>NC_000007.14:67355263-67658294 GCF_000001405.40 Homo sapiens | reverse complement strand
AAATGGTCAAGGCTCTGGATCGTGAGATGATGGAGCCCCCGCTCCCCATCCCATCTTCTCCCCATTTCTTGGCTCAGCTTGGACCATGGGAGGTAGTGATGCAAGTGAACAGATACAGAACTGCTGCAAACAAGCATCACATCGGTGCCCAGGGTAGAAGTTAAAATAGGGAACCCAGCACCACATTCCCAAATAAGGAGGCATGCCAGGCAGGGATTCTGCTGCGGCATGATACACCCCTCACTGCTCTCTCTGGTTTCTGTAGAAAGCAGAAACTGGAAGCCTGACCTCCAAACTCTCGGGAAGATCTGAGACATACTAGACCCAAAGAAGCATATGTAACCCTGTTATTAGGGTTGGTAGTTGCTGGGCTAAAAAGCAAAAATCAATGTGAAACAGGAAATCTTTTTGAGGATCACTGTACATGACAAATCATTTCTATTTTGCTACTATCACGATTCTCTTTTCCTTCCACAGTTTGATTATGTGTCTTGCTGTGGACCTCTGTAAGTTTATCACAATTAAAGTTCACTGAGAGACAGGATGGAGATGGGAAGAGAAAGGAGTCCACTGTTCTTGCATAACGTAATATGTAGTATATTGCATAATACCATGTAATATTATGGCTAATATGCATTAAGGTTATTTTTCTTTCAGCATGACTTTTTTTTTTTTTTTCAAGATGGAGTCTCGCTCTGTTGCCCAGACTGGAGTGTAGTGGCGTGATCTCGGCTCACTGCAAGCTCCGCCTCCCGGGTTGACGCCATTCTCCTGCCTCAGCCTCCCAAGTAGCTGGGACCACAGGCACCCACCACCACACTCAGCTAATTTTTTGTATTTTTAGTAGAGACGGGATTTCACCATGTTAGCTAGGATGGTCTCGATCTCCTGACCTCCTGATGCACCCACCTCGGCCTCCCAAAGTGTTGGGATTACAGACGTGAGCCACCGCACCTGGCCAACTGTTTTTTTTTTTTTTAAGTGCCCAGTGATGGACATTTAGGAACAATCAAACTAATAATTCCTCTTCTTCTCTCCCTATGTCACAGTGTGATCATATACATCCTTCCCTTGGCAAGATCAAGGCTGCATCTGATTAAGCCAATTTGGGCAGGCTGTTTATAGTCACTGCCTAATCATTGAGAGAGTTTACACCATGAATGGGATCATCGGCCACCCATTCGACATGAGACTGCCATTGGATATTTACATCATTTCAGCCAAAGCACCTTGCAGATCTCACTTTCTTCTCCTCTCGCTCCTAGGATGATTGGCAGATGCCATGCAGGACTCCTCCACTATTGGCTGACACCCTCCAAGGAAACTGCCAGATCAAAGTTTGATTAGTTAGAGGGCACATCCCTGAATGCCACAGCAGAAACTAATGATTCCACAGCAAGAGAGCCATGCCCTGATGTCACTGCCTAGCTGGTGCAGATGTTGAAAGCAGAGTTCCTTCATCTCCCAACCAGCTGCCCTCCCCAAGCCTCTCTGCCTTGAGTCTATTCTCTGCACTCCCCTCTGATAATCATTGGATAGCTTTCCATACAAGGTCAAAATCCTTTACAACCTGACCCCAGCCTTTTATCTCTGACCACCCTGTACATTACACCGTTTACTCCAACCATCGGCAACCAACATCCATTTCCTGAAACGCAATCCACTCTTAAGTCTGGTGACCTTTGCACATACTGTCTCTTCTGACTAAAATGTTTTTCCCTTTGACTGACACCAATCCAACCTATAAGACCTTGTCCAAATAGCATCTCCTCCATGCTACCCCCTATCTGGGTTCCAACTTCACAACATACATGCTTCTAGTGCAACACTAATCTCATTTGCTATGGTTTGGATATTTGTCCCCTCCAAACCTTATATTGAAATTTGATCCCCAGTGTTGGAAGTGGGGCTTAATGAGAGGTGTTTGGGTCATGGAGGTAGATTCCTCATGAATACATTAATGACCTGAATTGGGGGAATGAGAGAGTTATTACTCTATTAGCTCCCTCAAGAGCTGATTGTTTAATAGGCCCTGGCACCTCTTCCCACCTTGTTTTCTCTCTAGCCATGTGATCTCTGGACACACTGGCTCCCATTTGCCTTCCACCATAGTAGAAGCAGCCTGAGGCCCTCAGATGCAGATGCTGGTGCCATGTTTCTCGTACAGTCTTGAGTTACCATGCGCCAAATAAACCTCTTTTCTTTATAAGTTACCCAGTTTTCACTAAGGCAACTAAGTGTTGTCTTAGTCTGTGTTGTGTTGCTATACAGGGATGCTTTGTAGCAACACAACACAGACTAAGGCAACACTGTTATAAATTCATTCTGCTGTGTTATAAATTAATTCTTTGTCAGTTCCTGAACTCCTCGAGGTCAGGAGTATGTCTTGTGTTTCTAATTTCTGCAGGAAATCCTGCAGCAATGAGGTTCAGTGTAAATCCACTGAACAAACACGTTTAAATAAACTTGGCTTTGAAGAGCACGTGATGACTTACAAAGGGCTACTCCACCCAGTCGCTAATGTTCTATAGTTGCAGAGGGCACCTATCCTTGTGTTTCCAGTCCTAAGAGTCCCTTTCTGGTTTCAGTGAAGTTTAGAGGACCCATCATTCCACTGATCAATAAACGCCATATCTACTTTACCTTGCTATGTGCTTAGAATTAGACTAGTTAGTGTGGGGAATTCAAAAGCAAGGCCTTGTCTTTGAAAGATTCGCATTCTAAGACTCACATAAGCAAAACAGTGACAGAAAAGTACTTGGAAAATCACTTGAGTTTAAAAAAAAAAAAGTAGGAGCAGTGGTTTGAAAATTTCAAGTCCTATTACATCAGTGGGTTGCAATCAGTTTGGTGAATCATGACTAACATTTTTAAATCAAATGGAATGGAAATGTGATGAGATAGGACAAGATAGGCTAGCATAGCATTACATTGCATAGAATAGAAAATAAGCCTGTGCATCAGAGGTAGCAAGAGTAAGTATTGTATAAATGTTTTGAGTCATGGTATGCTATGCTTCTTACCATAGGTCATGGCCAAAACTACTGTGTTAGAACTTGGAAGTCAGTAGGGAATGGGCAATAAGGGAAATAGCCAAAATGCCTTATATAAGAAATTTGATCCCAAAAAGAGTAAAGAAGAAAGGGGCAAAAAAATTAAAATAGCAAGTAATCTATAATCAAAGGTTAGCAAAACTCCCCTAGTGATGGATCACCAAAGTCATTTTAAGAATTGTAAAATATCTAATGTTTAATTAAAGGCTGTTTTGCAGAGACAAGAAAGACTGCTAAAGTCTACTAACAAAAACTCTGCCCTTCCTTGACCAAAACACACAGCATAACCTCATTCTGCAAAGAATGTAATTTGTCTGTTTAAGCAACACTACCATTGATTCAAGCTAATTATGTGTGGAATGAAGACAGCAAGACAGCTTAGAAGATGGTCCAACCACTGTGTGAAGGAAGAGGGCCTCACAGCCAGTAGAGAGCAAAACATAGTAACATAGTAAGCCTCTAGGAATTTGCAAAAGTCTTAGCAAGGACTTCATACAGTCAGAGGGGCAGATGCGGATTTAAGCCAATCTTCTCTAGGTCTCAAGGGACTGGAGACCCCAGCCAACATCACAGTCTTCTGTAAATGTTCACACTGCCTTATGGTGAGGAGTGTCACAATTAGGTTACAAAGACAGACTGACATGTCACCCAGTCCAACCAGTTATACCACTATCTTCTCTCTCAGGAGCTAGAAACAAATGCAGAGAGGGAGATGATGCTGTTTCCTGCAGCTACTATCTCCCCATCAGTGATAGCCCTGAGATGGTACAAAATATGTCTGATAGGATATACCCTCTGAATTCTAAGTGCCTATTCTCGGTTCCCTGTTCTAAGCCTTCTTCTCCCCTGACCTAATAGCCACAAATCACTCCCAAGCTTTTCTGAGGACTTGGCTTTCATTCCCCTCCCAGCTGGTCACCCTCATCCAAAAATACCCCACTTCATTCCTGGTTCCTCTGCAGCATGATAGCACTCCAGTTATAAGTGGCTGCACACAGGAGCCAGGAGCCTCAGCCACCCTTTCTTTGGATGCTATATCTGTATTAAGGCAGTCTGAGGTCCCAGGAAAATAATCATAGCTGTTGACAGTCAATGAGTTTGTCTAATTAAGCTCATAGGAATTGAGAGGATTGTGTGCATCCTGTCCAGCTGCCCCATGGCTTTCAAAGCACAAGTTCTTCTAGCTAATTCAATATAAAGAGTCTGTGTTTCCTCTACAGAGCCTAACAACAGAAAATGTGATTTCCTGTCGCTTATTCATAATAGAGTTCCACCACATCAAAACAACTCAGTGTTCCTGTGGTTATAATAGTGTTTTTGCTATTTTTGCCCAATAAGTAGTCTCATGGAACTTTCACCCTGGTCCAGATTTTTGAAATCGTGATATTGATTGATACTCAGCTTGGTGTACCAGAAAGAGAATAGAGAGTAAATGAGGCTGCCTAGGCTTAGAGCTGGGCTCCATCACGAATCAGCTCTGTGACTTTTGCAAGTGTCTTCACCTTGACCTTGACTTACAGTGCCTCAGTTTCCCCATCTATAAAGGAAGGGTAATAAAAGTACCCATTGACTGTTGGGAGGTTTGAGCATGGTCATCCATATGAAATGATTGACACAGGGCCTGGCAGCTGTCAAGTGTCCAATAAGCAGAGTGATCACTTACTCTCTTGTCCTAATTGGGGTAATTTCAAAAGCGATAAAAAACACTACTAAAAATTATATAGAGACACAAAGTAAACTGGGATGCATGACCTCCTGTCAATGTGTGTCAGCCTTGATGATGAGGAGGAGGAGGAAGATATGATGACAATGATAATGATGATGACGATGATAATGATGACGATGACATTCTACTTACCTGAGTCCTCATTTCCCATTCTACAAAAGAAAGATAATACCGCTAATATTATAGAATGACTGAAAGGATTAGAAGCAATCCAATCTACATAAATTGCCTAACATAGAGAAGTTATTCAATAAACATTGGGTTTTCTTAGGTTATTTTTGTGGCTTCCAGCCCAAAGTTCATTTCCTTGATGGTGTGCCCCTTCTGACATCATAAATAGGGGGGAAATCCTGCTTCCCATGGCTTTACATCCAAGTAAAACCAATTAATAACTGAAGAGGAAGGAACGGCCATGGAGGGAGAGGCAATCTGAGCCCTTTCTTGGCTACAGCTGATGAATATAAACGATTTGAAAATTAAAAAGCCATTAGGCTATTAAAAATAGCTTTTAAGAACAATCCCTCAATAAATTATTTTCATGCTTAAAAACCCAACTGGAAAGAATATAAATGGTAATACAGGCCATCTGAAAAGTCAATAACCAGATATAATGGTCAATTTCTTTGATATTATTATCTAATTAAGCAATTTAGCATTCGTTGAAATTGCATTTAACGAGTCAGTATCGTCTAAAAGCAATGTAGAACCAATTTCTTTAGCCCTAAAGAGAAAAAAAATAAAACTTTAATACAAGGAAGAACAGATTCTAATTGATGTTTTCAACTCGACTGGCTGGATTTCCAAAATGCAATTCAACAGCTAAAAAAAGGAAACCATTGAATGAGCCACTGCTTAGAGCTGAGATGCACAGACCCCATCCTTCAGAGGGTGGTAGCCCTCTACACATTTGTGTACCTGGGAGATGGGAAATGCTCCATCTTCACAGCCTCTTGCCCACAGAAGCAAGAAGTTCTAAGTGGTTCTCTCTCAGTTCAGTGATTCTCAAGCTTTTTGGAAGCTTTGTAAATTTCATTGCCCAAACTACTCCCCAGACCAATCAATTCAGAATTACTGGTTCTGGGACACTAGCTTCCGCATTTTTTAAAGTCCCCCAAGAGATTCCTCTGTGCACCCAAAGTTGAGAGCCGCTGTTAGGGATGATCCCTGAGACATCTATAAGCTCCAGTCAGGTAGTCAAAAAATTCCTTAAGAACATTAAGAACACAACCCTTCTAGTTTTCAGCCTCAATGCTCTGAAAAACAAAATCAGTTGGTAGGTTGTCTTTACATTTGCACTGACACCCCAAACAGCCCTGGAGGAATACATCCAGCAAGAAAACTGTAGCATGAAAGGTGAACAGTCCTTGTGCTGAGAGCAAAATTCACTTTGTTGTGTGTGCTCCTGACAGCTGCTGCCCCCAAGTACTCACCTCCCTAGAAACTGCAACCTTCCCCGGAACCAGTGACATAACTAGCAATGGGTGAAATGCATTGCTTATTTAGTGGCTGAGGCAGTAGAATCACTTGAGCCCAGGAGTTCAAAACCAGCCTGGGCAACCTAGAAAGATCCCGTCTCTACAAAAACTTAAAAAATTAGCTGGACTTGGTCACGTGCCTGTAGTCCCAGCTACTCAAGACGCTGAGGTGGGAGGGTCACTTGAGCCCAGGAGCTGGAGACTGCAGTGAGCCGTGATGGCACCACTGCACTCCAGCCTAGGTAACAAGACCCTGTCTGAAAATAATAATAATGACTATTATTATTATTATTATTATTTTGCTGTGTGGAATGCAGCTTCCAAAGTAGCCCAAGACAATTCTCCCTTCCTGATGTTCATACCTCTGTGTAGTCTTCTCTGACACTGATTCAGGCTGATCTGTGTGACCAATAGCATAAGGCAGACCTGATGGTATTTCACTACCAAGGCCAGGTCCTAAAAGATAGGGTAGCTTCTTCTGCCTTTCTCTCTCTTGAATCAGTTGCTCTGGAAGAAGCTAACTGCATGTCACGAAGAGACTCAAGCAGCCCTATGCAGAGGTGCATGTGGCTAGGAACCAATACCTCAATCCAACACACAGCCAGGGGCTCAGCCTCCTGCTAATAGCCACGTGAGTCTGTTTAAACATGGATCCTCCATCCCAGTTAAGCCTTCAGACGATCATAGCCCCAGTCTATACCTTGACTGCAACCTCACAGGAGATGCTGAGCCAGATCACTCAGCTAAGCTGCTGCTGAATTTCTGGCCCACAGAAACCAGGAGACAATTAATGTTTGTTGTTTTAAGCCACTAAGTATCAGTGTAATTTGTTACCAGGAAAGACAAAGCTAACACAGCATATAAACTTGAAGTCCAGGCTGGGCACAGTGGTTCATGCCTGTAATCCCAGCACTTTGGGAGGCCAAGGTGGGAGGATCCCTTGAGTCCAGGAGTTCAAATCCAGCTTGGGCAACATAGCAAGACTCTGTCTCTACAGAAAATTTAAAAATTAGCTGAGCATGGTCGTATGCATCTGTAGTCCCATCCACTTGAGAAGCCGAAGTGGGAGAATGACTTGAACCCAGGAGGTGGAGATTGCAGTGAGCCAAGATCACACCACTGAAATCCAGCCTGGGAGATAAAGCAAGACTCTGTCCCCCCACCAAAAAAAAAGGTATACTTCAATAATCTTCTGACTCATCTCCCTGCTTCTGCTCTTATATCCCTCCCACCCATTGTCCACACAGCAGTCAGAAGGAATTTTCTAGAATCAACATTATGTCAGAAGTTCCCAAACTTTCTCAGTTCATGTCATTCTTAGTAACTTAGCTTTTTTTTTTTTTTTTTTTTTTTTTTGAGACGGAGTCTCACTCTGTCACCCAGGCTGGAGTGCAGTGGTGGGATATCAGCTCACTGCAACCTCTACCTCCCAGGTTCAAGTGATTCTCCTGCTTCAGCCGCCTAAGTAGCTGGGACTACAGGCGCACTCACCACACCCAGCTAATTTTTGTATTATTAGTAGAGACAGGGTTTCACCATGTTAGCCAGGCTGGTCTCGAACTCCTGACCTCGTGATCCACCCGCCTGGGACTCCCAAAGTGCTGGGATTACAGGCGTGAGCCACCGCACCCAGCCTGCAATTTTTTAACAGCATCCAAAAGGAGTACCAACAGTCCTTTTTGCGTAGGTCCACACAGTTTAATATGTATTTTTGTCTTAACGATTTAGTAGCCATTTGAAAAAATAATACACATACGTTGGAAGAAAAAATTATTGTTGTATTATTCTTAAGTAACAATTGCTTGCCAGTGAGATGTGTGCCCTGTTGGACCCTCAAACCTTGGAATCAGATTGGACCCTGCCACCCTCCATGTCCTGTTTCACATTGATTTTTGCTTTTTAGCACAGCAACTACCAACCCTAATAACAGGGTTACATATGCTTCTTTGGGTCTAATCACACTACTCAAAGTTTTATAGTGAATAATATTTACATAATCATACAATTGTAAATGCTGTCTGTTAGTTCTAAGTCTTTTTCCACCAACCAGTAGTCAAAGCCTAGAAGACCTATTTTTGTGGTTTAAGAAGAGAACGTAAGTATTATAAATCCACAAATACAAAAGAGAAGGGAGAGGAGGCAGTAATATTAATCATCAAAATTTATGGATCAAAAGTTAGTTGTAGAGTCTTTCATTCAGGTTTATGGTTGTAACTGAGAGAAGAGCTAAAAAGTGAAATTCAGTTGAGTCTACACTGTGAGCCTAAGGATGGAGGTGAGAAAGACTTTCATTTTTCATTTCTGAGCACTCTTCCTTTTATATCCTCTGGAACCACTTTTTTTAAACCGTATTACTTTTACAATAAAAAATAAAATCATATTAGGCTGGTGGTTGGTGCAAAAGTAATTGTGGTTTTTGTCATTAGGTTTTTTTTTTTTTTTTTTTTGAGACGGAGTCTCACTCTGTCACCTGGGCTGGAGTGCAATGGCACAATCTCAGCTCACTGCAACCTCTACCTCCCAGGTTCAAGCGATTCTCCCGCCTCAGCCTCCCGAGTAGCTGGGACTACCAGCACACGCCAATGCGTCTGGCTAATTTTTGTATTTTTAATAGAGACTGGGTTTCACCATGTTGGCCAGGCTGGGCTTGAACTCCTGACCTCAGGTGATCCACCCGCCTTGGCCTCCCAAAGTGCTGGGATTACAGGCGTGAGCCACTGCACCTGGCCTTGTCATTACTTTTTAATGGCAGAAACCACAATTACTTTTGTACCAACCTAATATCTTTATTTCCAGGTGGTGTATTAACACCTTCTCTTCCAGAAGCCTCCCATCCACCATCTTTCTCCTGACAAACTGGTTTAGAGTGACTTTTCGCATATATGCCAGGTTATGTGTTCAACTGCCAGGTCCTGCTGAAGTTCCATATCCCAACGCTTATCCACCTCTGGCGCCATTTCTCAAATGGTTCCTTCATACGAGACTCTGCCAACATGATATCCTCATCCAACGCATCTTTCCAACCCGTTACCTTTCAGAAGACAAACACTATGTCCTAAGTCTTATTTATATGTGCATCCCCCTCTCTGTGCCCGGGTTAGGACCACACAGAGAAGATGCTCTATAAATACTTGCTTTCTGATTCCAAGGCC
Organism: Homo sapiens; assembly: GCF_000001405.40. Taxonomy (NCBI): domain Eukaryota; kingdom Metazoa; phylum Chordata; class Mammalia; order Primates; family Hominidae; genus Homo; species Homo sapiens. The sequence continues at coordinate 67,648,888 of NC_000007.14, read as the reverse complement.
CTTAGGCTACCAAAAAAAGAAGTTGAATATTAGCCTCAAAAGAATACAGCATTTACTTATTTGAATTATCTACTGGACTCATTTTTCCTGCAGGGCAGTGCTTGATTTTTACACATTCTCAAGCCATTAGAGACCAACAGATGCTAACAGACAAAAGCCACTCAATACCGGTCTGTGAAATGAATAAATTGATGAATGAGTAAATTCAGCAAATTGGAGGAACAGTCACTTAGAATTTTGTGTGTGTGTGTGTGTGTGTGTGTGTGTGTGTGTGTGTGTGTGTGTGTGTAGATGGGGTCTGACTATGTTGCCCGGGCTGGTCTTCAACTCCTGGACTCAAGTGACCCTCCCACCTTAGCCCCCGAAAGTATTGGAATTCATCTAGAATTAAAATTCTTCACTACTGCAGATATTATCCAGTAGCACTCTTGCCTTCAAATTATATTTTTCATTAACTTTGACATTAAACATTGAAGTGTTTCATCTGCATCTGTCATTTTCAAAAACTATGGTATTTAAAAGAGATCTTTGCTAGAGACCTCTACTGCGCATTTATTGAAGTCCTCATTTGGATCTGGATTTGTCTAAAAGGGGAAAAAGAGTCCTAGATTTGTTTTGTTTTGTTTTGCTTTTGCTTTTTTTTTTTTTTAACTTGCTTCAATTAACAACACCAATATCAAGAGCAGCCAGGATGGCTCTCTCTGTCTCTGTCTCTGTCTCTGCCTCTCTCTCTCTCTGTCTGTCTGTCTCTCTCTCTCTCACACACACACACAATGCACATGCACACATACACACACACGCACATGCACACACACACACACACACACACACACACTGTCCATCACTCAGCCTCTTGAATCCCATTGAAAGCCCTGAGGATCCATCAGGCCTCATGAAAGATTTCCTTTGTGCAACTCATCTTTGAGGTTTCCTCTGAGATGACTCTAAACCCTTGAAATACTTCAGGCTAATAGCTATTACCTGTGTTAAGTACAGCACTAACTACATCTTAAAGGCCTTTGACGTTCCAAGAAGGAGTTTTACACATTGCCTTTGGAGCTAGGATAACCCCCAATTACTGGCAGACGCTATGAGAATATGACAATGAAAATATACTAGCAGCTTCTACTGTATTCGCTCAAATATATTTCCTCTGCCAGGCCCAGAGCTTGCAACAACATCCCACACTGAATCTGTCCGATAGCGCTTTTTCATAACCTCAGCAAAAAGGCTGATAGGCTGGTGTGATGGTTAATACTGAGTGTCAACTTGATTGGATTAAAGGATGCAAGGTATGGTTCCTGGGTGTGTCAGTGAGGGTGTTGCCAGAGGAGATTAACATTTGAGCCGGTGGACTGGGAGAGGCAGACCCACACTCAATCTGCGTGGGCACCATCTAATCAGCTGCCAGTGTAGCTAGGATACAAGCAGGCAGAGGAACGTGGAAGGACTAGATTTTGCTGAGTCCTTCAGCCTTCATCTTTCTCCCATGCTGGATGCTTCCTGCCTTCAAACATCAGACTCCAAGTTCTTCCTCTTTTGGACTCTTGGACTTACACCAGTGGTTTGCCAGGGTCTCTCGGGCCTTTGGCCGTGGACTGAAGGCTGCACGGTCGGCTCCCCTGCTTGTGAGGTTTTGGGACTTGACTTGGAATCGCTTCCTTGCTCCTCAACTTCCAGACGGCCTATTGTGGGACTTCTCCTTGGGAACATGTGAGGCAATACTCCTTAATAAACTCCCCTTCATATATACATCTATCCATCCCTCTAGAGAACCCTGGCTAGTACAGGTGGTCTCTGGTTCTCGCCATTTATCAAATATTTATTCTGGGTCCAGAGCTGTACTGAACATATAAGGAACTTAAGACAGTGCCCACACACAGCAAATGTCACCCCTAAACCAAAGATGACCCCATTGGAGAGTGTGTGGATGGAATACTGGAACACGGGATGCCTGTCAACTGGCCACTGGCTCTGTGGTGGCTCTGTCCACCTGCTTGTGTTTGACACTGGAAGAATCAGGTGTCGGTTCCCAGCATCTGTTCATGATCTGGACTGAAGGGCAGGGTTGAGGATGTGGAGGAGGGAAGGTATCCTCCCTCACTGGCAAATAAATGGGTATGGATATGAAAGAAAGATAAATCAGGTTCAGCTCTTCTCCACTGCAGTTTCAAGCAATGAAGTCCAACTCATATAAAGTCCCTGTGCAATGAGGAATCAGACATGCAGGGAAGTCACCACTCTAGTTTACTTATTCCCAGGGCCCCTCCTCTGCAGACTCTCAGGGTGCCTCCAATGGCCACGTGGACCAGCAGAGTTGACCCTCCGTGCTCCAGAGCCCTCCTGCTTTCCCTCCCTTCCCTCCTCTCCCCCAACACTTTCCATTTTTTTTTCTTCCATGGATGTCATCATTTTTGTTCTGCTTGATAAAGAGAGGAGAGCATTGGAGGCCTGGGAGAGGAAAGAGGAAGGAAGAGAAGAACCTCGGTGTTCTCCTCTGGTTGAACCTTCAGATTCAATACCTTTGGGAAAAAAATACTCAAAATCTGATAAACTGTCTTGTAAAAGTTTATCTTTTTGTCAGAGTCCTCCAAAAAAAACCCACAATTAATAGAAGATATAGATAGATAATAGATAGATAAGATAGATAGACGATTAGATAGATAGATAGAAGACAGATGATAGATACATAGATAGATAATAGATAGAAGATAGATAATAGATAGATAGATGATAGATAGATAGATAGATAGATAGATAGATAGATAGATAGGGAATTAGGGTAACCAAGGGTAAAGGTACAAGCAAAAGAATAGCAGGTACAGCCAGTTCTAGGCAAGATGAGGCAGCACACAGGCCACATCCTCACTCCTGTGATAACAAGACAAGTCTCCACTTCAGCCTCTGATTGACTGCGGTATGGGTAGTGAAAGTACCCATATGTCCCTATAAATAGTTTTTAGGTTTTCATCTAGCTCAAGTGGGTTCCTACTAGCTGCAACCAAAGAGATCTAAAAAATGCAATGGCCAATACATATACATATATATGCAATGGCTATTGTGGCTCAGTGCGGTAGATGTGTGTTACCTCCAAGACATGGTGAACAGAGTACAGGCACCAAGGATGTACAGAGGACACGGGATCCCTCAACCTGATAGCAGAGGGAGGCTTTTCATAGACATTGGCTTTGCAAGGTACCCAGGAATTGTCCAGCAGAGGAAGTAGTCCAGGGAGCAGGAACCACATTTTAGATTCTGTGTTTCTGCAAGATTAACACCAAGCTTACTGGCACCATTCTTGGGCCAAAAAACAGCCAACTTGGAAACAACACCTCTGCCCAGTTGCCATGTTAAATGGAGCCAGGCGTTTAGAGATTGAGCTGTCCTGGATCCTCCTGTTTCCAAAAGGAAGCCTCAAATTCTCTGCCAATGGAAACCACATCTATTGATTCCCAAAGCAAATCAATTCCCCTGAATGTGTATTGCCATTCCGACACAAACACCGAGAAATACTACCTCCTAATTACAAGAGCAACATTCGAGCTGCACAAATATTTGCTTTGTTTCTTCACACTTCACCAATTAAGCTAAAGTATAGAGTAAAATTGCATTACAGCAGATTGAACAAACAAAATGCTATGGGTAGCAGGCACCTCAAGGGATGCATGGAAATAGGAGATAGTTCTCATGGCTTGACAATAGGTCTTTCCCTTGCAGCCCAGGATAGGTTAATGCAGGATATGTCTTTTAAATTAATGTATACATTTAAGTCATGTATATATTTTAAGTCAACGTATATCAGTGCCTATGTTGCAGGCATATACACCTGCATGCAACACCAATTGACGTACCTTTGTTTGTTTCTTTGTTTGTTTTCAGACAACGTCTCACTCTGTCACCCAGGGTGGAGTTCAGTGATGCCATCTCTGCTCACTGCAACCTCCGCCTGCCAGGTTCAAGCAATTCTCCTGCCTCAACCTCCCAAGTAGCTGGGACTACAGGTGCCCGCCACCGCACCCAGCTGATTTTTTTGTTTTTTTTTAGTAGAGACAGGATTTCACCATATTGGCCATGCTGGTCTTGAACTCCTGACCTTAAGTGATCCGCCAGCCTCAGCCTCCCAAAGTACTCGGATTACAGGTGTGAGCCACCATGCCTGGCCAACTGGCTGTTGATTTGATACAGGTGTCCCATAAATAAGCATCCTTCTCTTAGCCTGGGTCCAGAATCCTTCAATCCATTGTGTTCTGCTCTCAATCTATTTCTCTTCAGCATTTCCTCTGCTTCTTATTCATTCATCTCTGTTTTTCTTTGTTTTCTCTTGCTCCGTCTTAGTTGGGGGGTCTTGTGGGAGAGACGCCTCCTGCAAAAACAAGAAAGAAAAGAAAACAATAAAAGCATTTTCCATGTGCTGGTGACACTGGGGGAAGAAAAGTTTTTTAAAAAATTGTCACATGGTTTAATTTTATTCTAGGGCGTCTCTTGCTGCTGACTGTCCTCCTGGCCCCAGGCCAGTGAGTTTTGTTTCCTCACCATGCTGGGAAAGGCATAATAAGCAGATTAAGAGCCCAGCCCAGGACAGTGCTGCTCAGGCAGTCTAGCGGCTTTCATTAGTGTCAAACTGCAGGAAAATGACCTGGTCTACCCTTGTACATAACCAGGAATTTTGAGAAATTCTAATTAGAAATAAGAGAAGGAGGAATGGGACAGGAAGTGACTGCTCCCTGCACCAGGATGCCTCTGTGGTATCACAGAGCTCCGGTGATGGCCAGGTGGTCCCCAGTGATTCACTGGCATTATTCATTGGCATCTGTGCTAGGCCTAAGAGCTGTAGAGATGAACAAGACACATATCAGGCTTTGGGGATGCTTCAGGCCTGGACACAGCCTTGCAGACTGGGTTCCTGTGAGGTTGCACAATGCAGGCAGAACACATCGTACCACACTAGAGTTAGCCTGGAAGACCCTTGGGGGTGAAGCAGGTCAGGAAGGAGAGAAACGATTTCAGGAAAAAGAAGAGCTTGAGAAAGTGAAGAGGCATGAATACAACATGGTGTGCTGGAAGAAAGCAAGAGGATCCAAGATTATCGTCAGACCCAGTGAGACTGAAATAGATTGGCCTCCAGGCCAATGGAGTTGACTTCGTATCCTTACAATACCCTGTCTCCTACATGTGAACGTGTCTTTGACTTTGACTAGGGTTTGTTTTTGTTTTGTTTTGTTTTTTGAAATGGAGTCTCACTCTGTCGCCCAGGCTGGAGTGCAATGGTGCAACCTCGGCTCACTGCAACCTCCGCCTCCTGGGTTCAAGCAATTCTCCTGCCTCAGCCTCCTGAGTAGCTTGGACTACAGGCGTGCGTGACCACACCTGGCTAATTTTTGTATTTTTAGTAGAGATGGGGTTTCACCATGTTAGCCAGGATGGTCTCGATCTCCTGACCTTGTGATCCGCCCACCTCGGCCTCCTAAAGTGCTGGAATTACAGGCGTGAGCCACGGCGCCGGACTGTTTTTGTTTTTGTTTTTGTTTTGCCCAGGCCTTGCAAGAGCTGGGCATACAGCAATGACTAAGACATGGTCCCTGCCTTCAAGGGTCCCTGTCTAGTAAGAGAGACCCTGTGTTCATGCCAGACCTGACATTGACATTGCTCCAGAGATTCAGAACAGAAAGAGATCCCTGAAGACTGGAATGCTCATTGACTGTGGGATGCAACCCTCCAGGGAAGGAACAGTGAGAGTAAAACAGGCAGAATCAGGAAGGAAGGTGTGAAGCAGTTGGTGATAGGACAAGCCCAGCCTCGTATGCCAATCAGTGAAGCTTGGCCTTCAAGAGATTAAAATGGGCAGTATGCGGTGGCTCACGCCTGGAATCCCAACAATTTGGGAGGCTGAGGTGGGTGGATCACTTGAGGTCAGGAGTTTGAGACCAGCCTGGCTAACATGGCAAAACCCCACCTCTGCTACAAATACAAAAATTAGCCGGGCATGGTGGCAGGCACCTGTAATCCCAGCTACTCAGGGAAGCTGAGGCAGGAGAATCACTTGAACCCAGAGGCAAAGGTTGCAGTGAGCCAAGATTGTGCCACTGCACTCCAGCCTGGGCGACAGAACAAGACTCTGTCTCAAAAAATAAATAAATAAATAAATAAGTAAATAAATAAATAAATAGGTTAAAATGATACAAAGGCTCTGGCCAAAGCCAAGTGATGTTGGCTCCATCCCTAACCCTTATGCAGGTTTCCGATGCTTCAGGGAACAGGCAAGTCAGCCTAGGAAACCCTCCCACTTGTGCACAGTATGAGATGACAGCAAGAGCCTCCCAGGATTTGGAGAGCTTGGTTAATAAAATTAAGACATGGCAGATGAGATTGGATATGTATAAAATCATCTCAAGAGACAGACCCAGGCAGAAGGCAAGAACAAGATGGCTTATCTGAGGCCCAATCAATGACATTCACAATATCCTAAGAAGAAATGAGTCAAGGAAAGTGATGGCCAGCATGGATATAGGTGACCTTGATCACCGACCTGTCCACTGGGAGGAATTCTCAGAGCCCAGGATGCAATTAACATGATGAAATGGTTTAGGGGATGTTATTTCCAAGAGTAGAGCTGGATGCATCAGGCTGTCATGCTCTGACAGCATCAGCTGTAGAGATGGTCTCGCCAAATCCCTCAAAAGGACATGGTTTTCTGTTTGGATTAGTTAAGACGTTTTTATTCCCATGACAGAAAACCCAGCCCAAACTGGCTGAAGCAGAAAAAGAGCAATTTGTTGGCTGAAAGACTGAGGTGTGCAGGACAGGACCAGCCTCGGGCAGTCCTGTGTGAGGACACAGGGCTGTTATCAGGAACTGGCCTAGTAGGTGCCACATGCTGTGCTGAGTACTGAGGATTTAGGAGGAATTAAAAGAAGCTCAGTCCCCTCGTTAGCAGAGCTTGATTCTTACTCGTCACCTCTTCCAGCAGCTGTGTCCATGGCAGACTTTGTTTTTTTTTTTTTTAATGAGACAGGGTCTTGCTCTGTTGCCCAGGCTGGAATGCAGTGGTGCCATCATAGCTCACTACAGCCTTGACTTCCTGGACTCAAGCCATTCTCCTGCCTCAGCCTCCCAAGTAGCTGGGACTACAAATGCATACCACCATGCCCACTACTTTTTAAATTAAGGAGAGGGTCTCACTATGTTGCCTAGGCTGGTCTTGAACTCCTGGCCTTAAGTGATCCCCCCACTTCAGCCTCCCTAGTAGCTTAGATTACAGGCATGCACCACCATGCCCGGCTAAATTTTTTTAAAATTTTTTATAGAGACAGGGTCTCACTATGTTGCCCGGACTGATCTCAAACACCTGGCCTCAAGCAATCCTCCTGCCCAGCCTCCCAAGTAGCTGGGACTACTGGCATACACCACCATGCCCAGCTATTTTTCAGACACAAGGTTTTGCCATGTAGCCCAGGCTAATCTTGAACTCCTGGCCTCAAGCAATCCTCCCACCTCAGCCTCCCAAAGTGCTGGGATTACAGGCATGAGTCACCATGCCTGGCCCATGGCAGACATTGCCCATTGATCCCTGCACTCTATGCTGAGCTCAGCCTGGGTCTTTGGGTCTGTTTTCACATCGTGCCCCAGAAAAGCACTATCAATTGGCTAAAATTGGTTCAGATGTCATCCTTCCCCTAGAGCCTAGCAGCATTAAGTACAGCCAAGACTTACAGGGTGCTTGTATTAGTCCATTTTCACACTGCTGATAAAGGCATACCTGAGACTGGGCAATTTAAAAAAAGAAAGAGGTTTAATGGACTTACAGTTCCACATGGCCAGGGAGGCCTCAGAATCATGGTGGAAGGTGAAAGGCATGTTTCACGTGGCAGCAGACAAGAGAAGAGAGCTTGTGCAGGGAAACTCCCCTTTTTACAACCATCAGATCTTGTGAGACTTATTCACTATCATGAGAACAGCATGGGAAAGACCCACCCCCATGAGTCAATCACCTCCCACCAGGCTCCTCCCATGACATGTGGGAATTATGGGAGCTACAATTCAAGATGAGATTTGGGTGGGGACACAGCCAAACCATAGCAGTGCTCACTGTGTGTTCCTGGGGTGTTAGCTATGCTAACTCATTTAATCCTCAAAATGGCCCTGTGAAGTGGGAACTCTGTCACTAACCCCATTTTACAGATAAGAAAACAAAGGCACAGAGAGATTAAGTGCCTGTCCAAGGTTACAACTAGCAGATTGGGTTTTTGGTTTTGCTTTGTTTTTCAACATCTATTTTAGATTTGGGGATACACGTGCATATGCAGGTTTGTAATGTGGGTATATTGTGTGATACTGAGGTTTGGGACTGTGACCCTAAATCAGGGCCTACATCACTTGGAGACCTCCCTGAGGGCCACTAATGCTAGTACCAGAAAGGCCTCAAAACTTGGACAGCCTCATGGGATCTGTGATGGACCAGGGCCTCCACATGGTACACAAATGAGAAGGGAAATCAAAAAGAAATCACACCTCAAAGAAAAAAAATGATCCCATCACCCAGGTAGTGAGCATAGTACCCAATAGGCAGTTTTTCACTCATTGCCCCTATCCCTTTCTATCCCCTCTTATAGTCCACAGCATCTATTATTCCCAACTTTGTGTCCGTGCATGCCCAATGTTTAGCTCCCACTTATAAGTGAGAACATGCAGTATTTGGTTTTCTGTTCCTGCATTAATTGGCTTAGGATAATGCCCTCCAGCTTCATCCATACTACTGCAAAGGACATGATTTCTTTCTTTTTCATGGCTGCACAGTATTCCGTGGTGTGCATACACCACATTGTCTTTGTCCAATCCATCATTGATGGAAACCTGGGTTGATTCCTTGTCTTTGCTCTTGTGAATAGTGCTGCGACAAACATACGCATGCATGTCAATGAAACTTGGCCTTACCAGGTATATATTCAAAGGGAAATAAATTGTTCTGTTTTTAGTAGAACAATTTATTATCCTTTGAAATATATACCCAGTAATGGAATTGCCGGGTTGAATGGTGTCTAACTCTTCCATTGAGAAATCTCCAAACTGCTCTCCACAATGGCTGGGCTAATTTACATTCCCATCAACAGTGTATATATGTCCCCTTTTCTCCCAGCCTTGCCAATATCTGTTATTTTTTTACTTCTTAACAATAGCCATTCTGACTGGTATGAGATGGTATCTCATTGTGGTTTTGATTTGCATTTCTCTGATGATTAGTGATGCTGGGCATTTTTCCATATATTTGTCGGTTGCTTGTGTGCCTTCTTTCGAGAAGTGTCTGTTCCTGTCATTTGCCCACTTTTTAATGGGGTTGTCTATTTTTTGCTTGTTGATTTGTTTAAGTTCCTTATAGATTCTGGACATTAGTTCTTTGTCAGATGCAGAGTTTGTGAATATTCTTTCCCATTCTGTAGGTTGTCTGCTTACTCCCTTAATAGTTTCTCTTGTTGTGCAGAAGCTCTTCAGTTTAATTAAGTCCCACTTGTCAATTATTGTTTTTGTTGCAATTCTAGCAGATTGTTGAAGCTGGATTTGAACACAGGCTTCCGGACTACCCTGAGGGATGCTGCCTGGGTTGCCAGCACAGTCCCCTATCGAATCTCCATCCTGTCTTCAAACCACCACAGAAATATGAAACCCAATGACAGGATTTTAGAGAAATTTACAGCATTTTCTAAAGTGCTTTAGCTTTTTATCCAAACTCAAAGAGAGGAGCTAAAATGAATTAAATTATAATTGGACAATATGGGTTTTTTGACTTGTAATTGTCGTAATTAATTTACCATCAATATAATGCAAGGAGTTAAAAATAATGGATTGGAAATGGTTGGAAACCCATTGAAAATGTAATATGTACAAGAGAAATACTCATCTTACATATAAAGTACTTAACCAAATATGACATCCTCTAATAAATCTCTCCCTTATTCATTATGGGCTGCCTATGTTACAGTTCACAGTCGAGCTTATCAGTCGCACATAAGAGCTGGTGCAATTGCCTTTTATATGTGTGTGTGTATATATATATATATTTTTTTTTTTGAGATAGAGTTTCACTCTTGTTATCTGGGCTGGAGTTCAATGGTGCAATCTCGGCTCACTGCAACCTCCACCTCCCGGGTTCAAGCAATTCTCCTGCCTCAGCCTCCAGAGTAGTTGGGATTACAGGCACCTGCCACCATGCCCAGCTAATTTTTTTTTTTTTTTTTTTTTTTTTTTTAGTAGAGACAGGGCGATCCGCCTGCCTCGGCCTCTCAAAATCCTGGAATTACAGGCATGAGCCACCACGCACAGTCACAACTGCTCTTTAAGTCTCTCTCAAACCCCCTTTTGGCATCAGAATAAACTTCACGACAGTTCACTCTTTTAAAGCCTCCGCTTTTGGGGCTTGGGTACTCATTCTTGCAAGAGTCTCTGTGCAGGGCCCAGAGCCAGAGGCAGCATCGAAGATCCTGGAAACATCAGCTCTGGTAGCAGAGTAGAGAATCAGCAAGAAGAAAGGCATTGTTCTGACATCAGGCAGAGCTGGGTTCAAATCTCAGCTTGGCCACTCTGAGCCAAGTGATTTCTAACCTCTCTAAACAATAGTTTCTTGATTTTTAAATCGTGGATAAGCATATCACCTTCTCAAAGGGTAGCTGTGAGAACTTAGAGCAAATTACAGATAATGCATTGGCATGGTGCTTGGCATATAAGAAGCACTGCTATTCATTTTAAATGTTTTCTTAATATTATAATCTACATAAGTATACACTAGAACCAAATGCAAAATCTTTGTGCATTTGTAGAAAACATGCTACCTTCCTTCTCTCCCCAAAGGCCACTTTTCAAGTACCCACACATAGGTTGGGCTAGTGGCCAGGTAGGGTGGCTGACACCTGTAATCCTAGCTCTTTGAGAGGCCAGAGTAGAAGGATTGCTCAAGGCCAGGAGTTCAGGACCAGCCTGGGCAACATAGCAAGATCCCCATGTCTATAAAAAAAAAAAATTGAATTAGCCAGATGTGGTGGCAAGTGCCTATAGTCCCAGCTACTCAGGAGGCTGAGATGGGAGATCTCTTGAGCCCAGGAGGTCAAGGCTGCAGTGAGCTATGACCGCGCCACTGCACTCCAGCCTAGGTGACAGAGCAAGACCCTGTCTCTAAAAAATGAAAAATAAAAATAAACTGGACTAGTCATAGGGAGCTCACAGGACCACTGACAGGATTACAATTATCACTGAATATTCATGATGCCCTTCCAGGTGCCAGGAGTTGTGCTGGGAACCCACACAAAGCAATGCATAAAACAAGGTTCTTGCCTTCAAAGAGCTCATAGTTTAGCATGGGACAGAAAACTAACAGGCTTCAAGAACTGCAGGGAGATGAATGTGTGTAGTAGTGTCTGCTGAAAAATCGGAGCTGCTTCAGGTAAAAGCCCTATGCCCCAACAATCACGCCCTGCGCCCGACCTTCTAGCCCAGCGCGACCACCAGAGAAAGCTGGATTGATGGCGTAGGTGCTGAGATGAGCAAGCCACAGCTTCAGAGAAGCCACAGAGCAGGCTGGTTTGGGAACTGGAGAACATCCGGAACCCTCAGGGTCTGGATGGACCCAGACCCCAGGCAAATTGAAATCAACATTTGGTGGGGAGAGGAAAGTTGGAGCTGAAAGGGAAAGCCATTCCTGAATTCCAGGCCCTCCAGAAACAAGGCTGATGGCAGCCAAACTAGCTTCAGGCCCCACCTGCTGGTGCAGCTCAAATATCACCAAAATGAAAGCCACAGCAAGATGCACTTTCTGCTGCCAATGCCCAAAATAAATCAACGTCCCCCAGGTGGGAATTGCAGAAGGGAAAGCCTAGTTTTGTGCTAGGAAGGAAGAAAGGAGAAGGGGAGGAAGGAAGGAAGAAAGGAAGGAACGAAGGAGGCAGGGAGGGAGGGAAGAAGGGAGGAACGGAGGGAGGGAGGGAGAAAGAACAACGGGAGGAAAGAAGAAAGGAAAAGGGGAGAAAGGAAGAAAGGAAGGGAGGAAGGAAGGAAGGGGAAAAAGAAGAGAGGGAGGAAGGGGGAGGGAGGGAGGAAAGAAGGAAGGAAGGAAGGAAGGGAGGGAGGAAGGAGGGAAAAAGGCAGGGAGATAGGGAGGGAGGAAGGGAGGGAGGGAAAAAAGGAGGAAGGAAGAAAAGGAGAGTGGGAGAGAGGGAGGGAGGGAGGGAAAGGAAAGAAAAATTCAGGGCTGTCTCCAGAACCCATGAGGACAACACGCCAAGGGAGCTGTGCAGATGAGGCTTCCAGGGCTGCTGGAGGTGGCAGCTGCTGCTTGTTATTTCAGTTTTGCCACCAGTCTGGGAGATGCTGCTTTGCTCTGAACAAATCCGCATTAAGATGAGAGAGATGTCTAGACACATTTAATCCAGAAAATCCGTCTTTCTGAAAGGAAATCACTCTCTACTTGGTAGAGATATCAAGAGGGAGTTGTAAAGGGATATAAAAAGCATGGATTTTGGCATCAGACAGATCTATGTTCAAAACCCAAGCCTCACACTAGATACCTTTGCTCCTGGGCAAGTCAGAATCTCTCGGAGTCAGATTTTCTGATTACAAATGGAAAGAAATCATGCTGACCTCACATGACTGTTGTCAGGGTTATCATTTCATACAATATTCACTGAGAGCCTTCTAGGTGCTAGGAACTGTGCTGGCATCTACACAAGCTAATGAATAAGGCAAGGTTCTTGGCTGGGAGCGGTGGCTCATGCCTGTAATCCCAACACTTTGGGAGGCTGAGGCAGGTGGATCACGAGGTCAGGAGTTCGAGATCAGCCTAACCAACATGGTGAAACCCATCTCCACTAATAATACAAAAATTAGCTTGGCGTGGTGGTGGGCACCTGTAGTCCCAGCTACTCAGGAGGCTGAGGCAAGAGAATCACTTGATCCCAGGGGGCGGAGGTTGCAGTGAGCCGAGATTGTGCCATTGAACTCCAGCCTGGGTAACAGAGTAAGACTCTGTCTCAGAAAAAAAAAAAAAAAAAAAATAGGTTCTTGCCATCAGAGAGCTCATAGTCTGCTATGGGTGGATAGCTAAGAACCATAGGATCTCGTGGGTAGCTGTGTGTCTACTTGTACAATGGAGAGTCTAAAACACAGGAGGGAAGAGGAGAGAAGGGAAGAGTCCCTGGAAGAAATGGAATAGAGTGTCTCAAAGGTTGAGTTCCAGCTTTCTGGTAGATAAGATGCCTCTGGCATTCCACGAAGAGGGGCCTGCCTGAGCCAAAGGCACAAGGATAGAACCAGAAAGTGAAAAGGGAAAAACAGCAAGAAGGGGACAGCAGAGGTGAATGGGGTGGATGGAGGCCCAGCTGAGGAGGGGCTCACTAAGGAGTCTGTGCATCCTTGTGCCAGCGCAATGCTTTAGCTCCAGCCTGGCCTGCTCCAAAAAGGCTTTGAAGAAGCCAAGACTGAACTTCATCCAAAAGTCATTGAAAACTTTAAGAAGCAGCATGATTGCTGGGCACAGTGGCTCATGCCTGTAATCCCAGCACTTTGGAAGGCTGAGGCAGTTGGATCACTTGAGGCCAGGAGACTGAGATCAGCCTGGTCAATGTGGTGAAACCCTGCCTCTACTAAAAATATGAAAATTAGCTGGGCATGGTGGCGGGCACCTGTAATCCCAGCTACTCAGGAGGCTGAGGCAGGAGAATCACTTGAACCTGGAAGGCGGAGGTTGCGGTGAGTTCGTGCCACTGCATTCCAGCATGGGCGGCAGAATGAGACTGTCTCGAAAGAAAAGAAAAGAAAAAGAGAGAAATGGTATAATTAATCCTAAGTGTCTTAGTCCGTTTTGTGCTGATATAAAGGTAGACTGGGTAACATAAAGAAAAGAGGTTTGTTTGCCTCATGGTTCTGCAGGTTGTACAAAAAGCATGATGCCAGCATCTGCTTCGGGTGAGGCCTCAGGGAGCTTCCACTCATGGTGAAAGGCTAAGGGGATCCAGCATCACACGATGAGAAAGGGGGGGGAAAGAAAGGGGTGACCGGGCGCAGTGGCTCATGCCTGTAATCCCAGCACTTTGGGAGGCCAAGGTGGGTGGATCACCTGAGGTCAGGAGTTCAAGACCAGCCTGACCAACATGGTGAAACCCTGTCTCTACTAAAATTACAAAATTAGCCGGGCATGGTGGCAGACATCTATAATCCCAGCTACTCGGGAGGCTGAGGCAGAAGAATCTCTTGAACTTGGAAGGCGGAGGTTGCAGTGAGCCAAGATCACGCCACTACACTCCAGCCTCAGTGACAGAGCGAGACTCTGTCTCAAAAAAAAAAAAAAAAGAGAGGGGTGCCATGCTTTTTTTTTTAAAAAAAAGCCAGCTCTCTCATGAACTAATGCAGGGAGAACTCACTCATTACTGCAGAGACAGTGCCAAGCCATCATGAGGTCTCCACCCCTGTGACCCAAACACCTCCCACCAGGCCCCACCTCCAAATTCGGGAATCAAATTTCAACATGAGATCTGGAGGACACTCATATCTAAACTACATCAATAAGATATGTGAAAATGTCTGACACCAGTAAGTGATCCGTACAACCTGGTTTCCTTCTATGCACTGAGATGGGAAGCATTTCATTATCAGGATGCTTCCATCTTCCAAGTATGTTTCTAGTGTTTTATTGCCCCAGTGTCATCTGGGGGGTGGGGGAACCAGATCGGTTTCGTAGAGGAAAAGGAGTGAAGTTGTCTCAAAGGAGACCAAGCAAGCTGCTCTGCAAAGAAACCCTAGTATGCTGTGGCTTTGACAGGAGAGGAGCACATTTCTCTTCTCCATACCCTTTCAGAATGGGCAGACAGGATCTGTGCCAGGGAGTCCAGGAGGGACCTAGGCCTTATCTGTGTCCTTGGGTTTGGAGTTGGTACATGACCACATCTGCGTTTGAGCCACACGACATGGAAACAGATACATCCACTCACATCCTATTCACCTGGACTCAGTTCTATGACCACGTGGATGTTGAGTTTGAGATGCTACCAAGTTGTCCAAGAGACAGCTAGAAATGCAGAACTTGAGTCTAAGAATGGGCAGGAGCCAGGCACAGTGGCTCATGCCTGTCGTCTCAGCACTTTGGGAGGCTTGAGGCAGGAGGATCACTTCAGGTCAGGAGATCGAGACAGGTCTGGGCAACATAGCAAGACCCTATCTCAATCAGTCAATCAATATGAATAAGTCATAAATAAACCTGGTGACATGCCAAGCACAGGACCTGGGTCTCTAATCAAAATTCCTGTCTTGCTGGGCCCAGTGGCTCACGCCTGTAATCTGCTTGAATTCAGGAGGTTGAGGTTGCAGTGAGCTGTGATCGTGCCATGCCACTCCACTCCAGCCTGGGTGACAGAGTGAACCCCAGCATAAAAATAAAAAAAGTGCAGGGGTCAGAGGTGATTCTCTTGAATGTATTGAGCCTGGAGTCCCTCATCTTACAAAATGTGATATTGGCTGCTGAAGGCCATGGTGTCAAAAAATAATAAGGTGGCGGTAATTTAGCCTCTGGCTGCTTGCTCACTGCAATAATTTGGACAAGTTACTCACCGAACTTCTCTGAGACTATTTTTTCATCTGTAAAAATTGGTTGTGATGATGATGATAGAAATCTAAATGAAATAAAACACAGAAAGTGCCTGGTTCATGGTAGGTCTATTGAATGCTGTCTTTCCTTTCTTGTGAACAATGCTAATTGACATGGAATTTCTGAGTGAGACTAAAGTGCATTCAAAAGGTTTAGCGTGGGGGGTGGGGCCACTGGAGTCTTTCTATCCAAGAGAATATCATTAAAGCTGGAAGCTACAGTAGGTCAAAATAATAGGCAGTTGGAAGTCACAGAAGGGCCGGGTGCAGTGGCTCATGCCTGTAAGCCCAGTACTTTGGGAGGCTGAGGCAGGAGGATCACTTGAGGCCGGGAGTTTGGGACCAGCATGGGCAACATAGCAAGACTTCATCTCTACAATTTTTGTTTTTACATAGCCAGGCATGGTGGCATGAACCTGTAGTCCCAGCTAGTTGGGAGATTGAGGGGAGGCGGCAGGCAGGAGGATTGCTTAAGTTCAGGGGGTAGAAGCTATAGTTGCAGTGAGCTATGATCCAGCCCCTGCACTCCAGCCTCTGATACAGTGAGACCCTGTCACACACACACACACACACACACACACACACACACAAGAAGTCACAGAAGTGAAGAAGACACTTGTCTTTCAGCCAACATCATTAAGTATCAGTAAGTGCTAGACCTGGGCTCAGCTCAGGAGACACATGGCCTGGTTGGCAAACGGGTGGCTTTGGAGGGGACAGTTTGAGATTCAGTTCCAACTCTGCCACCCAATGATTGAGTGACCTTGGGAAAGACATTGCATCATTTCACTTTGTTCATTCATAAAATATTACCTTGCTAGGATATTGGACAAGCTGCTGAAAAGGTAAGTGATGTGCCTAAGTTGGAACCAGCACTTAGTAGGTACTCAATGTAGAGTAAAGGTGATTATCATCCTCATGATTATTACCACCATCACGATTATTTCCATCAT
Organism: Homo sapiens; assembly: GCF_000001405.40. NCBI lineage: Eukaryota > Metazoa > Chordata > Mammalia > Primates > Hominidae > Homo > Homo sapiens. The sequence continues at coordinate 67,632,317 of NC_000007.14, read as the reverse complement.
CATTTGTTTTTGTTTTTGAGACAGGGTCTCTCTCTGCCGCCCAGGCTGGAGTGCAGTGGCTTGATCACAGTTCACTGCAGCCTCAAACTCCTGGGCTCAAATGATCCTCCCACATCAGCATCCCAAGTAGTTGGGACTAAAGGTGTGCACCACCACACCCAGCTAATTTTTTTTAAATTTTCTTTTGTAGAGATGGGGTCTCACTGTGTTGCCCAGCCTGGTTTCAAACACCTGACCTCAAGTGATTCTCCTGCCTTAGCCTCCCAAAGTGCTGGGATTACAAACACAAGACAGTATCATCATTTTGATCATGTAACCTCTGCCCTAAAGAAGCTGGCAGTCTGCAGGGGAAACAGATGTTTGGGGCATAGGGTTAGAAGCATGCCAAGTACTTCAGCCGTCCTGGGAAAGTTCAGCAATAAGGGGATCCTCTTCTTGGAATAAAGCTGAGCTCACACCAAAAGCCAGTTAAGCTCTTCTTCTGCACCACACATCGGGAGGGGCAGCCCAGCCTGGAGCCAGGGGCTCTCGCACAGGTGGTGGAGCGGAGGAATGTATCCGGCCCCTCCAACCTCGCAGCTAGCTGAGTACAAGTCTCCATACACACAGGAGACGCACAAACACAGGCTGCCTCCCTCCCGAGTTGTGGTACACGACGCCACCCTTCTGCGTGCACAAGCTGTCCTGGTAGCTGATGCCAGCATCTCCGTGGCAATAGAAATGTGTTCGGTTCCTCCTCCCCCTACCCCACTATGCCTGGCAAAAAGTTAACGGCGCTATACTTCTCTTTGAGTCCATATGCCGCCTCAATTTCTGATCAGAGATGTTACAAATTACAGTCTGTCTCTGCAGAAAATTAAAGTAGGCTCATTTCTCTTTCTGTGTCAACACATTAGTTTCAGTTGTTTGAGAGAATGTGCTAGATGGTGTTCTCTTCGTTTGAAGATAATTTTCTTTTCTCCGCTCTCCAATGACAGAATTCCTGGTTAAGACGTTTCCCTCCCCTCCCCTTCCTCTTGCCCCCGCCTGATTTAATCTGCCTGGGGCAGCCAGGTTGTTTTGCAATCAAAGTTTGCAATCTAACAATTGGAAAAGAGATTAATTAAGGAAGAAAGGATTTTCTCTCTTTCTTTCTTGTGGGTTCAAAGGCTTCTTTAATAAGAGGAATCAATGGAAATGGAAATAAAAGAGCGGGAACTAGGTCCCTGAAGCCTCCTCCTTTCCCCCCTAGGTCTCTCCTATCCGCCCCCAATGCACAAGGGTATTTGACAGCCTTTTCTTGTACCCCTCCATCTCAGATGCCCTCTGAGAAATCAATCACGTGCCCCTGCGGGGAGGGATGCGGGGAGGGATGAGATGGACAGGGAGAAGTTTAAATGGGATTTTTATAAATTTCATCAATACTCGCACAAAACAGAAGCGGGACAGCTTTATTGATTTAAACATTAAAATAACATGTGCTTTCTCTGCATTGTCCCAGAGGTGATAATGTTTCTTATTTTTAATCTAGATTGAAATCTCGGAGACTTTCCACAGGCCCCTTGTGGTGATTACCAAAGATTAGTAATAACATGTCTAATTAGTGTAGAAAGACAGAAAAATCGATGGCAGTGTGGGATGTTAGGCTGACTGACGGAGCTCAGAGGAGAGGCTGGGTGCCTCTCCAGAGATGGGAAATGCCCAGTGGGCCCTGCTCAGCACAGGGCCCTGGGAGTCAGCTCACACTTGTCAGATGAGGCTTTCCAAGTTCCCTGATCTTCTTTCTTTGAGCTTTTGATGTCTTTGTTGGAGGAAATGGTAAAAAGAAGAGAGCAGGATTCATTGGCGGGGGAACCAAGTCAATCCAGCAAATGCCCGGATGATCTGTTTTGCTTTTCGGTCCAGTATTTCCCAAGGACCGGCAGGGAACAAATGCTAGGACAGGCACTGGAGGGACAGGAAGGAAAACCCAGCCCCTGGTCTCCAGATACCCTGTCTACTGATCAACAGAGTTGTGTCAGTGGTGGAGCCTTTAGAGCCTCATCTCCAAAGTTAATTCCCAATGATGTGTTTGGTTCCATCTGGGTGGGAAAGGAGGATTCCACGGAGAGCTTCATCCCTTACAAGACAGCCAAGTCTCTGCCCACTGTCCAAGGGCCTTATGGGTGGCCAGTACTAACCCTTTCCCTTCCCTTCACCCACTTTCAGATCCCCCTTCCTTCCTTCTCTTTCTCTCTCTCTCTCTTCCCCAAGTCCCACAGTGACCTAGTACTGACAACAGAAAACAGCCCTGCAAACTCTCCTGAGAGACTCTTCCTCCCACACCCAAGAATTTTCTTGGGCCCTCTTTTTCTTTCTTAGGGCTTCTGTTTCTGCTTAATTGTATGGGAGGAGGGAGGAAGGAAGGGAGCTCGGAGAGTCGTAAAGAAGCAGATAAAAGGAGGGAACTACATGGGGACACACAGATATAAATATATAGATGACGCCAGGCACAGTGGCTCATGCACGTAACCCCAGCACTTTGGAAGGCCAAGGCTGGAAGATTGCTTGAGCCTAGGAGTTTGGGACCAGCCTGGGCCACCTAGGGAGATACCGGACCAGCCTGGGCAACCTAGGGAGATCCCGTCTCCATGAAAAATTTTAAACATTAGCCCAGTGTGGTGGTGCGTGCCTCTAGTCCCATCTACTCAGGAGGGTGAGGCAGGAGGATGGCTTGAGCCCGGGAGGTGGAGGCTGCAGTGAGCCATGATTGTGCCACTGCACTCCAGCCTGGGTGACACAGCAAGACCTTACCTCCAAATAAATAAATATATAAATATAGAGAGTGTAGGTTACATATAAATATAGCTCACCTTACAGGTTATGTAGACAAAAAAAAAAAAAAAAAAGTGTCCTAAGAGGTATAGTGAATTATCTTAGCAACGCAGATAAAGGAAGAATTAAGTCTTCCACAGAGGTGAGATAAGGAGAGAGGGACAGCTTGGAGCTGGCTCTGGAAGCATGCAAAGGCGGGAAATGGGGAGAGAGCTCACGGGAGGTGGGGTAAGGACTGAGGGACCCATGGGGCTAGAGCAGTGACTGTCTCCTCTCTCCAACCCTTCACCCCATCGTGATCTCGCTCTGACCACACCTCTCCACCAGTGCTGCTTCTGCAGCCACCAAAGCCCAGACAGTCTAACCCAAGGGACAGGATCCAGTCTTTGTTTGGCTGGATCTGGCTGCTGCATTTGACCTTGTGGACTACTCACTCGTAGAAACGTCTTCTTTGATTTCTGTAATTCACGGCCTCTTGGTTTCCATGACTTCTCTCAGTCTCCTTTGCTGGGTTTTTCTTTCTCTTCTCTGTTGATAACGCTGTGGCTCCATCCAGAGTTAACGCGCTGGGCATTCTCCCTTGGGATGCCGCCATTCACACCCACGGCATTACCTCCATCTTTACCTTGGTAAGTCCCAAATCTCCTTGACCATCTCCTATCTTCCTTTTCATCTTCAAACCCACAGGTCCTATGCTGTCCATGGAATTTTATCCGGGATGTCGCACACCCAGGCACCACCCATTTAAAGTGTTCAGATTCAAACTCTTCTCTCCTCCGAGAATGGCTGGGCCATCTGGGTGGGTGCCGCCATCTTGTCGGGGCCATGCTTGTTCTCCCAGCTACCTCCATAGTACCTGTCCTTCTCTTCAGCCCCCTCACAGCCTAGAAGTCCTGAGCCTGGAAGATCATCCCTTCTACACCTAGTAGTCACAGGAATCTGTAAAGAATCACTCTCCCTTCTCTGCAAAGTATGCATCTAATTCTTTACTCATGTATGCCAGTGTAGACACCTGGATATTGATTTTTATTCAATGTGTTATAATCCATGACTATCATTGTTTTTGAGACAGGTTCTCGCTCTGTTGTTCAGGCTGGAGTGCAGTGGTGCAATCACAGCTCACTGCAGCCTGCACCTCCCAGGCTCAAGCGATCCACCTGCCTCAGCCTCCTGGTAGAACGCTCAGAAGAAACCAGTGAAGAAGAGCACCTCTGAAACAATGAATAAGATCATTCCATATGGAAGAACTTTTTGGATGATTGATGTATGGTGGCCTTGGAATGTGCCTTCTCAGATAATATCACATCATCAATTGATATGTTATTAATGTATTGGTTAGTAGGGAAGGGAAGGGAAGGGAGGGGTAGCGGAGTCAGGAGGGTAGCAGAGTTAGAATGAAATCATATGGCTAGGCTGGATGCTACTAGTAGTGCTGAAAGGGCTCCCATCAGTGGTCAGGGGCTAGGCTTGGCCCATCTGATAGGCATGAGTTTGGTGGGTCATTATGTGTTGTCATGGAAGTAGAGGCTTACTAGTAGTGTAAAGATGTAGGCCTGAAAAAGGGCTACAGCAAATTCGAGGGTGGTTAATAAAACTAGAATAATGAATGTACTTGAAGCTGTGGGTAAATTAATAGTTGATAATATTAGTATAGCTCCTCCAATTAAGTGCATTAGTAAGTGGCCAGCTGTAACTGGAACTAAAGGTGTGGGCCACCACATCCAGTTAATTTTTGTTGTTTTTTTTTTTTTGTGGAGATGGGATTTCACCGTGTTGCCCAGGCTGGTCTCAAACTCCTGGGCTCAAGCAATCTGTCCGCCTCGGCCTCTCAGTAGCTGGGACCACAGGCTGGTGCACCACCACGCCAGGCTAATTTTTGTATTTTTTCTTTTTTTTCCTTTTTTTTTTTTTTTTTTTTTGTAGAGATGGGGTCTCACCATGTTGCCCAGGCTGGTCTCAAACTCCTAGGCTCAAGCGATCTGCCTGTCTCGGTCTCTCAAAGTGCTGGGATCACAGAAACGAGCCACCACGTCCGGCCCATTATTTTACTTTGTTGCTCAACTTGTCCCAAATTTGGTCACTGGGAGCTCCTTCAAGCCGGTTCCTGTGTCCTTCTGACATGCCTCCATACTTCTGTTTTCTCAAATAGTTTCTTACTTTTTGGCATCACAAGATCTTCTAGGCTCAGGACCTTTTTGTCATTTGCCCAAATCTCAGCAAAAGCCTCCTGCTGTTCTCACTGCCTCTCCCCTTAACCCCTCTCAGGTAGCTTCCAGGCTGCAGCAGAGCTAGCCTTCAAGACAAATGCAATTACCTTATTCTTCTGGTCAATAGATTCCGAGGCTCCCCACTGGCTTCAAGATGAAGCAAAAGCTCCTCCCAGGCTCAGCACACAAGGTTCTATGTGACCCACCTTTTGCCAGACTCTATAGCCTTGGAAGTTGCTGCTCCCCTAAACATCACCCCAGCCAGATGGAGCCACAGCTTGCATTGCCACTAACTAATACATTAAGCTGTTTCATTAATTGGTCACTTTTTTAAAGCTGAGACTCTACCTGGTCCTAGGCACTGGGAATAAAGTCAACATTGAAGACAAGGTGCCCGCCCACTCAGAGCTCATAGACCAGTGTGGAGAGGCAGAAGAACAAAACAGAAAATAAAACAGAAGCCAGGCGTGGTGGCTCATACCTATAATCCCAGCACTTTGGGAGGCCAAGGCAGGAGGATCACTTGAGCCCAGAAGTTCAAGGCCAGCCTGGGCAACATAGTAAGACCCCATCTCTACAAAAAAATAAAAATAAAAATAAGCTGGACAAGAGGCAGGCACTGTGGCTGATGCCTGTGATCCCAGCACTTTGGGAGGCTGAGGCAGGCAGATCACTTGAGGTCAGGAGTTTGAGACCAACCTGGCCAACATGGCAAAACCCTGCCTCCACTGAAAATACAAAAATTAGCCAGGTGTGGTGGTGCACACCTGTGGTCCCAGCTACTCGGGAGGCTGAGACAGGAGAACCGCTTGAACCCGGGAGGCAGAGGTTGCAGTGAGCTGAGGTCACATCACTGCACTCCAGCCTGGGTGGCAGAGCGAGACTCCATCTCAAAAAAAAAAAAAAAATTAGCCAGACATGATGGTGCACATCTGTGGTCCCAGCTACTCAGAAGGCTGAGGCGGGAGGATTGCTCAAGCCCGAGGAGGTCTAGGCTGCAGTGAGCTATGACTGCACCACTGCACTCTAGCCTGGGCAACAGAGCAAGACATTGTCTCAAAAAAAAAAAAAAAAAAAAAAGAGGAATGAGAATAAGGTCAAATGCATTAAAGGAGCACTAAAGGAGACAGTTGTAGGAACACATTAGGATGTCTTCGTTCAGACTCGGGGTCTGAATATTTGCTGCTCCCGCAGAGAAAAATGTCCTTCTTCCTCTTGTATATCAGCTGGTACTTTTCTTCTTCCAGGATTCAATTCAAGTGCCAGCTTCCACGGTTAGACCTGGTGAGCAAGGTTTTCCCGTCAGGTACCCACAGCACCCCATCCTTACAGAGTCTTAACTCTTGATTTGTTTCATGACGTCTGCCTTTAGATTTACAGCCAAGATCTTTTTATTAATCCCTAGAACAGAGAGCCCAGTCCAAAGCCGACACTTGATAAATATTTTTTGTAGAAAGTGAATAAATGAAGTGCTCAAATTTTTGAGCTCATGTCTAATGAGAGAGGGCACAGAAAGTCATACTGAGCTTGCTCCTCCCTCCCAGAGAAGCAAGTGTGGACACCTTGGAATTCCTGAAGGAGTGTCTCTTAGAGGGCTGCATCCCTACAGTCTCCCCTGGGAGCAGGACAGAGGAGCTAGGGTGTCTGTAGCGTCTTGAAGATGTGCAATTCAAGCGGGGAAGACGGAGGGTTCAAGGGCTGGGAGAGGCAGCACACCAGTGCCCAGCCAGTCGATTTCCAGGGTGAGCTGGTCCATCAGAGGAGGCTCGGGATGTGAACTGAAAGGGCTGAGCCCTGAGAACGACGACCTCGGAGGATTCAAGCCTAGAGCGCCTTCGCCAAGCTCGAGATTGGGGGCGTGGCTCATCCATGGCTATTCCCGGGGGCCTCTGCAGGGAGCTGGATCTGCCAGGCCGGCAAGATGAGGCAGGACAGAGTGCCAACAGCGACACCATGTGGCCATGAGGAACCATAGCAAGATCTGATCAAATCAGTGGGAGGGGGGATGAAACCAACCCTTTTGGATTGAGATGCTTGAAAAAGTCAAGAGAGGGATGAGCTTCAAGAGGGAGATACTAACTTCTTAAAAATAAGGCATAGTTTTAATTTATTTTTTAACTTTTTTATGCTTTGGGGGATGGAACAGGGTCTCGCTATGTTGCCCAGGCTGGAGTGCAGTGGCACCATCACAGCTCACTGCAGCCTCCACCTCCCAGGCTCAAGCAATCCTCCCACCTCAGCCTCCCTAGTAGCTGGGACTACAGGCTTAAGCCACCACACCTGGCTAATAATCTTTTTTTCTTTGTAGAGAGGGGGCTTGACCAACTCCCATGCTGGTCTCAAACTCCTTTGAAATAAATTCAAATTTATTTTTAAAAGTTGCACCCACAGTACAAGTAATTATCATAAACCCTTAGCAACTTTCTCGAAATATTAATGCATTTTACACAGGCACAATGCACTCATCTACATTAGTCAAAGTTGATGAGATACTGTAAATTAACCTACACATCTTTCTCACGCTTCTCCGATTGTTCCACGAACAGCCTTTATCTGATCCAAGATCCTATCTAGGATATGATGTTGCCTTCATTTGTTGGGTCTCTTTAAACATCCCCCTGTCTAGAATAGTTCTCAGTCTGTTCTTTCATGATCTTGCCATTTTTGAAGAGTACTAGCCAGTTAGTTTCTAGAATGTCCCCAAGTTTGGATCAGTCTGAGGTCTCCTCATATCTAAATTCAGTATTTGAAGGCAAAAGCACCACAGATGTGAGGCTGTCCCCTTCTCAGTGCATCAGGCCAGCAGGCTCATGATGTCACTGTGTCTTCTCTCTATTGGGTGAGACTCTCTCATCTGAAAATCCAAAATCTGTGAGGCTTGATGCTCCAAAACCCAAAACTTTTAGAGTGCAGGTGGAAAATTCCACACCTGACTCATGTGATGGGTCACAGTTAAAACACAGTCAAAACTTTTTTTTCATGCACAAAATGTTTAGAAATATTGTATAAAATTACCTTCAGGCTATGTGTATTAGGTGTAAATAAAACATCAATGAATTTTGTCTTTAGACTCGGGTCTCATCCCCAAGATATCCTATTATGTACATGCAGATATTCCAAAATCCAGAAACATCCAAAATCCAAAACACTTCTGGACCCAAGCACTTCTGATAAGGGATACTCGACCCATAGTGATCTTTAAATTTGATCACCTGATAAAATTGGGATTACTGGGATCTCTACTGTAAAGTTACCATTTTTCTCTTTGTAACTAATAAGTATCAAAGGGGATATACTTTGAGATTATGTGAGTATCACTTTTCTCGCCACGCTTTTGCCCACTCATTTCAGCATCCATTGATTTTTGCCTAAAGCACTTACTACTCTGGTGTTTGCCTATTTCCATCATCCCTTCTACATTTAATGATCAGAATTCTACCGTAAAGAAGTGCTTTCCCCACTCTTCAATTTATTTATGTAATTATTTACTCATGCATGCCAGTGTGGACTTCCGGATACTGATTTTTTATTCTATGCGTTGTAATGCATTACTATCATTATTTATTTTTATTTTGTTGCCCAGCTTGGCCCAGATTTGGCCACTGAGGGCTCCTTCAGGCTGGTTCCTATGTCCTTCTGGCATGCCCTTCCTCTTCCCCCCAGCCAAGTAATTTACTTTTTGGCATCACAAGATCATCTAGGTTTATCCCATGCTTTCTCTGCCCCAGCCTTGGAATTGGACATTGACAAATACTTTGACACCCAATAACCACTCATCCCAACTACTGTGGAAGCGCTCTAAAACTGTGCCCTGTGGTAGATGTGATCATTGCTCCCTCTGCGCAAGGCCCAGCATTTGATCATTTATTTGCTCAATAAATTACTGATTATTCGCTGAAAGAGATTTGTGGCATTTATTCATTGGTTCAGCAAGAACGCACCAAGTGCTTACCACGAGCTAGACCCAGGCTGCTTGTTGAAGATAGAAATTAATCAAACCTGAACCTCACCTCCAAGAGCTTAGAAACAAGTGGGAAGGAAGACAGGCCAGTCAATATAGTCAGAGCATCGCATGAGGCTGAAACAAAGGCACTAAAGACAATAGTCATCACATTCCAAAAGAGATCTAAGACACGCACAAATGACATAACCAAAGAGCTGTCTGAATTATAGCTTAATAACTCCTAAACCTCCCACCCATACCAAGGGTTAAGAGTTGGAGATCGGAGAGGCCAGGCGTGGTGGCTCAGGCCTGTAATCCCAGCACTTTGGGAGGCTGAGGTGGGCGGATCACGGGGTCAGGAGTTCGAGACCAGCCTGGCCAACATGGTGAAACCCAGTCTCTACTAAAAATACAAAAAATTAGCCAGGCATGGTGGTGCACACCTGCAATCCCAGCTACTCCAGAGGCTGAGGCAGGAGAATCGCTTGAACCTAGGAAGCAGAGGTTTCAGTGAGCCGGGATTGTGCCACTGCACTCCAGTCTGGGCAACGGAGCAAAACTCTGTCTCAGAAAAAAAAAAAAAAAGTTGGAGATTGGGGATGATTTTTGCAGACAGCTTCTTTGAAGAAAGCTGTACTTAGTCCCAACCTCACCCCAATCCCCCACCTCCAAATAGAAGAGACACTTCTGCCTGACCCAGGTTTGGCATCAGGGACTTCAAGGAAAGGAGATAGCAAAGGGTTTTAGGACTAGCTGTTGATGTACTGTAAATCTTACTTCCTATCAAGGGTGAGGACTGCAAGGTGCCTGCTCTTCTCCTTGAGCTTGGAGAAGGGGGCTTTGGGGCTTCAGCAGAAACCCCCAAATATATGGTTACTATATATCCCCTCTATTAGAAGACAAAAGGGTTTGGTCTATTTCCTACCCAAGAAACATGAAGGTGAGAGATGGGTTAGCTAGCTGCCAGCAGACAAAACCCCAGAAGAGGTGCTTGCATTTGAAGTCTTCCTGTTCCAGAGCATGTCAGGACAAAGCATCCATGTGTGTCTCCTATGGACCAAGTGTGGTTTTAGACCTCATCCAGGAGGGCTGCAGGGAGAGGCAGTGGACTTCAGCAGAGAGAAGCTAGAGGCACCTCTGGAAGTGAAGCAGCATCGTTGTCTAGGGTAAATACCCAAGGTTCGTTTTCTCACAGCCACAGAAAACTAGGATGCGGACACACCGGAGTGAGGTTAAGAACAGAAGTTTAATAGGCAAAAGAAAGAGATGAGCTCTCTCTGCTGCAGAGGGAGGGGTCCTGGGGAAATGGGTTGCCACTTCTACAGTGAAATCCAAGGGGGTTTATAGATGAACTTGAGGTGGTGTCTGATTTACATAGGGCACCAAAGATTGTTTGGACCAGATGTGCCATTTGCATAGGGCGGGAAAAACCTGGCTGCCCCCACCCTAATCTTTTACTATGCAGATGAGCTCTTTGCCTGGCTGGTACCATGTTGCCTGTTCCTTACTGTACACGTGGTGACAAAGAAAAGGGAAGATAAAGCCTCCATGTCGAACATACCTGGCCCCAGGTAGCCCTTTACTATGGGCACAGCTGCCAGCATTCTCCTGTGCAAGCTTCCAGCTTGCTTATTTATGTTTGCAGCTTGATTTTTCAGGCTGCCTTTTGTTAGAAAAGAAATGATTTGGGGGTGGCTTTTTTGTTAAAAGGGAAATTGCACCGAGGACTCTGTTGCCCTTACTATCTGCCTAAATAATTTCTTTCTATCTCCTGTATCAGAAGTTTAGGGGCCAGATAGAGTGAGAAATGGATTCAAGGAAAATGCACCATTCGCACCAAGGGAACTGCAGGTGGGAAGCCTCAGAAATGGAAGAAGGGTCTCCAAAGAATCAAAGCATCCACAGAAGTGCCCCCAAAAGGGGACATTCGAGGCAGAGTGTCACCTGATGGTTGTCAATTTCCAGGCACACAGATGGTTGCTTCCACTTCACCTCCTCTCGCTCTTCATAACCGCTTCCCATCAGGGTCAGAAGGTCCAGGTAGAAAGATCACAGAGGAGGAGGAAGAGAAGCAAGAAAAGAGAGGGGACAAAAAACGGCCCCGTGCCTGAATTTTCTATCTGCACCAGCACAACAGGGAAGCATGAGGCAAAATCAGCTTTAAATTAGGTTGAGAATGTTGGTTATCACATGAGACTGGGACTCTGTTTTATAACTTAGATTGGCTACAGGAGTTTTCCTTCCCTACAAGCGATCGGAGGAGTCCAGAGGCTTGCCCCTGGCCATGAAAAAACAATCCCCATGTAACTGCCCAGACAGAGCCCGTTCATCTTGCCCGATGCCCAGACACAGCCAATTTATCAAGACAGGGGAATTGCAGTGGAGAAAGAGTAATTTACACAGAGCCAGCCGTGCGGGAAACCAGAGTTTTATTATTAAATCAGTCTCCCCAAAAACTCAGGGATCAGAGTTTTTAAAGATAATTTGTCAGGTGTGGGCTTGGGAAGTGGGGAGTGTATGATTCCATCTATAGGGGGTCAAAGTGAGTTTTTTCTTGCTGTCTTCTGTTCTGGGTGGGATTGCCGAACTGGTTGAGCCAGATTACCCGTCTGGGTGGCGTCAGCTGATCCATCCAGTGCAGAGGCTACAAAATATCTCAAGCACTGATCTTAAGTTTTACAATAGTGATGTTATCCCCAGGAGCAATTAGGAGAGGTTGAGACTCATAGAGCCCGAGGCTGCATGAACCCTAAACTGTTATTTCTAATCTTGTAGCTAATTTGTTAGTCCTGCAAAGGCAGACGCGTCCCTGGGCAAGAAGGGGGTCTTTTCAGGAAAGGGCTGTTATCAATTTTGTTTCAGAGTCAAACCATGAACTGAATTCCTTCCCAAAGCTAGTTCGGCCTATGCCCAGGCATGAACAAGGACAGCTTAAAGGTTAGAAGCAAGATGGAGTCGGTTAGGTCTGATCTCTTTCACTGTCATAATTTCCTCAGTTATCATTTTGCAAAGGCGGTTTCACCCACCACCCATGGGAGCAGACTTAAGGGGACAGCGAGAGACACATACAGATTTGCTTTATGGTGACGGCCCATGCTTTGTGTTACTTAAACAAATGCAGCATGAGCAAAGCCACGTAAAACCCCAAGGGGGGAAACTTTACACAAACTTCTTGATTTCCTGGTGCCTCTGTGCCCTAATATGAAAGCAGAAAGAAAGGAAGAATTTTGGCTCTGGCTCTCTTTGAGAGTTTTAAGAAGATAATGAAGAATTTGGAAGGCTGAGGCGGGCAGACCACTCAAGGCCAGGCCAGGAGTTCTAAACCAGCCTGGCCAACATGGTGAAATCCCATCTCTATTAAAAATACAAAAAAATTAGCTGGGCGTGGTAGCGCACACCTGTAATTCCAGCTACTAGGGAGGCTGAGGCAGGAGAATTGCTTGAACCCACGGGGCGGAGATTGCAGTGAGCCGAGATCGCGCCACTGCATTCCAGCCTGCACAGCAGAGCGAGACTCCATCTCAAAAAACAACAACAAAAAAGAAGATAATGAAGAAGAAGGGATATCTATACCTAGACTCTGGGCTAAGCCTCTTTCCCATGCTGGAATATTTAATCGGTGCCTAAAACAGAGAAATGCAGTGAGATGTCAGATACAATCCGATGAAAGAAAAGCATTTTTGTCTCAATGGATGCCCTCAGACTAGAAATCTTCATTTATTGCTCGGCTGATAGGGAAGGAAGAACAAAAGGGCCAGACAGAACTCCTGGATTCAATCAGCTCTCTCTTTTATATTATTTTCTTTTTCTTCAGAAGCACTTTTCACCACCTGGCAATATTTCCCCTTTTAAGCCAGGATTTGTGCTTTTAAAGCTTTATAAAATGTGCAGTTCAGGCTTCGTTTTCCTGGCAGGCAGAACTATTCTGTATTCCCAGGGCCCTCCCGTCCCCGGCAGCAGTTCTCTCTGGCTGATGTCACCGTGCGGAGAGGCAGCGCCATCACCTGCCCAGAACACATTCCCTGCAAACCAAGCCAGCAAAAGGCTCGTGGTGAGCAGATGTTTCTGTTTAAGGCTGATAGGAAGTGCAGGGACCATTTTTCTCCCCGTCAGTTTTCAAGTGCAAGAAGCAGCTGTGTGCCAGGAACACAGACCTGGATTCTAACGAGGTTCGGGGCTGAGCTGGGCCCCCCGAGACAGAGGCCCGACCAATAGTAGGATGAGGTTATTCACCAAACCCAGGAGAAAGCAGGTGACAGGCAATTTAAAAAGAGTCTGGAGGAGGAATGTCTTGTTTTCTGGGAAGAGGCTGGATATTTTTTTGCAAGCATAATCAATGGGAATGGTTGACTTAAAGTAATCTCTGCTAGGGATTGTTGTGCAGAGGAAAGGAGGGGCTGCTGATTTTTCCATGAATTGTTTGCCGCCCAGAGCACACTCTTGCATTGAACACAGCCCACACTTCCATTTCCAGAACCCTAACCTACAGCTTTTCAGAGATTGTACAGGCAGGTTGGTGCAAAGTGGCCTGACAGTCCGCTCACGTAATATCAACGAGCTCAGGTTAGCACTCACTGCATTCTGTTATAACCTCGGGACAAACCAGGAGCCCTCACACCTCCACCTGTGAAAACACTCCTTCCAACGAAGTGTTTCCCAAGCCCCTTGAACTGGCAGAGTCAACACAGGCTTTGCAGAAACACTGATGGATCCAAACAACCAAATATGACTTCGCAAACTCAGATTCTAGCTCATAGGAGTTTCTGCTATGATCGTTATGGTAGCAGGAAAACAAGTTTCTGATGTGGTTTTAGGGTGAGAAAATTAAAATGAAGAAAATTCCTAGCCATCGACTTCAATTTTTCTACAAATTGGAAAAAGACTGCAATTATTCTTTAAATAGAAGGTTATAGAAACAAATCTTTCATTTTATAGTGAAAACCCCACAGACATAGAATAAAATCCATCTGGGAAAAAAAAAAGACATTCATTTAAATTCACTGTAAAATATAACTGCTTAATATTAGAAACTCTCCTATGTGCACATGTGATAAGGGAGGGAGAGTGTACCAGAGAAAATAAAAGACATTGCATTTACTGAGTGATTAATACAGATCAGAAAGCTTTCATACATATTATCCCATTTCATCTGCACTACAATTCTAAGAGGTAGATATTATTATGCAAATTTTGCAGATGCAAAAACTTAGGCTCAGAGAGTTTAAGTAACTTGCCTAAGATAATAAAGCTACTAGGGCTGGGCACGGTGGGTCATGCCTGTAATCCTAGCACTTGGGGAGGCTGAGGCCCGCGGATCACCTGAGGTCAGGAGTTCGAGACCACCCTGACCAACATGTAGAAACCCCATCTCTACTAAAAATGCAAAATTAGCTGGGCATGGTGGCGCATGCCTGTAATCCCAGCTACTTGGGAGGCTGAGGCAGGAGAATCGCTTGAACCCAGGAGACGGAGGTTGCAGTGAGCCGAGATCATGCCACTGCACTCCAGCCTGGATGACAGAGCAAAACTCCTTCTTGGGAAACAAAACAAAACAAAAACAAAAACAAAAAATACAGCTAGTAATAGTGAGGTCTGGAGAGTTGTCCAATTAAATAACTTTATAAATCTGCTTACATGAGTCATATAATGGGAAATCTGCTTCCATGAGTAATATAATAATAGGAAAGGAAACCCTGTATGTATTAGGCAGTATCATGTCTATATCACACATTATATTAGATTTCATACAATACTTTGTGTTATATAAAATATATGTGTGTGTGTGTGAGAAGGAACTAAAAGTTTCCTGCAATACTCAAAGATAACTACCTTTCTTCTGTGTATATATGTGTGTGTGCACACACACATTTAAAATGGAATTGTTAGGCCAGGTGCAGTGGCTTACACTTGTAATCCCAGCACTTTGGGGAGCTGCGGCGGGTGGATCACAAGGTCAGTAGTTCGAGACCAGCCTGGCTAACATAGTGAAACCCCATCTCTACTTAAAAAAAAAAAATACAAATTTAGCCGGGCGTGGTGGCTGGCGCCTGTAGTCCCAGCTACTCGGGAGGCTGAGGCAGGAGAATCACTTGAACCCAGGAGGCAGAGGTTGCAGTGAGCCAAGATCACACCATTGCACTCCAGCCCAGGTGACAGTGCAAGACTCCGTCTCAAAAAAAAAAAAAAATGGAATTGTTACCGGTGCTGAATCCATACAGGTCTGCAGCAATCTGAATTCTTGCCTCTTCTGAAGAAAGAATTCAACCAAGGGGCATAAGGGACAGGGAGGGACTCAGGTAAGTTTTAGAGAAGGAGTGAAACTCTGTTAAAAAGTTTTAGAGCAAGAATGAAAGGAAGTACACTTCCCTTGTAAGAGGACAAAGCGGGGGACTTGAGAGATCAAGTGCAGTTTGACCTCGGACTTGGGGTTTTCTAGGTTGTTCTGCTTCCGGAGGGTTTCGTCCCTTCTCCTCTGATTCTTCCCATGGGGTGGGCTGTCCATGTGCACAGTGGCCTTCCAGGATCTGGGAGGGGCCGCATCCACAATGTGTTTCCTGAAATTGTACGCATGCTCACTTGAGGCATTCTTCCCTTACCAGTCAAGTGTTCCTAGAGGAAGATCATATACCAGTGAAACTCCACCATTTTGCCTCTTAATGCGCATGCTTGAGCCCACTTGCCCAACTCCTGAGGTCTTACTGGGAAGCTGATCACCAGTTTCAGATTTTTCTGTCTATTGGGAGACTGCCTTTCCTTGGTGCAGGCTGCAACCGATTATTATTTTAGAGAGTTTAACAACCACCTGACCACCACCTGATGGTCGCCTGACATTCCTGGTGGGGTCGGGGGGCTCTCCTGCCCTTCTCACGTCTGTCTGATTACCTACTGGGACAGAATCATATTGTACATGCTATTATATCATCTGCATTTTCATTTTACATGCTCTGGTCATGACCCTCCATCTTCCTCACTGTTTTTCATTGTCCCATTATACTCCATTGCATTCTTGTACCAAATTACTTTTAACCATTCCTCTATTGGATAGATTGTATCTGATTTCTGTTATAAACAATGGTGTAATGAATATCCTTGGAAATAAACCCTTGCCTATACCCAGAGTTACTCTTTAGAATAAATTGCTACAAATGAAATTTCTAACTGAAAGAATAAGAACATTTTAAGATTTTTTGATAGGAATATTGTAAAATCATACGTCAAAAAATTGTGCCAGGTTAAATCAGTGTGTACAAGTTCCCATTTCCTCAAACTCTTACCAACACTGGCATTGCCTTTCCAAAAAAATATCATTTTTTTTTCCTTTGAGACGGAGTCTCACTCTATTGCCCAGGCTGGAGGGCAATGGAGTGATCTCGGCTCACTGCAACCTCCATCTCCTGGGTTCAAGCTATTTTCCTGCCTCAGCCTCCTGAGTAGCTGGGACTACAGGTACACACCACCACGCCCGGCTAGCTTTTGTATTTTTAGTAGAGACAGCGTTTCACCATGTTGGCCAGGTGGGTCTTGAACCCCTGACTTTGTGATCCATCCACCTCGGCCTCCCAAAGTGCTGGGATTACAGGAGTGAGCCACCACGCCCAGCCCAAAAATGTCAATTTTATAGTAAAAATATACATCTAGTTGTTTAAATTTATTTATTTCCTAGTAATACTGAGCTATTTTGATGTTTCTTGGCAATTTGCATATCATCTTTTGGGAATTACCATTTATGTCTTTTGCTGATTTTTTTAACTAGGTCAATCATCTTCTATTTTATTGATTTGTACACTTTCTCGATATATTAAGATCATCACACTTTTTCCGTAATATATGCTGCAAATAGATGTTCCAGCTCATATTAAGCCATTTTTCTGTTTTACCGTGGTAATGTTCCAAACTGCAACTTTAAATGTTTAGTTTGTCAAATGTATCAATCAACCTTTAAATTTCCGTCTTTGACTGGAACATTAAAATCAATGCATGTATTATCCTAGCACTCTTATGCATTCTGAAATTTAATTTTCAAACAGTAATGTATTGACTAAAATCATTTATCTCACTTTATTAATACATTAGGTTATTACATATACTTAGGTCTATTTGTGCGTTTTAGACTCTTCCTTTGATTTACTTGGGTCTAAGCCAGGGCCACTGGCTCAAATCATTGTAGGTTTACAGTATGTTTTCATATCCAGTCACTGGAAGCTACTTCTTTCTAGCTGCAAAGCCTACGTTTTTCCAATAGAGCCTATCAGAGGATTTGGGGAGAAGGTTGTTACCACGATGGAGTTATGAAGAAAAACTCTTATTTTGAAATTACTTCAACTCTTATTATGAAATTACTTCATAATTTTCACCAGAGCTGGTCCTGCCCAGGAAAGTGAAATGAACAGAAGATTGACTGAACTGCAGATACCAAACTGAGACTATCTTTATGGAGTTGCAAAAGATTAATTCCATCTTGGCAACATTAATGGAAATTAATGGAGGACTAGTATTGTGTGCTGAGAACTGTGCTAGATAGTGGAGACATGCGAATGAACAAGACAGAATATGTGAAGCCAGGTGTGGTGGCTCACGCCTGTAATCCCAGCACTTTGGGAGGCTGAGGCAGGCAGATCACTTGAGGTCAGGAGTTCGAGACCAGCCTGGCCAACATGGCGAAACCCCCTTGCTACTAAAAATACAAAAATTATCCAGGCGTGATGGCGCATACCTGTAGTCCCAGCTACTTGGGGGGCTTAAGGCAGAAGAATAGCTTGAACCCAGGATGGGGAGGTTGCAGTAAGCCGAGATCACACCACTGCACTCCAGCCTGGGCGACAGAGCAAGACTCCATCTCAAAAAAAAAAAAAAAATCACAATATGTGATTTCAAAAAGGTCACAGAAAAATGACATGTATATGAAACCAGACACATGTGTATCTGTACATTTTGGTGTCTCTCCAGGCAGCAGAAAGAAGTATACTTTATTTTGACATGGACAGTATTTTCTTTACAGGAATAGCCCATGCCAAGCAATATCCATCCTTGGCTTGATCTTGTCATGTTGTCGAGACAAGTTCTGGGTCCCACATCTGTATCCATTGCTTCCAACCTCATCTCAGTGGTCATTGCTCTCCCCAGTAACTCCCAGCTGGGACCACCATCCCTGGGCTCAAGACCAGTCCTGCGTTGACTTCTGATGAGGGAAACATTACCCAAGCTGACCATCCTTCCCTCCTGTGGGTTTGCTATTAAATCAGATTCCCTAGGGCTTTCCCCAGGAACAAACAATGCCCCTTTCCTGAAGGCTGCATCTCTGAATAGTGCTGATCTATCCTGAGGCCAAATGTCACCACGGCAGACCTTGCCATAGCAAGATCCAGGTCCTGCAGCTGAGGATCTCCAGGTCATCTCATGTATAAAATGCAATTTCCAGACTTTTTTCTTTGGTTCTCATACAGACATCATTGGTTGACTGAACCAACCTCCTGTAATTCTGTCCCAAGTCACTTTTTCGTTGATGCATCAATGTGGGATTCTCTGACCCAGTGTTGTTGTCAGTGAGTGGCGGATCCAGAAAATAAGGATCCAGGACCTTATTTGAAAGGTCCCACTCAGGCCAGGCACACTGGTTTACACCTGTAATCCCAGCACTTTCAAAGGCCTAGGCAAGTGGATCACTTGAGGTCAGGAGTTCAAGACCAGCCTGGTCAACATAGTGAAACCCTGTCTCTACTAAAAATACAAAAATTAGCTGGGCATGGTGGTATGCACCTGTAGTCCAGCTACTCAGGAGGCTGAGGCAGGAGAAACACTTGAACCCAGGAGGCAGAGGTTGTGGTGAGCCAAGATCGCGCCACTGCACTCCAGCCTGGGCAACAGAGCAGCAGAGTGAGACTCCATCTCAAAAAAATAAATAAATAAATAAAAAGGTCTAACTGGAAATGCACCTACAGTTCTTTACAACTTTCCCTTCTTCCTACCTGGAACCTAGATATGGTGGCTGGAATGGTAGCAACTATTTTGTGATGAAGAGGAATGAGTACAAAAGTATACATACTAAGAACAGTAGAGAAGAGTAAGAGCTTGGATCCCCAATATCATTGTCGGGTTCATTATGAGTCACCCACCCCAGACTTCTGAGTGGAGAATATAAACCCCCATTTACTTAAGCTATCGTTAATATAATTTATATTAATATTACATGTATAGCCAAACCCATTCCTGATATAATCCTCCTTTTAGGTTTCAGTAACATGACTGCTTTCTCAATGTATCTGCCCATCTCCCAGTGCAGGCTAGAGACTGTCCTACCTTTTTTTAAATTAAGGTAAAATTCCCATAATATAAAATTAATCAATATTCATTTGAATGTGTATAATTCCTTGCCATTTAGCACATTCACAAACGTGTACAAACATCATATCTATCTAGTTCCCAGATATCTACACCATCCGAAAAGAAAATCCTGTACCCACTGCAGTCCCTCCCCATATCCCCCATCCCCAGTCCCTGAAAACCACTAGTCTATTTTCGGGCTCTGTGGACTTGCCTATTCTGGACATTTCACATAAATAGAATCATATAATGGTGGACTTTTGTGTCTAGCTTCTTTCACTTAGCATAATGTTTCAAGGTTTATCCACATTGTGGAATGTGTCAGTACTTCATTCCTTTTAACGACTGAATAATATTCCATTGTATGGATATGCCACATTGTAGGTCTCCATTCACCCGTTGATGGACACTGGGGTTGTTTCCACCTTTTGGCTATTGTGAATAACTCTGCTATACACATTTGTGTACATGTTTTTATTTGAACCCCTGTTCCTCAGTTATTTGGGGTAGGTATTTAGGAGCGGAATTGTTGGGTCATGTGGTAATTCTATGCCTAGGTTTTTGAGAATCTGTAGCCTAACTCTTGGCAGCTCATTTCCTTATAATCCTGGAGTGTATCCCCTGAATGCTAATTCACCAACAAGGGCTCTGCTCTGCAGGGACCAGCCTGTTCAAGGGCTGTGTGTGCTGTTCAGCTTGATATATCTACCTCTCACTGTGCTCCATCCACAAGTGGTCCACCCGGAACTTCAGCTTCAAGCCCAGAGCTGGCCACAAGCCACTCTCTTGAGCAGTGGCCCCTGTTCCTTTGGACCCCAGCGTCCTACCCCAGGCTATCTATCCCACTCCCTAGGGTACTGAAGAAAGAGGACCTCAGACAGGAGGAAAACCAGAGGCAGATGAATGGATGCTCCAAGCCCTCATGGGTAAGTGGACTCTGGAGGAGGTTTAGGAGCCAGAGTGAGGGTTGGGGAAGGTAAAACTGGAAGACTGTGGAGTCAAGGGAGGGGAAGGGCAGATCCAGGATAAAGCCAAAATGATGAACCAGGTAGAACACCCAGCCAAAGTACCAGACACACCCTACCCAGCGGAAAGAAGCAAGGAAGAGGCAGAAGGGAGATGGTGGGAGACGCCAGAACTACGTGTCAGAAACTGAACAAATTCCCCAAGGCACTGCAGCCTTTTAGTGTTTCTAAGACTCCTAGAGTGGAGTTCACTGCCAGAGGCACCAAAGCAGTCAGACAGCATGCCTTTGTCATGCCCAGAAAAGTGTGCATCTGAACCTGAAACCATCCTTCAATCCTCTACCTGCACTTAGTCCTTATTAAATTGTGTTAGAGACTGTAAGAAAGTCCAAATCCCAGTCCATCTTTTCAATGAAAGTCACTCATAAAAGCAGTAATATGTTCCTGCTGTGAGTGGATATGCCAGCACATTTTTTATATTATAGATACAAGACTTCCAGGCATAGATCTTTGCTTTTTGCAATCCGTAAGTGCTCAGAGTGCTAAAATCTAGAAAAGGTTACACACATTGACGTATTATCTCAAAGTGGTGGAAAATGAAAAATCCAAAGTTTCATTTTCTCATTGTTTCCAAGGAGACTCACAGTTTCGATATCCCAGGATTTGTTACTCTTTAAGAGAAACAGACACACACTTCCCCCTCCCCCCATAAAGAAATACAGCTCATCCCCATATGGAAGAGGATTTGACGGCTACGTGCTCCATTTCTTGGAGTAACAGAATCACAGAGCAGAAAGCACTCAGGTAGGCAACATGGTCCATCAACCCAAAAGCCGGCCCCGCAAAGTTAGATGACTGTCAACGTTGGGCAGGGATGACAGCTTGGGTCTTATCACACCATGGTGTCTCCCTCCTTGCAGTTCCCAAAGACAGAAATTGATCATTGCATACCCATCAACCACAGGATCCCACTTTTGCCTTTGTTTGCAAGACAGCTGCCAAAATGGTTTGACAGTTCCATACAGAGAGCTCGTGTCTCCCCGTGGGAGCTCTGATTTTCTTCCTCACAGTATAATGACCCATCTTATTCAGAGCTGTCCATCTGGCTGTGGGTGCTTATGAGAACGTGGGAGACCAGCCACTCTAATTCTGAGGCTTAAAGCCCATAGGCTGAGGCTGTAACAAAAATAATACAAATAGCTGCTATTTGGGGAGTGCTGGCCTTGTGCCTGGCAAGTTACAGAAACTGACCTCTATAAATCTTCACAATGACCCTGGCAGTAGATATGACCATTAGTCTCACTTGTTGTCTGAAGAAACTGAGGCACAGAGGCGGAAACGCTTGCTCTGTGCTATGTTATTAACAAACAGCAGAACCCTCTGGTCTCCAGAACCCATGTCCTCAGATACTGCAGAACCTGGTTCCTATCCTGGGGCAGATACAGAGGGGAGTGGGTGTTTAAAAGAGGTAAGGTTGGGCCGGACGCAGTGGCTCACGCCTGCAATCTCAACACTTTGGAAGGCCGAGGCGGGTGAATCATGAGGTCAGGAGTTCGAGACCAGCCTGGTCAACATGGTGAAACCCCATCTCTACTAAAAATACAAAAAAATTAGCTGGGCGTACTGGCGGGTGCCTGTAATCCCAGCTACTCGGGAGGCTGAGGCAGGAGAATTGCTTGAACCTGGGAGGCGGAAGTTGCAGTGAGCTGAGATCGCACCACTGCACTCCAGCCTGGGTGACAAAAGAAGACTCTGTCTCAAAAAAAAAAAAAAAAAAAAAGATAAGGTTAGCAGTGAATGACTGAACCACATGTGGAACGAGAGCTACACTTAATACTAAGTTCAAGGCCGAAACACACTTAACATTAAGTTAAAGACATGTGTACAGGTCTCCAAGCCAATCTTCCCCTCTCCCTTCCCCTTTGCGACTTCCAAGTGCCTGACTGAGTAGAAGAGTTGGAGGGTTATTTAAATTTAAGGAGCCCCATGTGGTTTGTGGGCACCCTACGTTTCCTTGCCAACCTTAGATAGTATTGCAGTCCACTACAAAGCCTTTTTTTTTTTTTTTCAGATGGAGTCTCGCTCTGTTGCCCAGGCTGGAGTGCAGTGGCACGATCTTGGTTCAGTGTAGCCTCTGCCTCCCGGGTTCAAGTGATTCTCCTGCCTCAGCCTCCTGAGTAGCTGGGAGTACAGGCGCACACCACCACACCTGGCTAATTTTTGTCAAACTCCTGACCTCGTGATCTGCCGGTCTTGGCCTCACACACTCCAAAGCCTTTTAAGCGACTTCCTATAACAGGAAGTCTCATCTTAGGAAAATCTAGTTGCAAATCCAACCAGATATTAAGAAAAAACAGGCTGCATGCTGCATGGAGTGAGATTCTGACATTATCTTCCAATTCTCTCTCAGTTGAGAAGACATGAAAACTCTCCGGTGGCTCACGCCTGTAATCCCAGCACTCTGGGAGGCCGAGGCAGGCGGATCACGAGGTCAGGAGATCGAGACCATCCTGGCCAACACGGTGAAACCCCGTCTCTACTAAAAATACAAAAAAGTAGCCGGGCGTAGTGGCGGGCACCTGTGGTCCCAGCTACTCGGGAAGGCTGAGGCGGGAGAATGGCATGAACCCCAGAGGCGGAGCTTGCAGTGAGCTGAGATCGCACCTCTGCACTCCAGCCTGGGCGACAGAGCGAGACTCCATCTCAAAAAACAAAAAAAAAGAAAGAAAGTCCCAGCTAACTGGAGACAGGAGAGTATTCTCTTCTCTCTGCCTCTTTCCCTTGCGTTATCTTCTTCCGTGACTTCTTTACAAGCTGTCTCACACTGTCCTTATTCCAAGCAGGCCCAAGCTGTGGGCTCCTTTCTTTTGTCAGGAATTTGTGATGTTTTGCAGAATCATCTCACCTCTTTTCTGACCTCTGGGCTCAAAATAAATGCCAAGTACAGACTTCTTAGCTAAAGGATTGCTAAGAAAACTGCTTCTGCCCAAAGCAGTCTGAGAAATGCCCTCTACTCATCACTTTTTCTGCAGGAGTGGCTTTTCTCTTGGTGTAAAACCCTCCCCTTGCTGGCTGGCTGGCTACCGCTCTGTGCTATGCCTTCATATGCCACAAGGGACATTTTCTTCTGATATCCTGATTGGAAGGTCCAAAACAGATTTTCAGCACTGCGTAGAAAGGTGGACATGGTGGGTTTTTTTGTTTGTTTGTTTGTTTTGTTTTGTTTTGTTTTGTTTTGTTTTAAGACAGAGTCTCACTCTGTAGCCCGGGCTGGAGTACAGTGGCATGATCTTGGCTCACCGCAACCTCCACCTCCCAAATTCAAGTGATTCTCCTGCCTCAGCCTCCCGAGTAGCTGGGATTACAGGCGCCCGCCACTATACCCACCTAATTTTTTGTATTTTTAGTAGAGACAGGGTTTCACCATGATGGCCAGGCTGGTCTCGAACTCCTGACCTCATGATTCACCCGCCTCGGCCTCCCAAAGTGCTGGGATTACAGGCATAAGCCACTGTGCCCTTTTACCCATCACTCCCCAGAAAATCTGCTCAGGAGATGAAAATACTGAACTGTGTCATGCCCTTACTCTGTGAACTCCCACAGATGCCCACACACACTTGCACACGCAAAGAGTCCCTGAGCTTCTGTGGTTGAGAATTCAAGAGAGTCAAACTGGCATCTGATGCAAAGCCTTTCTCTATATGTATCTGAGACAAATATCAGGTGTTAAAATAAGAGGTTTTTGTATGTCATATAAATTTGACAATGAATAAATAATGATTGAACGCAGAATCTCAAATTAATGGTTTGGGATGTGGACTCTGTATATTCTGACAATAATGGGTCAGATATCCTGCCCGAGGCTCTGTAAATGCAGTGGCGGTGTTGAGAATGCAATTCCTGGTTATTTTCTGTTTCATCTGCAAAGCATTTAAGTATTAAGGAGGTTCACACCGGCAATTCCACTTCCCTTTGGAAGAGAATTGCAAGCCAGTCTGGGTTGTGGGTTCCTTTCTTGTTTCAGGAATTCATGATGATTTGCAGAATCATCTGACACCTTTACTTTACCTCTGGGCTCAAAATAAACTCACCGTCCTTGCTCTTACAATCACCCCTCCCTCCCCAATACCATTCCTCTCTCCCTTTCTGCAGGTTCTTTTTCCTTCAGCATATTAACACGCTCCCATCTCTCTCATCTTAAAAAATATAAATAATGCCTCCCTTAATCTTAAGTAACTGTTAAGTTCAATTAACACTAACCAATCTAGACTCAGCCAAGGGGTAGCAGAAACCAGCTTCACGAATTCTCTCGTGATTCCTTTCAGCCACTCTCTGGAACCTCCCTGTCCAAGAGAATTTTCTGCAGGGTGGAAACGTTCTATGTCTACACTGGCCAGCAGGGTAGCCACTAGCCATGTATAACTTTCAAGCACTTGACATGCGGCTAATGAGACACAGCACCTGAGTCTTTCATTGTATTTGACTTCCACTAATTTAAATTTAAATAGCCCCATGTGGCTTGTGGCTACCATCTGGGTCCTTACCAACCTGGATGTCACTGCAGTCCCCTCCATGGCCTTACTTCTGTCACTTCTGGTAGCTGGAAGTCTTGTCTTAGGAATTAAAATGTCTTGGATGGGGCACGGTGGCTCATGCCTGTAATCTCAGCACTTTGGGAGGCAAAGGCAGGTGGATCACCTAAGGTCGGGAGTTCGAGACCAGCCTAGCCAATATGGTGAAATCCTTTACTAAAAATACAAAAATTAACCAGGCGTGGTGGCGGGCACCTGTAATCCCAGCTACTCGGGGGCTGAGGCAAGAGAATCGTTTGAACCCTGGAGGTGGAGGTTACAGTGAGCCAAGATCACACCACTGCACTCCAGCCTAGGCAACAAAGCAAGACTCCATCTCAAAAAAATAAAAATAAAAAATAAGGAATTAAAGTATCTTGTCTAATGGCCAGTCACATAATTGCAGTCAGGTCTGGGGTGATCACAACACTCTGCAATGTTACCCACTTAGAATCCCTCCTCTCTGCCCACCCAGGTAGTTTTCTGGAGTGAGTGGAGTGTATTTAGGTGGCAGTGAGGGGCATTTTCTTCTTATCTCCTATTCCACCTCCTTCTCTCTTTTCTGGCTTTGCTTCTCATCCTTCCAGGGTCGGCACAGTGCAGGAAGGAGAGGGCTGCCATCCCAGGTTCCCATGGACCACTGCAATGGTGACCCGGTCTCAGGCCCTTTAGATCAGGGGACACATCCCCCAGAAGACCCCCTGACACCT
Organism: Homo sapiens; assembly: GCF_000001405.40. Classification (NCBI taxonomy): domain Eukaryota; kingdom Metazoa; phylum Chordata; class Mammalia; order Primates; family Hominidae; genus Homo; species Homo sapiens. Next base: position 67,606,808 of record NC_000007.14, on the reverse strand, counting down.
GGTGTAGGTTCCCAGGTTCAGAAATAAGAACATGCCTGTTGTAAAGGGCACCTAATGCCACCCCACAGCCTTTGGGTGCTGAAGACTGGAAGTGGAACCATGGTCAGAGCCAAGACCGGTAAGCACCAATGCATGGCTCAGCCCAGGGGTGATGGTGGACCATTGGTTGCCCAGATCCCTGAACTCAACTCATCTTGTGTCAGATAGGAGGAAGCGTCACCCCAAATCATCATGGCAACACCAACCTGACAGCCCAAACCTCATGAAGGAAACTCTGGACCAACTAGCAAGAGTGATCTGTGTGCCAGGCTGCCCCCCGGGCCTGGCCACAGGACCTCAGAGTCACAACATAGGTACAATTCTTTGAGCTACTCCAGGCATCTGGTCAACCCCATGTGTGAAATAGAGGGTCAAAAGCATCCTAAGGAGAAGAAACAGGGTCTGGAATCCATGTAAGACCCAGTCTGAACTTTGATGTCCCACCTGGATGGCACTGCTGGCCTTGGCCAGGCCCAACCACAGAAAAGAGGCTTAGAAAATGTCCAGTAAGACTCTTTCCACGGCTGGAATCACTGGAACCAGGTCTGGGCTCGAGGCACCTTGCTCAAAGGGCACAGCTAGCTCCAGACAGACCCTGGTACTGGAAAGACTTAGGAAATTTTGAGGCTCGCTGAAGCTTGAGGTCCTCTGAGACACAGGGCTCAGGACGGGGAGCTGGCTCACCTGGGTCTGAAGGCAGTGTTGCCCTCTGCCCTGGAGGAGAACTAAACAACAGGGTGCAGGGAACAGTGCGGGGAAGAGAGATGTTGGAGAAAAGTGAGAGGCCCATTCCATTCACAGGCTGCTACTATTGGGCTGGAAAGATGAATGAGAAGGAAAGACACAAAGGTTAATTGAGCACCTCAATAAAACTCCTGGCTGTGCCTTCTGTCATGACTGGGGTCCACTTGGTGGATCCCCTTCTGGCAGCTACTTTTGTGAGTTCCTTCAGAGACTTCCAATGGAGCTCTCCAAGGTTTCTCCCTTCGCTGATGGAGGCCACCCACTTCCCTGCCAGCCTCTTGTTTCTGCCCCTCTGCCCGTGCTCTGGTGGGGCTTTTGTGCTCTTTTCCCTGGGATCTCTTTGCCCAAGCAGGTGGTTGTCTTACCTCAAATCCTTTCAAGATAGTGCCAGCCCAGCTATCATCTCCAAGTCCACTTGGCCCGTAGGGAGCATGTACTTTGTCCTGCAGCTAATGGACAGGCAGCTTGCACCAACTGTACCCTTTGTGTCTCACTGCATTTCCATCCTCCTGAAAATCTGGGGGACACTGTTTCCCCACACTTTTCTGCTCTGTTCTTGAAGCACTTGGAGAAGCTCTCAGCCAGAGAGTCAGGTGGCAGTCTCCCCATGTAGCAATTACCCCACTCTCTGCAGGGGGTGATCTCAGGGACACTCACATGCCTTAAATGTAGAGGTGGGGATGAGAGAGGCTGCAAAAGTTGAAAAAAAGCCAGCCCAAGAGCACTGTATCCCAAGGTGGGTGATGGTCTTGTAATAACCATTTTCTTCTCGCCCACTGCACAGGTACAGCCAATTCACTGAGACAGCAGTGTTGCAGTGGAGAAAAGGTTTAATAAATGCAGAGCTAGCCAAGGGGAAGACAAGAGTTTATTACTCAAATCAGCTTCCCAAAACATTTGGAGACTAGGGAGTTTTTTAAGGATAATTTGGCAGGCAGAGTGTTAGGAAATTGGGAATGCTGATTGGTTGGGTCAGGGATGAAATCATAGGAGGTTGGAACTGTCTTCTTGTACTGAGTCATTGCCCGGGTGGGATCACATGACCAGTTGAGCCAGTTTCCTGGTATGTGCCACCAGTCCAGGTGGTGCCAGCTGATCTATCAGAATGAAGGGTCTGAAAAATACCTTAAACACCAATGTTAGGTTTTACAGTAGTGTTGTTATCTATAAGAGCAATTTGTGGAGATTATGGGTCTTGTGACCTCTGGTTCCATGACTCCTGAGCCATAATTCTAATCTTGTGGCTAATTTGTTAGTTTTACAAAGGCATTTTCAGTCCCCAAGCAAGGAAGGGGTTTGTTTCAGGAAAGGGTTGTTATCATCTTTGTTTTAAAATGAAACTGAAAACTAAATTCCTCCCATAGTTACCTTGGCATACACCCAGGAATAAGCAAGGGTAGCTGTGAGGTTAAAAGCAAGATGGAGTCAGTTAGATCAGATTTCTTTCACTGTCATAATTTTTGCAAAGGTAGTTTCAGTCTCAAAGCCTTGGAGCCTGTCTGGACCACCATTCACAGTTCCTGGAGAGGCAGCTCCAGCAGTTCTATTCAGAGGCATTGTTCAAGGTCTGAACTGACTCCCCTCCTCCCTCAGACTTTAAATAATTGTACACACTTATTGAGTACCTGCTAACCTAATGTCCCTTGCAGAATGCTTTGTAAAGATTGCCCCATTCAATGCTTCTTTTGGCCCTCGAGATAGATATTGCTGCAAACTCCTTTACAGATGACAATAGAATATTCCAAGGGGTTGCACAGCTAATAAAAGCCTGAGCCCAACAGTCTATGCCCTCAAACCACTGCACTCAGCTTCTTGGAGGAGGCTCCCTTTGCCCCCTAGGAGTCAAATAATTAATCGTACAGTAAATGGTTCAATACCCCCTCTTCCCCTCCTCTGCCCCATCGTCAACAGCCTCTTATTCACTGCTCAACTTTCCATGTCTACTAGCATGCTGCTTACATAGTAAATGATCAGTAAGTATTTATGGAATTTTGAATGGAGAATTGCTAAGGAAAATGGGAGAGAAGCTTGGCTTTGCCTTGAACCATCCCCCACACAGTTAAATGGGCCAATTATCTCAGTTATAAGAATTTATAGCCTAGAGTCAATTGGGCACAGTTCAAAAAAGAGGAAATTCAGAGAAATGAAATGTGAAGACTCCTGTCTTATAAATGGCGTCTGTAATTGGCTCCATCCTAAATTGCTGTGTGACTTCTTGGCAAGTCAGCTACCCTCTCTGTTCCTGAATTTCCTAATCTGTAAAATGCATGGGTTATTCTGATTATATCAAAAGACTCTCTCAGCCCTGAAAATGCTATGAATTCGTAATAGTGTGGTTCTAATACGAATCAGATTCATGGCTAGTCTGACATGTAGGCGAAATTGATAACAGCCTATGTGACCAATGAGGTCTCTCAACCATGCAATATGACCGCCCCTAAAAGATCTCTATCTATTCTCTTCCATTCCTCCACAATCTAGCCTAACTTAGCTCTGGGAGCTCACAGTTGAGGGCTCAGGACTCAACGCTGCTCTCTTGCTAGGAATCTGTGAGTTCCTAAGGTTGTCAGAGGAGGAGTGCCTGGCCAGGCAAGTGGAATGATGTGGCCAGAGCATTGGAGTGAACAAAGGGCCTTTCAAGGTGTCGTAGGGATGTGGCTCATAGGAAATGGGGCTTCATTCTCTTTCATCTTCCTGCTTCTTTCCCAGAAAGGTAGTGCCTTTCAGAGGCTCAGAAATGTGTTTCTTATAATAAAATCTGTCTAATAACATGCTACTTTCCTCAAAAATTATCATCATTAAAAGCAACAGCATTAATTCAACATGGTTTTTATAAACAGGGCTGAAAACAGGAAAGGTAATGTCAGATCAATCCCATCTATGCAGCCTGAAGATTTTGCCGTGTATTTTGCAAATTAGTGCAAAAGCAGAAGAGTTTAGACTGCGACTACACAGAGACCCATTGTCCTGGCTAAAACCCAGGGGCTTGAGTCAGGAGCAGTGGCTCACGCCTGTAATCCCAGAACTTTGGGAGGCTGTGGTGGGCAGATTGCTTGAGCTCAAGAGTTCGAGCCCAGCCTGGGCAACATTGAGAAACCCTCTCTTTACAAAAAATATAAAAAGTTAGCCGGGTGTGGTGGCACGCACCTGTAGCTCCAGCTACTCAAGAGGGTGAGACAGAAGGATCACTTGAGACTTGAGCCCAGGAGGTCAAGGCTACAGTGAGCTGTGATCGCATCACTGCACTCTAGCCTGAGCAATAGAGTGAGACCCTGTCTAAAAAAAAAAAAAAAACCAACCCAGGGGCTTCAGCTAATTTGAGATGAGCTACTGCCTGCCGGGTGTATCACATGCCTTCCCCATTTATCTCCACCAAGGCATTCAGCTCCCGTTTCAGAGTGCAACAGGCTTCCTGCACTGCTGCAAGAAAATAACCACAACCTTCTCCCACTGCCCATGGCCTGATGGCAATGAACGCTTCCTTCGGCTTTACCCATTGTCACCTTGGCTTTGTTCAAAACATCAAATCATTGTGTCTTACTTATTCCAAGCCTTGTATTAATAATAAGGAATGATGACTCAGCATAAATGAAGCACTCCTTTCTTCCCTTAGGTCCGCGACAACCTTGGGTCTGGAATCGCAATGGTCAGCCACGTTGTCCCCAGAGTTTAGAGATAGATATGCTCACAAAAATTGCAGCCGTACTCAATAAGAGTGAGTAAAACAACTTCTGCATAGTCTTGCGGGAACATAGGAGAGTTAGCAGCTGATCCTGCACCGGGGAGAATAGAGAAGTCTCCCTAGAGGAGGAGACATCTGGGCAGTGTCCTGATGTGCACAGGGTGGGAAAGGTTATTCTGGGAGAAGGACACAGCTTAGAGAGAAGCACAGAGGCATCACAGCAGGTGGTTCATCAGAACAGACACAAGTGGTTCCTGTGTGGCTAGATTATGGAGGGATGGAAGAGAACGGATAGAGATCTTTAAGGGGGTGGGCATATTATGTAGTTGAGGGATCTCACTGGTCACGTGAAAAGTTATCAATACTGCCTGCATGTCATGCTAGATATAAATCTGATTCCTATTAGAACTACACTATTATGAATTTATAGCATTCTTAGGGCTGAGATAGTTTTTTTGATAGAAACAGAACAACTCTCGCATTTTACAAATTAGGAAATTTAGGAATAGAGAGGGTAAGCGACTTGCCAAGAGGTCAGACAGCAATTTAGGATGGAGCCAGTGATCTTGAGTTGGTGGCTTATTAACTCAGAGTTCACAGAGCAGAAACACATGTAGGTCAGTTCCTTCATTATAAGATGGTTGGGCATAAAAGTTATGCTCCCAAATATAAACTAAACTGTGGTATCTCTGAGTGGCATCATTATGACCGGTTTTTATCATATTTTTATACTTTTCTGTATTTGCCAAAAAGTCATACAATGAGTATGCATTACTTCTATAACCAAAAAGTACATGATTGTAAGAGAAGAAAATAAGTCTCGTTAGTACTTTAGCCAGTAAGAGCAGTGTGAACCAGGGGAGAAGAGAAAACACGTTTAGTGATCAGGCTTCCATGAGGCAGGATCACAGTTAGGGAACAAGGAGGGAAGTGTGCTAAGAAGGAAATCATGGCTTCTTCCAAATTTGCCTGATACTATCCAGCCATGCGTCTTTTACGTAGGTGTGAGCACCCTGGAGGTACATATTTGCAGTCTGCTTTTTTCACTTACCGTAAACATTTCCTCTGGAGTGTCATGGATTCTCCAAGGCAACCTTTCAAAGGGTTCCTTGCTACCTGTGAGCAGGCGATCCATGCCTTCCTTAAATATTCTTCCATATTGGACTTGTCACCTGCTTCAAATGTAGCAAAAATAAGGCTTCCATGAACCTCTTTATAGGTCAACGTAATTCTTTGGCATCAGGTAGTAGAAGTGAGAATTTGTACTGAGGATAAATAGAATCAACCCCAAAGGAGGTAGAGAATGGACGTTTTTAACACTCTTCATACCTGTCACCAAATTGCTTTTGTGCACAGAGTGTTTCCCTGGGGAATGTGGTTTGAACTGTTGCTCTTTTTCATGGCAGCTGGCCTGGATTTCAATTCTAGCTCTGTCATCCTGGACAGAGTCCCCTTTCTTCTATGTCCCTAAATTTCCAAGAAGAGGGGGGTGGTTTTGCAGTTACAATGTTTGTTTCTACGCTCTTTGACTAATAAAGCTGGGATCAAAAGAGTCCATGCTATTATTTTGAGCGATTACACTTGAAAACAGGATTTATTTTCAGCCTCCCTTATCTGGTTTCCTTTTTTCAAGGTGAAACCAGGCAGGAGACGAATCTATACAGCTTGTCTCCCTCACATCCACACACAAATATCATTTTCTGCCAGATTTCAAATGCAATAGTTACAGAGTGGTGCCTATTACTCAAGTCAATGTGATGTCCTCACCCAGACGTCTGGTCACCATTATATACAATTTATGAATCCAACCCAGAAACAAGGCAAAGGGAAAATGAACATGGACTTGAAGTGTCTGTGGTCATGAAATCGCTTTTCAGTTTGATGTCTCTACGAGTTCACGCTCATTTTCATTTCTCTATTTCTTCCCAAATTTGTTACCCCGGTGACTGACGCTCCAATTACAATTTCCTTCCCCGGCTTGCTCTCATGCTATCCAATAAATGTCATGGCCTTTCGCTGCACCGTGCATTTATTTTCCAATTACTGTGGGTAAACAGGGATGTGCAAGCAATTGAATTGAAGCTTTTAACTCATTTGATTTGGTCCCAAGCAAAATTTCAGAGATTGAGACATAAACATCAAAGCTATTCTCTACAGAAATGACAAGGGTTGGGAGAAACTGCCTGAATAATCCCCCTTTTGCAAAGAGCGAAAAGATGTCTGCTGGGACATCTTTACCCCAAAGTGACTTCATGTTCCAAAAAGACATGATGTTTCCAGGTCTGTCCGAGTAACGCTCTCATCTGTTTCAATTCTGAGCCAGCGCCCATCAGCCTCTTTCAATCTCCATTAGCAGGTTGGAAATTTATTCAGAAAGCCGACAGGTACTATTTGGGGTATGAGTGACCACTGATTTATGAATATTGAGTAGCATTTCAATAATCTGAGGCAGAGTAATCACTTGTGGCTGCAGCCAGCTCTCCTTGCCATTACAGCCTACAGCAATCACTCAAAGCCAGTTAAATGATTCTGATTTAGGACCTTAACCTTCAGGGTCCACTCCATTTGCTCTCTCGGTGTGTAAATTCTAAAAATGCAATTCCCTCCACCTCCAGAGAGCCAATTTAAGTCAACATTATGCATGAACCGAGAATGCGGGAATTCTCAGATCTCTTATTTCACTCATTAAATTTACACTGAACATCTTGCAATTAAAATTTCATATAGATTTCTTCTTATGATTGACATTTGGCCTTGATGAAATGGGTTCAAAATTTGGACTCTCAGAAGACATAGAAGGAGTGCGATGTGGGTCTGGGCATTGTTTGGAGAAAGATGATGATCAGGCACTAATACTTTGATTAGCATTTTGAACAGACTCGTTGGTGAAGGGTTGGCTCTACCCCACAATGAAAGACATTGGGGATCCAAGCCAGGAATGAGAAGCAAACCCAATCTGCTTTGAAAACTCTGCTCATTTAGTTTGTCAATAATAAAAGAAGAAACTCGTGGACTGTGAGAGCAAGAAGAAGCCTTGCAGATCTCATAGATCAAAGCCTCTGTGTTTCAGCCATAGAATCAAGCATCTAGAAGGAAAAGGACTTTCCCAGCACAGCAGAGATGTGGCTACTCACCAATCTCTTCTTCCTTCCTTACACTTCTGCCTTGCAGTTTGGCCATGTGACCAAATTCTGGTTAATGGAGTATTAAAGAAAGTAATGACTGTCATATCCAGGCTAGTTCATCAAACCTTTCCACACCCAGTCCTCACTCAATTTCCCCATCCAACTGCATGGACAGCCATATGAGTGAGAAATAAACATGTTGAGGTTCGCCACTGAAGTTGAGGGTTGCTTTAGCAATTAAACCACTCTAACACACCCAAGATCATGCTGTGGGTTAGTAAGCTAGCCCTTGAGCAATACATCCAAGGGCACACAGTGTGTCAGTTGGCCCACTTTTGACACCCAGTAACACACAGTGGGTCTAATATACTCAAGGACACACAGTGGGACAGTTGACCCACTCTTGACTAACATATCTAAGGGCACACAGTGGGTCAGTTGGCCTGCTCTTGACTAATACACCCAAGAATACACAGTGGGTCTAATATACCCAAGAACACACAGTGGGTCTAATATACCCAAGAACACACAGTGGGTCTAATGTCCCCAAGGACACACACTGGGTCTAATATACCCAAGGACATACAGTGGGACAGTTAACCCACTCTTGACTAATACATCTAAGGGCACACAGCAGGCCAATTGGCCCACCCTTGACTAATACATCCAAGGGCACACAGTGGGTCAGTTGATCCACTCTTGACTAATACACTCAAGAAGGCACAGTGGATCAATTGGCCCACCCTTGAATAATATACTCAAGGGCACACAGTAGGTCTGTTGGCCCACCCTTGACTAGTAAACCCAAGGGCACACAGAGGATTAATTGGTTTACCCTTGACTAATACACCTAAGAGCCTAAGAGCACACAGGAGATGAATTGGCCTGCTGTTAAATAATACATCCAAGGACACACAGTGGGCCAGTTGCCCCGGACTTGACTAGCAAACCCAAGAGCACACAGCGAGTTAGTTGTCCCAGGCTTGACTAATAAACCCAGGGGCACACAATGTGTAAGTTGGTTCACCCTTTACTAACACACTCATGGGCACAGAGTGGGTCACTGAAGGAGTCAGAACTGAAGCCCAAGCTTCAAGATTAGAGGCCCAGTGCCTTCTCTTCCACTCAAAGTGCCTTGGTTTTGGAGCATTTTTTGAGAAATCAAAGTTAAAAATGTACACATCTAACTAGGTGTCAAGACTAGTCCCCCATGGCCGGGTGCGGTGGCTCACACCTGTAACCCCAGCATTTTGGGAGGCCAAGGTTGGTGGATCACAAGGTCAAGAGATCGAGACCATCCTGGCCAACATGGTGAAACCCCATCTCTACCAAAAATACAAAAACTAGCTGGGCGTGGCAGCACGCACCTATAATCCCAGGTACTCGGGAGGCTGAGGCAGGAGAATCGCTTGAACCTAGGAGGTAGAGGTTGCAGTGAGCTGAGATTGGGCCACTCTACTCCAGCCTGGCAACAGAGTAAGACTACATCTCAAAAAAAAAAAAACAAAAAAACAAAAAAAAAAAAAAAATGCTAGTCCTGAGGTAGGATTTATAAAAGTAACTCCCCTGTCCCATGTATCTATTCAAATAGGTTAATACACACCAGCACCATTGCTTCATTGTGTTGTGTTTTTGTTTGCTTTATTTGGGGCAGGGAATATTTTAACATTAGGAGGATAAAGGAGCTTAGTGGTACAAGTTGTTTTTCTGGATGGAGCCTGAGAAAGAAAGAGAAGAAAGATAGAAGTGCTGACATGTTGCTCATCTCTGCAGAGAACCAGAGGCACTGAACCGAGCCCCACAGCTGAAGGAGTGGGGTTGATGGAAGGCTACATGAGACACCAGACACCCCAGGCCTAGGGCAGAAAATGCGACAGAGAGGAGGCAGTGGTGTGTAAATTTTCAGGAGCAGGCTGGTGCAGAGGGGTTCTTGATAGGTAACAGCTGCCTGTTTTCCATGGTGTAAATACTCCCATCATAGTCAATTTCAAGCTATCCACATGATGTCATTAACCTCAGAGATGGGATGAGACGCACACAATTGACTCTGAAAAGCCAGTAGTGAGGTAGGAGGCAGGACTCAACTCAGGAGGTAGGGCTTGGATACTGGACCATATTGAGGACTAGCTAAAACAGGGATGGGGTGGAAGCAGCTTTCCATAAAACGTACCCACAATGTGCCATGTCAGTTTTCCATTGCCATGGCAACACTTGGAAGTTACTGCCCCTTTCTATGGCAATGACTTGATGACCCAGAAGTTACCACCCTTTCCCTAGAAATGTCTGCATAATCCACTCCTTCATTTGAATGTAATTAAAAGGGGGTATAAATGTGTGAGTGCAGCACTGCCTCTGAGCTACTACTCCAAGCACACTGCCTATGGGGTAGCCCTGCTCTGCAAGGAGCGTTATCTCTGTTGCTGCTGTGCACCACGGCTTCAATAAAAGTTGTAGTCGAACACAACCGGCTGGCCTTTGAATTCTTTCCTGGGCAAAGCCAAGGACCCTCCCAGGATAAGCCCCAGTTTGGGGGCTCACCTGCCCTGCCTCAGTAGAAACCAGCTCCAGCGCACCACCAGGAGGGACCATGTCTCCCCTACTATGCCACAATAACTCAGTATGGCTTCAGCATCCCGCAGATTCGAGAGGGCTCCAAGAACAGCAGAGCACAAGGAAAAACTGCAGAGCCCCATGAGAACAGACTGCCATGAAAGACACCAGCAACAGGGTTGGAAGTGACCCCTCTCATAGGTGACCTGTGCACAGCAGACTGCAGACTGGGAATGGGAGATAGCAGAAAACACACGGGTGCATTCTTAGGCACAGAGACCTTGTTAGAAATAGGGGCAGGTTCAAATTGCAGAGTTGGTGTTTCATGGATTGGGGAGAGAAGGTAGCATTGTTTCTGCACCCCTGTGAATACACCTTCATCTTCACTGATAGGCTAGTGAGACCCAGACCATTTCAGATACACAAGAGAGACAGTGCTGATGGTTGGAACAAGAGAACTGCTCAGCCTAGAAGTCTCTAAAATCTACCTGATATTTGGAAAAAACAAAAAAAAAGAAATAGTGCACAAAGCATATCACTAGAAAGTGTACTAGAATTTGAGTGAAAATATCCAATTCTGGTCTCAGTCCTATCACTTCACATCTCAAATTTAGTTTCTTCAACTGTAAAATAGAAATGAAACTCCCTGCGTTTCACAGGTTTCCTGGAAGAGTTCAATGAGCTAGAACGTGTGACTGTGCCTCTCACCCAGGAGCGATCTCACCATCAATCAGAGAACACGAGTTGAATCTGATTTGGAACCAGAACAACGATTGCCTCTCATCTGGACTAAAGACTGGCCTAGGATGGCTCTCCTGACCTCAGAGCCAAGTCACAGGCAAAACAGAATTTGACTTATCCACCTTCCCCTTGATTGACCCAAACCCAACCAAAACCGTCCTTTCGAGAGCATTTCATCGTTAGCCAGTCAGCTTCCCCGATTCACGGCCAACTGTTGTTTATAGTGTTGGTTCCAAATGCCAGGCAGCACTGCACCGAGGACATGGGCAGAACTTCAACAGGCAAAGACCCATCAGGCAGACAAACGTGTTCGAAAGACTCTCCAGCACGGCAGGTGGAGCCCCGCTCCCTGGAAAGCCAGTCCTCCACCTGGCACAGAAAACTCAAGTCTATCTATCCAGCCTGTAGCAAAGCCAGCCCCAGGCAAATCTGAAAAATAGCAATGCAATCCCTTGGAGCATTTCTTCTCAATGTCTAATGCTTCTCTCAGGATATCACCCCATCTTCCACCTCACCAAGCAAAAGTGGACATAGTAATGGAGCAGAGGAGGGTTGATATGAATAGATGTAAGACTTGGCATCCTGCACAGCACACGTCAATCATTTCTTTCATTTGCTCATTACTAAGTGAGCATTTGGTAAATGTCTGGGTCCCAAGCACTGACCTAGAAACAGTGGACACAGGCACAGAGCTAATAACAGTGGACACAGACACAGATCTAGGAATAGGAAACACAGGCACAGAGCTAGGAACAGTGGACACAGACACAGGGCTAGGAATAGGGGACACAGGCACAGAGCTAGGAACAGTGGACACAGACACAGAGCTAGGAATAGGGGACACAGGCACAGAGCTAGGAACAGTGGACACAGACACAGAGCTAGGAACAGTGGACACAGACACAGGGCTAGGAATAGGGGACACAGACACAGAGCTAGGAATAGGGGACACAGGCACAGAGCTAGGAACAGTGGACACAGAACATATGAGACAAGGTCTCTGCAACTCAGTAGCTCAATTTGGGAGGAGTAGGGGGACAAGAAGACAGACCTTTTTGTTTGTTTGTTGGTTGGTTTGAGACAGTCTTTCTCTGCCCCCAAGCTGGAGTAGTGGCACAATCACGGCTCACTGCAGCCTCAACCTTCTGCACTCTAGCGATCCTCCCACCTCAGTCCCCACAAGTAGCTGGGACTACAGCTGTGCACCACCACACCTGGCTAGTTTTTGTTTGTTTGCTTTTGTAGAGACAGGGTCTTGCCATGCTCCCCAGGCTGATTTCAAACTCCTGGGATCAAACAATCCTCGTGTGTTGGCCTCTTAAAGTGCTTGCATTACAAGACAGATGTTTAAATACATCAGAGCAATAATATATTACGGATGCTAACACATTGTCTAGACAGAGCCTCGTGAGGACCCAGAAAGGACCCAGTGGGGAGAGTGGTGTTCAGTTTCACCCATTAGAGCTCCCTACAACGTGCATCCCTTAAGCAGAGCGGGTATTCATGAAGCAGCCCTGGGGAAAGGGCTCAGGGCAGCCTCAACCAATCAATGCTCAAAGGCATTGATACATGACATAGGATGGCAGTTTGGGGAGTTGCTGGTAACAATTCAGTTAGACCAGAGTGCTGAGAGCAAAAGGAGCTTCCATTAGTGATAAGGCAGGAGAGGTTAGCAGAGGACAGATTGGGGCTAGCCTCACTTTGACCCCGACTGGCAGAGGCACCCCATATTCCTGCAATCAGCACAGCATTCAGCCCTTCCTCTGTTTATGGACATGGCTTGAGAAACAGGAGAATCGAGAAGGAGGCAGGAAAGAGGGGGACATGCTTCTCTAGGCATAGGGTCACGCAAGGATGCTGGTCTTTGCAAATCCACTCTATCCTTACAGGGAGAGAAGGTACAAACAAAGTGCACGTTCCAGGAGCCAATGACTCAGACCACGCTGCTGTCTGTAACATGATATGGTAACAAACATGGCTCCAGCTCCTCGATGCACCTACAGGGCAGCAGCACTAGGTATTGGCTTGCAGGAAACGGCATAGATAATCACAGCCCTTCAGGCTCCAACAGCACTGTCTGTAAAGTCATGTTGTCAATGACATCAATCACTTTTTATTTGTCCACCAGTGTTATCCACTTTGCGGGATTCAGTAGTGCCTCTGAAATGCTTCCCTGCATTGCACAGTCCTCTAACCTGCTCTAGAGAGCTGCACCTGCCATCCTCCCAATGAGGTTGGGATGGGGAGAATAATAATGTTTATTGAGACAGGGTCTCACTCTGTCTGGAGTGCAGTGGCACCATCATGGCTCACTGCAGCCTTGACTTCCTGGGATCAAGTGATCCTCCTGCCTCAGCCTCCCAAAGTGCTGGGACTAATTACAGGCACCGGCCACCACACCCAACAGAAAATAATAATTAAAACAATGGTACTATTACTCTGCATTCAGGCACCACTTTAGACTCCTGAAGCACTTTTCTGCATGCTCCTTCTACCTTCTGGGTGACCAGCTGGCACCTGCTCAAGTCTGAATGTTTGCAGTCAGAATCTTTGCAGTCGGAACCCTGGTGGTATTCCTAAGTCCACCTCTCTGTCCATTGTAGACGCATCTCTTCCCCACTTGAGTTTAGTGCTTAGCATTTAGCATGTCACCATTTTATAGATAAGCACCACTCTAATGATAATCACAGTAATAACATCCAGTGTTAATTAAGGCACTGGGCTAAGCCTGTGAAACGAGGTAGGCATCCTTGTTATTTCCCATTTTACAGAAGAGGAACCCGAGGCTGAGAGAGGCAGATTGCCCAAGACTCACAGTGAGCAAGTTTGGAAGCATAGACTCAACCCAGTTTTCTGGAACATTGTCTCTTAATAAATAAGCAATTGGTGACGATTGCTAAATACATCATTGCTGGCTCTCAAATAGAAGAATTGCATAGCTGCCTCCCCAGTGTGGTCTCCTTATAAATAAATGCCTCGGCTGAGAGACTCTAAAGAGAACATACCAGCCCTGTGAGTGCTTTTATGCAGGGCTGAGCTAAGCCACCAAGAACACCAAGGAGAAGATTATCAAACAACTTTTTCAAAGTCCAATAACCTTCCCTATCTGGAAGTTATTTATGGACTCAGAGAAGAAGGATGTGTGTGTGTGTGTGTGTGTGTGTGTGTGTGTGTGTGTGTGTGTGTGTGTGTGACAGAGAGAGAAACAGAAAGACAGAGAGACAGAGGGAGCCCCAGACAAATCAAGAGAGACAGAGGGCAACATCTCCAATTACAAACTAATATTTGGGACTCACTTTTAAGAACCGCAACATACCTTCCTCAAGCAGCAAAATACTGGAGCATCTCAGAAACAATTGTGATTAGCCTCCCCATTCTAATTCTCATGGCACATTTTTTGGGGTTACAGCTCTAACTGTATTCTAGCTGGCATCAGATCATATCATGTACAGCTACGTCAGCATATCAGGTGGGTAGAGCAATTCTAAGCTTGTTCACAAAGGACAGGGGTTCTGCCTTGTACAACACCCTACCCATAATGCCAAGTATATGATAGCTGTTTGACAAATATTTGTTGGCCGAAAAGATCACATTCCGGAAGGGAAATCTAGCATTCAAGCAAATAGGTTTTGATATGGCATAGTCACCACTGTAACAGAAGCAATGACAATGCATAAAAGTTGATCAGAGAGATACGTGTACACCCATGTTCATGGCAGCATTAGGAACAAAAGCCAAAAGGTAGAAACAACCCAGGTGCCACCAATAGATGAATGAATAAACAAAAAGTGACATATCCCTACAGTAGACTATGATTCAACATGTACGAACCTTGAAAACATTATGCCAAACAAGATAAGCCAGTTACAAAAGGACAGACGTTGTATAAGTTCACATAATGAAATATCTAGAAAAGGCAAATTCATAGAGACAGAAAGTAAATTAGAAGTTACCATGGGCCGGGCGCGGTGGCTCACCCCTATAATCTCAGCAATTTGGGAGGCTGAGGGGGGCGGATCACTTGAAGCCAGGAGTTTGAAACCAGCCTGGTCAACATGGTGAAACCCTGTCTCTATTAAAAATACAAAAATTAGCCGGGCATGGTGGTGAGCACTTGTAGTCCCAGCTACTCGGGAGGCTGAGGTGGGAGAATCACTTGAACCCAGGAGGCAGAGGTTGCAGTGAGCGGAGAAGGCGTCATTGCACTCCAGCCTGGGTGACAGAGCAAGACTGCATCTCAGAAAAGAAAAAAAAAAAAAGTTACCAGAGCCTGGGATAAGAGGAATGGGAAGTTATCCTTTTTTCACCTCCATCTCCCAGGTTCAAGGATTCTCCTCCCAAGTAGCTGGGACTATAGGCATGAGCCACCACACCCAGCTAATTTTTTGTATTTTTAGTAGAGATGGGGTTTCACCATGTTAGCCAGGCTGGTCTCAAACTCTTGACCTCATGCGATCCGCCCCCCTCGGCCTCCTGAACTGCTGGAATTACAGGCATAATTCCACAGCACCTGGCCTGGAAAGTTATCCTTAACGGGTGTGGAGTTTCATTTGGAGCGATTAAAAGATTTCAAAGCTAGATAAGGGTGATAGTCAGAGAATGGGAGGAGAGAGATAATCAAGGAAAATAACTAATGGGTACTAGGCTTAATACCTGAGTAATGAAATAATCTGTATTACAAGCCCCCACGACACAAGTTTATCTATGTAACAAACCTACACCTGTACCCCTGAACTGAATAAAAGTTAAAAAAAATAGTGATAGGTACAATGGTGATTGTAATAAATGTCACTAAATTTTACACTTACAAATAGTTAATAGGATTTTATCATAATCTTTTCTGCATCTATTGAAATAATCATATGATTTTTGTTCTTAATTCTCTTTATATGGTGAATCACATTTGTCGATTTCTGTATGTTGAACTATGCTTGCATCCAAGCAATAAGGCCTAATTTACTTGTGATAAGTTAACTTTTTGATATGCCCATCAACAGTGGATTGGATAAAAAAATATGATATATATTATATAGATACAGTGGAATACTATGCAGCCATGAAAAAGACCAAAATTATGTTCTTTGCAACAACATAGATGCAGCTAGAGGCCATCATCTTAACCGAATTAATGCAGAAACAGAAAACCAAACACAACATATTCTCACTTATAAGTGGAAGCTAAACATTGGGTACACAAGGACATAAAGATGGGAGCAAGAGATACGGGGGAATACAAGAGTAGGGAGAGAAAGGAGGGAGCAACTATTGAAAAACTACCTGTTGGGTACTATGCTTACTTCCTGGATGATGTGTTCAATCGTACTTTAAACCTCAGCCACAATATACCTTTGTAACAAACCTATACATGTACCCACAGAATCTAAAAGTTGAAAACAAATAAATAAACAAAATAAAATAAAATACGTTGCTTTATTTTTCCATACTATAAATAAATAAATGTATAAACATTAAAATAATTCGTGAATAGGGCAAATGTTATTTGCACACACAGACACACACACACATTTACACACACACATATGTATAAAGTCACCAAAAAAAGGCCGAAAAAAGTAATTAGGGATTGACTGATGGATGACATTGGCAATTGTAGCATCTAAGTGCTGAGCATTTAAACGAAAAGAAAGAGAAAAGTAAAAAAGTGGACAAGCGTTCATTCATTTCAGGGCATCAGAGAGGGCTTCTGGGAGGAGGTGATAAGTGAATGTGCTGTCAAAAGCATTAGTTTGTGCAAACAGTAGTCATTCCAAGAGCAGAAAAAGCACATGAAAAGTGATGCCTCTTTCGATTCTTGGCAGAACCAAATGAGATCTATCACTCGCACAGTGGGATCTCTCTCTCTCGGTCCCAGGAGAAGGGCCATCCACACCCACAAGGGAATCTACTCTCCCCTCTCAACACCCACTCAGAATACGCAAGATTCAGCTCAACTCCTCCACCATGAAGCCAACACGGACTCTCCCTGCTCTGAATTCTGTTGTGCTCCCAAACTGTTCCACACATCCTAAGAACTTAATTACACGCGGCTTTGTATTGCTTCCTAATTCAGGGTCCCCCAAGCCATTCTGTGGTTTACTAATCCCCTGAAATGCTCTGTGAACAAGAGTTTCCATGGTCAAATAATTCTGGGAAACATAGTCAACAATATCTGCCTTTTGAACATCACAATGCATGTGAGCTCATTAAAGACTCCGAGAAGCCCAGCAATTTTTAATTTTGTTTTGCCCAGTATGCTCTGCAAAATCATTTGTCCTTGTCCCCATGACTCTGTTTTTTTAAATATTATCACCAGTTAATATTTTGCAGTACTCATGTACTCCTGCTCCTTAGGGAGGGAAATGCTGACCGAATAGATTTACAAACCAAAGCCTTGTCTCCCAAAGAAGAATGTAGGCTCGTGGAGGGTAGGGTGTGCATTTGCAATTTCTTTTATCCCATCCCCTCACAGTGCCAAGCGCAGCACCTGACGATGCACCCTAATGGATCCTGTTGCCTTGACGACCAGCTTGGAGTTGCTATTTCAGGACTTTCTCTCCATCTTTGGAGCCCCAGGAAAGCAGCAAATGCCATAAGGCATTAGTCTGAGTGTGCTGCATTTTCAGCAAAGTGGCGTTAATAATGTTCGTGCATCTCATCAGCCAGGGCTCCGCAAGACAGGCAGTATGCGAGGCTTCCAGTGACATGTCACTGAAGCCACCTTCTCAAGCGCCCACTGCTCACAGTAACACTTGATTCTTTTTTTTTTTTTTCCAACTAATTTGGTAGTTGGGAAGTGACACTGCATTGTTTACAGCCCCTCGTTCTTGGAGGTAATATGACCCCTCCAGTGAGAACCTCCCATCTGGGTAGTGCCATCTGTTTTTGTCACCATGAACAGCTCCTCTGTGCTTGTGGAGCACTTTACAGGGACGTCAAAGCCCAGGGGTAGTCTCCGTGCCTCTAATCATAAGAAGAGCACAATTGCTACCTGGTACCAGGGCTACCTGGTACCAGGGAAGAGAAGCACAGACGAGGTTTCCTCCCTCCTCAGCTAAGTGCCAGTGGCAGCTCCCGCTACCAGGAATCCCATCTGTCTCCCTTCTGGTCTGTTGTGAGCCCATGGGCCCTGCCTGGGATTGAGAGAGGCCCAAAGCTCTTCCCTAATAGCACCAATCTGCCAACAAAGCTGAAAGAGACAGACTTGGCCTACGAGTGAAGGAGGGATCTATGGGCTGGTTGAGTTGAAACAAAGGAAGAGCTACACTGGGCAGATAGCAATGTCTGTGACTGACTTCCATCATGGGTTGTGTTTACTTCTTCAGTGACCTTCCAGGTGTCTAGCTCACTGTTGGTGCCACTGTGTACACTTGTTCTAGTTAACTTTTACTCCATAACAAACTATTCCAAAACAGAGAGGCTTTAAACAACAATCACTTGCTTTGCTCACTAATGTTCAATGTGGGCAGGGCTCAGAGGGGATGGCTCATCTTGGTTCCAGGAAGCATAAGGTGAAGCAGCTCCACTGGGGCTGGAGGATTCAAGATGGTGCACTCACTTGGCTGGCAAGATGGTGCTGGTTGTTGACTGGTAGCTCAGCTAGGGCTTTCATCTGAGGGCCTTGGTTCCTTTCCACATGGGCCTCACAGCTTCCTCATAGCATAGTGGCTGCTTGAGCTTCCTCATAGCATGGTGGCTCAGGACAGTCCAAGTATTCCAAGAGCAAGGAATGAAAATTGCTATTCTCTTAAGACCTGGGCCTGGAAACTGGCACAGCATTACGTCCACATATTCCATTGTTCAACCAATCACATAGCCTTCCCAGATACAAGGGGAGGTGTCACAGACCCCAACTCTTAATGGGAAAAGTTTCAAAGAATTGTTGTCATCTCTAATTTACTTCAGTGCTTGACACTGTTAGGTGGCTTATAACAAACTCTTGCTTTGGTCCATGTGACCTGGTACAAACCAAAGCTATGTTGTTGGTTCTTAGCACAAATCTCCACCTCTCAGCAGGAAGGAAGGAAAGAGGGAGGGAGGGAGGGAAGGAAGGAAGGAAGGAAGGAAGGAAGGATCATTTATTAAGAATCCATCATGAACCATTCACCATGATCAGGTCTTCCAAAACATCTTCTCATATATTTCTCACAATGACCCTGGCAGTAGAGATTTGCTCTCTCATTCTACACATAAGAAGAATGGGCTCAGACAAGTTAAAAAATTTCCAAGGTCACACAGCTAGGAATGTGTAGTCAGGATTTGAACCCAGATCTGTTTGGCTCCCAAGGCTGTGCTTATCCTACTTTGTCAGGGACTTCTTAAGCCTACCTGAGCCATAACATCAGTTGAGTTCATGTTGGGGCTCTCTACCATGGACCATCCATCAGTGCATCTCTGAGAGGTGGCTTGGTCCACACAAGGAGTGCCAGGGCCTCTCCTTGGCTCCTCTCGTCAGATCCTCCTTGCTATTCATTGTTCTAGGGACACCTGTTGCTCGTGTTCTGTGGTGAAGGTAGTTGCCACAATTTCACTGCTGGCCTGGCATCTGGTATGCATGGGGTATGCTTTCCATGCCCTTAGAGCGCACTTTCTCCCCACCACCCCATATATGGGTCTGGTATCTGCTTCAAGGTCCCCACTTAGCCCTTGACTTCTAGTTCTCAGACTGAAGCCCTTCACTGCCCTCCAACCTTCCTGCCCAGATCTTCCCAGCATCCTCCCAGCTATGCTGCCTATACTTTTAGCACCTGGCTGGGCCCAATGGACAAGGCACTCACAAAACCTACAATGATGCCTGGAGACCTGGCATGCTACATGCTGCTTGAAGTCTCCTGACCTTCAGACTCACTACCAGCTTATAGCCTATTCCACAGATCTCTGCATCTGCCCCAGCTCTATCTGACCTCTCTATATTACACCTGACCCCATACTACACCTGACCTCCCTCTACCCACACCTGCCACTCCAACCCATGCACAAGATCCTCTGTCCAGCCTCCTCTGCAAAGTCTGCCAAATGCTCCCAGTCCCCAGCCAACCTGGCCACCCAGCCTAGTCTCAGCATTCCACATGGAAATGGAAAATGGCAGAGGTGGGGGAGCAAATATATCAAACTCATCAAAGCATTTCTGAGCTGCAAACTCATAACTCCCAGCCCCCACACCACTGGATGACCCCCCACAGAGATTCTGACAGCCCCCTCATTCTACCAATTGCTCCCCCCTCTCCTGGGTTCTCTCCCTTTCCAAATTCTTTATGGCCCATCCTACTTGACTTTCCAGTCTCTCCCATCCTACAGTCTCTTCCTTCAACTACATAGCCTATAGTTTTTTCTTCTGAGCCAAAATTGCAGAAACATTCTCTGTGCTGTGTCTCTAGTTGCCAATTTTCTATCTACTCCCAAATCCACTTCAGTCTATCTCCCTTCCCTTTACTGAAATCATTCCTGTCAAATCACCAATGGCCATGTACTGCTAAATCCAAAAGATGCTTCTCTCTCTGTCTTTCTAGAAGTCGTATGCAGTGATGATTCTCCCTCCTTCTCTGCACCTCTCCTTCCTTGACTGCTGGGACATGACAACCCCACCTCAGTTTCACCACTCTCTTTCTCTCTCTCCATCCTCTTCCTTTGCCCAACCTCAAATGCCCTTTTCCCAGTATCCACTCCTCAACCTCTCTCTCTTCTCACTCTATGCACTTACCCTTCCCAAATCCTGAGTGATGACATCTCCCAACTCCACATCCCCAGCCCTGATCACTGCTGAGTTCCAAAACCAGGTAGCCATATCACCAAATCCCCTTAGAGTCAACATTTTTCCCTGTCTCTGGGGATGCCCCATAATCTATCTGACTGCCCAAGCCAGAGTCCTTAACTCCTCCTTCTCCATCAACCCCACATCTCACTAGGTACCAAGTCCAGCCAATGCTACTTCCTGTCTCTAGAATTGTAACCGCCCATTGGGTTCACCTTGCCTGCTGCCTAGACAAAGCTGGTTTATCAAGACAGGGGAATTGCAATAGAGAAAGAGTAATTTACACAGAGCTAGCTGTGCAGGAGATCAGAGTTTTATCACTATTCAAATCAGTCTCCCTGAGCATTCAGGAATCAGAGATTTTAAAGATAATTTGGCAGGTAGGGGCTTGGGAAGTGGGGAGTGCTGATTGGTCAGATTGGAGGTGGAATCATAGTGGATCGAAGTGAGTTTTCTTCCTGTCTTCTGTTCCTGGGTGGGATGGCAGAACCGGTTGAGCCAGATTACCTGTCTTGGTGGTGTCAGCTGATCCATCCAGTGCAGGGTCTGTACAATATCTCAAGCACCAATCTTAGGTTTTACAATAGTGATGTTGTCCCCAGGAGCAATTTGGGGAGGTTCAGACTCTTGCAGCCAGAGGTTGCATGGCCCCTAAATGTCATTTCTAATCTTGTAGCTAATTGGTTAGTCCTGCAGTAGCTAATTTGTTAGTCCTGCAAAGGCAGACTGGTCCCTAGGTAAGAAGGGGGTCTTTTCAGGAAAAGGCAATTATCAACTTTGTTTCAGAGTCAAATCATGAGCTGAACTACTTCCCAAAGCTAGTTCCGCCTACATCCAGGAATGAACAAGGACAGTTTAAAAGTTAGAAGCAAGATGGAATCGGTTAGGTCTGATCTCTTTCACTGTCATAATTTTTTCAGTTATAATTTTACAAGGGCGGTTTCAGAATCAGACCTCCAGATTCCATCTCCATGGCCACTACCTTTGTTCTCAAGTCTTGTCATCTTTGGAGCCAAGTTCCTATAAAAACTCACATGGTTCCCTCTCCACCATTGCCAGGGACCTCTTGCTAAAAAGGCCAATATGATCATCCCACTCCCAACTTAAATCCATCAACAGCTCTGTTAGAGGAAAGAGTCCCAATCCAGACCGCAAGAGAGGGTTCTTGGATCTGATGCAAGAAAGAATTCAGGGTGAGTCCATAGAGTAAAGTGAAAGGAAGTTTATTAGGAAAGTAAAGGAATAAAAGAACAGCTACTCCACAGATAGAGCAGACCCAAGGGCTGCTGGTTGCCCATTTTCATGGTTATTTCTTAATGATATGCTAAACAAAGGGTGGATTATTCATGTCTCCCCTTTTTAGACCATATAGGGTAACTTCCTCATGTTGCCATACCACTTGTAAACTGTCATGGTGCTGGTGGGAATGTAGCAGTGAGGATGACCAGAGGTCACTCTCGTCACCATCTTGGTTTTGGTGGGTTTTGCCTGACTTCTTTATTGCAATCTGTTTTATCAGCAAGGTCTTTATGACCTGTATCTTGTGCTGACCTCCTATCTCACCCTGTGACTTAGAATGCTTTAACTGTCTGGGAATGCAGCCCAGTAGGTCTCAGCCTCATTTTACCTCCCATTCAAGATGGAGTTGCTCTGGTTCAAATGCTTCTGACAGCCGCATGACAGGTTTAAGGAAAAATTCCAAAATCTCCATGACCTGAACCTTGAATGTCTCTCCAGCCTCCTGATCCCCTCACTAATTGCTCAGTGTGTCCACCCCACCTTTATCTGCAGTGGCTTTTGCCAGAAATGTCTTCTTCTGTCTCCTCCAACTCCTCTCCCCTTGCCTCCACCTGCTTTACTGTTAATAATTTTCTCAGATTGTAACAAAAAGAGTAGCTCCTCCAGAAATGCTTGCAGGCTGTCTGCATTTCCTCTGTCCAGGCTCAGTTGTGCTGAGTGACCATCTGCTTAGGTATGCATCTCCCAAAGGAGACTGAGTCCCTGAGAGCAGAAACTACCCATTGCATAGTATTGCACTCACAGATGTTCAGTGAGGGTCAGAAGTATGAATGAAGGGATACAGGAGCACAATAAATCACATGCAATCCTGCAATGCAAAAGGGACCTTGCCATGAAGACTCAGCAACCTGTATTAAACTGCCTTAGCCAACATTAAAACAGTGAGAAAATTACAGCAGTGAAAGAGATCTGATTTAACACACCCCCATCTTGGCTTTTCCTTTATTATTTTTGGGCTTTTAGGCCTAGCTGACTTTGAAAGATATTGAGGTTGAAGTTTAAATGGTAATAGGCCTTCCCCCAAACTCAACTACCTCTGTAAAGCTAATGAAAATCCACCAGGCTAGGGGGAGGAGAGGAGCCCGAATTCTGCTAAGATGTAGACATAGGTTGCCAGACTTTTCCTGCAGATAACACCACTGTTGTAGATTGGCCTTTTGAGATACCTTTTGAGGTTTTTTGCATGTCTGACACTATGGCTCCACTTGGAATCAATGACTCCTGTGGCTCACATGGGAGCAACTCAACTCAAAAAGACAGTTTCAACCCCCTGTGATTTCATCTCCACCCCAACCAATCAGCAGAAAGCACCTATTTCCTAGCTACCCCTGCTCCTTCCCCCAAACTGCCTTTGAAAAACCCCTAATTATGAGCCTTCAGGGAGATTGATTTGAGTAGTAACCAGTCTCTCATGTGGTGTGGCTGGCCTTCTGTCAATTAAACTCTTTCTTTACAGCAATGTCATGGTCTTTATTTGTGCAGCAGGCAGGAAGAACCCAGCAGACAGTTACATGTAGAGGTAAAGTTGCCAATGCCTCCTCCAATTCCAGTAACCTTGTGAAGATTCTCCCTTGTTTTTAGCTCTTGTCTCATTGTTAATTCTCCTGGCCACTATTACGGGCTGGGAAGGGATGGAGAGGAAAACATAGCAGAAAGTGTCAGTCACTCCTCTCCTCTGGAGACATTTGCTGCAAAATGGCATTGTCACTCCCAATTTGAGCTGTTTGCCCTAGTTCAGCATATCTAGGGGCAGTAGCCCTGAAAGGAAGCCCAAGAGGCAGATAAATACAAGTCCTTCTTCCCAGAGATGCTCTAAACAAAAGCATCTCTCTCCCTTTCAATCTCTCTCACTCTTTCTCTTTTTCCTCCTCTCTACTCTAAATGGGAACCAAGAATTCCCTTCTGGTCTATCCCTGGCCCTATTAGAGGCAGGAAGCCTATATTTATCTTGCACTTCCATGAACAGGCACCCAAATAGGCATGTCTGTACCCTGAGTCATTTCTCTTCACAGGATACTTTTTTTTTGTAAGACAGGGTCTCACTTTGTCACCCAGGCTAGAGTGCAGTGGAATGATCATAATTCATTGCAGCCTCCAACTCCTGGTCTTAAGGGACCCTCCCACCTCAGCCTCCCAGGTAGTTGGGACTACAGGCATGCACTACCATGCTGGGTTAATTTATCTTTTTAGATATGGAGTCTTGCTATGTTGCTCAGGATGGTCTCAAACTCCTAGCCTTAAACAAATCCTACTGCCTCAGTTGTCTCCACAGGATTCTTAAGAAGCAGGGATCCTTAGGCCCATTTGAGAGTTGAGCTGAGTTTCGGACAGATTGTGTTATCTTGTCCAAAGTCATAAGGTTACGGGGTGGCAGGCCAGGCCCAAGAGCCCAAGTTAATCTACTTCTCAAGCCTACACTCTCCATTTCACCTCCTAAGTCATACTTCATGTAACTGAACCATCTCAGGCCTTTTCAACCTCTGATTTCACTGAAGTCACTTAAATTTTTTTTTTTTTTTTGAGACGGAGTTTTGTTCTTTCACCCAGGCTGGAGTGTAGTGGTGCGATCTTGGCTCGCTGCGACCTCTGCCTTTTGGTTTCAAGC
Organism: Homo sapiens; assembly: GCF_000001405.40. Lineage (NCBI taxonomy): Eukaryota > Metazoa > Chordata > Mammalia > Primates > Hominidae > Homo > Homo sapiens. The sequence continues at coordinate 67,582,275 of NC_000007.14, read as the reverse complement.
AATTCTCCTGCCTCAGCCTCCCGAGCAGCGCGTTATAGGTGCCTGCCAACAAGCCCAGCTAATTTTTGTATTTTTAGTACAGATTGGGTTTCACCATGTTGACCAGGCTGGTCTCGAACTCCTGACCTCGTGATCCGCCCACATCGGCCTCCCAAAGTTCTGGGATTACAGGCGTGAGCCACCGTGCCTGGCCCAGTCACTTTAATATGAATGCCAAAACACTACTTCTCTTAATCTCCACTGGCATTCATGGTATCCCAGAGCTGACCTCCTAACAATCTTTCCAAAATAAGTCTGAAGTTTCCCACGGGATTGGGGGGTGTCATAAGCAGATTACCACCAACATCCAAATGCATGATACTGCCACATCCAACTGTTTAAACATGGTGCCATCATCCTACAGGCAAACGTGGACCTCTGGACAATCCTCCAAATCTGGGAGGCTTGAGTGGTGGGCAGGGGAGGTTGAAATAAGCCAGAAGGTATTTGAATTCCAATTCCAGCTGTTCTCAGGTGCAAATCACAGAGGCTCATTGGGCCTTATCTTCCTCTTCTACACAATGGTTGTGGCAGAGGTGTTCTAACCAGAGTGACTCCATCTTGAGTGAGGGCTAGGAAAATGAGGCTGGGACCTGCTGGGCTGCATTCCCAGAAAGTCAGGCATTCCTAGCTTCTAGATATTTATGGTTAAGAGAACAAATTCATAATGTTTACTAAACAGACCCAGACTTGGGAGTGTCCAGATATCCTGATATCTGGACAAAGGCATTCCTAATTTTGCTTTAAAGATAATAATATTAATTCTGGAAAAATATAGTAATTAAGAAAATTTATCCTTTATCACAAACCCTTATAGCAGAGAACATCTCCCCATACATACGAGTATTGTACCTAGGGTGGACGCATTCCTCCTCTTACTTTCAGGAACACCCTACTCTGTCTATGGAGTAGCTGTATTTTCATCACTTTACTTTCTTAATAAACTTGCTTTTACTTTGCACTGCAAACTCACTCTGAATTCTTTCTTGTGTGAGATCCAAGAACCCTCTCTTGAGGTCTGGATTGGGACTCCTTTCCTGTAACAGTTGGGTGTGGGAGCAATAATAGAACCTCCTTCTAGTTTACAAAAGACTAGTATTGTGCCTAGAATATGGTACAGACTAAGTAAATAAGAACCCTTATTTTAATTATTATTACCTTCATTGCTTCTATTAAATTACAGGAAAACAGGCAGAGGTACTAAGGCTGTTTTTAATATATAAAGTAATCGGCCCAGATGTGACAATGCTTTGGATATGGCTATGGATTGAGTGCATTCCTCCAAAATTCATGTGTTGGAAACTTGGTTGGGATCCCACAGCAGTGCTAAGAGGTAAAACCTTTAGCAGGTGAATAGGACATGCATAAGGGCAGAACTCTCATGAATAGATTAATGCATTCATGAATTAAGAAATTAATAGGTTAATGGGTTATCAAAAGAGTGAGTTACTTGTCACAAGAGTGGGTCTATTATAAAAGTCACTTTAGTCCTCTTTTGTGAGCCCCCTAATCTTGTGATGCCTTGTGCTGCTTTGGAACTCGGCAGAGAGTCCACACCAGCAAGAAATTTCTCACAAGATGAAGTCACTCATCCTTGGACTTCCCAGCCCCAAGAACTGTAAGAAATAAATTTCTGGCTGGGTGTGATGGCTCATCATTTAAACATGGTGCCATCATTCTACAGGCCAACATGGACCTCTGGACAATCTTCCAAATCTGGGAGACTTGGGTGGTGGGCAGGGGAGGTTGAAGTAAATCAGACAGGTATTTGAATTCCAATTCCAGCTATTCTCAGGTGCAAATCACAGAGGCTCGCTGTAATCCCAGTGCTTTGGGAGTCTGAGTTAGGAGCATCACTTGAGGTCAGGAGTTCCAGACCAGCCTGGGAAACATGGTGAGACCTCATCACTACAAAAAAGTTAAAAACGAAAAAACTAGCCAGATATGGTGGCATAAATCTGTACTCCCAGCTACTTGGCAGGCTGAGGCAGGAGGATCGCTTGAGCCCAGAAGTTCAAGGGTGGAGAGAGCTATGATCACACCACTGCACTCTAGCCTGGGCTACAGAGAAAGACTGCATCTCAAAAAAAAAAAAAAAAAGGAAGAAAGAAATTTATTTTCTTCATAAATTAGCTAGTCTCAGGTGTTCAGTTATAGCAACAGAAAACAGACTAAGATGGATATCAAGCCATTACCAAAATATCCTGCACTGATCGGCTGCCCCTTGTTAAAATAGCATTTTTCACAAGCAGGCAGAAGCAGGAGGGGGTGGCTTACTGGTCAGTTAGGATTTGTAAATAGATTGAGCTGTTCCCACTGCTCACTTTCTGAAATTCAATGCCTGAAAGTACAGGTATAAGTTGCTGGCATTGCAGCTGTACTCAGTCCTTCCAGGTCTGTAGTCATGACCTCCAGATTTGACAACCACCAATTTCCAGCTCATCCCTGCCTTGGACTTCTCTCTAGTGCAACCAATAACCACAACTCACAGTTCTGATTCTTCCTTCCTTGGGGACCTTCTATTGATTGCCCTTCTTTGCTTATGCCAGTCTCTCCTCTGCTTCCAGTATCCCCATTCTCCAGGGATCTAATTCACCTGAGGAACATAAAAAATGAAGAATATCCCTAATATGAACTGAATCAGAGTCTCATTAGATGGACTCCAGGATCTAGTCTCAAGAAGTCCTCCTTAGCCTACCAAAGTTTAGGGGCCACATTTAAAAACCCAGCCTATCTTTCAAGAACCAGTTGAAGTCTCACCTCTTTCAGGAAGCCCTCCCTGATTGCAGTGGGCTGTCTCTTTTTTGCATCAGAGAACAGGTAGTTGTATTAGTCTATTCTCACATTGCTATAAAAAACTACCTGAAACTGGGTAATTTTTTTTTTTTTTTGAGACAGAGTCTGTCTCTGTCGCCCAAAGGCTGGGGAGCAATGGCACGATCTCGGCTCACTAAAACCTCTGCCTCCCGGGTTCAAGCAATTCTCCTGCCTCAGCCTCCCAAGTAGCTGAGACTACAGGCGTGCACCACCACACCCAGCTCAATTTTTGTATTTTTAGTAGAGACGGGGTTTCACCATTTTGGCCAGGATGCTTTCGATCTCTTGACCTCACGATCCGCCTGCCTCAGCCTCCTAAAGTGCTGAGATTACAGGAGTGAGCCATCATGCCCGGCCAAAACTGGGTAATTTATAAAGAAAAGAGATGTAATTGACTCACAGTTCCACAGGACGTACAGGAAGCATGGCTGAGGAGGCCTCAGGAAACTTTTAATCATGGCATAAGGCAAAGAGGAAGCACACATGTCTTACATGGCTGGAGCAGGAGGAAGAGAGAGCAAAAGTTGGTGGGGGGGGGGTGTTACACACTTTTAAACAACCACATTTCATGAGAACTCACTTGCTATCACAAGAACAGCAAGGGGGAAATTCGCTCCCATGATCCAATCAGCCCCCACCAGGCCCCTCCTCCAACACTGGGGATTATGACTGGGCATGAGATTTGGGCAGGGACACAAATCCAAACCATATCAGTAGTCATAGCATGAAACAGTGCCATAATCGTTACTTATGTCTGCCATGAGAGAAGAAATAGGGGAATAATGTCTCCCATACCAAGCAACTGTTATTCCTGGGCTAGGTGATCACTGTGGATCTTTCAGGGGCATGTGTGTGTGTGTGAGAGAGAGAGAGAGACAGAGAAAGACAGAGACCACTACCTTATCTTCCCTATTAAATACAGCATGAACCCTGCCTCAAAATATTTCAGCTGCCATCTATCATTGTAGTCTTATTTCTTCTTGTCTTACAAACTTTTGGTCCTCTTGAATCCTAGACTACAATACGAAAATCCCCAATAGGTGTCATAATCTGACCTTTTCTCAGTTAATGCCAAATATACCCAGTTAAGTGAGGGCCTCTCAACTCATTAGCATATTGCTATGGACTGAATTATCTCCCCACCACCCCCAAAAAATTCCTATGCTGAAGCTCAAACCCCTAACGTGACTGTATATAGAGATGAGGCTTTTAGGGGGTAATTAAGATTAAGTGAGGTCATAAGGGCACAATCCTAATCCTATAGGGTTAGTGATTTTATTAAAAGAAAAAGAGAGAGCTTGTTATCTCTTCTCTCTCTCTCTCTCTCTCTCTCTCTCTCCACTAGGTAAAGACATAGCAAGAAGGCAGCTGTCTGCAAGCCAGGAAAAGAGCCCTCACAAGAACCTAACCATACTGAGAAACCTCATCTGTCTTCCAGCCTCCAGAATTGAAAAAAAAAAAAAAAAAGATGACTTCCTATTGTATAAGCCACTCCATTTATGGTATATTTTATGGCAGTCTGAACTGCTGTAAAATATGTTTATACATTATAAACATCTTTTTTTTTCATTGGTATTACAACTCCTCTGTCAAGACCCCTTCTTTCCCTGGGTTGTAGGCTGCTCTTTTCATATAATGTCATTTAATTTTATAATTTTTGATTCGGCTTCATCTAATAAAACAACCTTGTTCATGTTTTCAGGTGGTCCTATTTGTTCTACAATTTTAACCTTGTATTTGATGCTAAACTCTTTCTCTCCCCTCTTGGTGCCAGCTGGACTGGAGACTTAAGAGTTTTGGGGTGGCAGGGGTTCTGTTCTCTCAGATGGGCCACAATCTAGCCTCTTCCTGCTGGGGTTTTCTTGTCCTTAGGTGGCCCCAGAGGATATTGGTATCACCATGATATCTTACCCTTGACTATGGAGGAATCTCATCCCTGCCAGGCCAAATGGCAAGACTGCCACCGCCCTCCACACCCTTCCTCCGGGTGCTCCCTGCTCTTCTGCTTTCTTGACTTCCTCTCTCTCCTTGTCCCACCACACCAGGAGGCTCTACCAGTCAGCAGGTGGGCAGGTAAGAGATAGGTTCTAGGTTCTGTCTGAATGGTGGGAGGTATAGTTCATACACCAAAATCACACAGCAAAGGAGATAAAGGGCAAGCCCATGGGAAAGTGACTGCTCCTTCCCCCAAAACTTTCTGTTCTACCAAAAGATTCCATCCTCATGGCAGTGGCTGGGGCCTTCACAGTGTTGGGAAGCCAGAGGCTCTGCAGGAGGCCAGTACCCTGCCCCACTCCACTCCCATATCAGAGTGTCTCTGGGTCTTCTGGCTAGAGTGGCCTTGAGTATGTGTATTAAAGAAACTTAAATTTGTCTGGGCACAGTGGGTCCTACCTGTAATCCAAACACCTTGGGAGGCCAAGGCAGGAGGATCACTTGAGGCCAAGAGTTCAAGATCCGCCTGGGCAACATAGTGAGACGTCATCTCTACTAAAAATAAAATAAAAATTAGTTGGGCATGGTGGCATGAGACTGTAGTCCCAGCTACTCAGGAGGCTGAGGCAACGGGATCACTTGAGCCCAGAAGATCAAGTCTGCGGTGAGTTATGATCTCACCACTGCACTCTGGTCTGGGCAATACAGCAAGACCTTGTCTCAAAAAATAAATAAAGCCAAAAACCTTGCAAGAAAATCTATAAGACCCAATGTATAATTTGGGAGTTAACCTAGACTGGAAATGCAAAAGCTGTAAAATAAAGACATGTTTATTTAACTATGTAAAACTTAGAACTTAAATGTGCAAGAAGAACCATAAATTAAGTCAAAGAACCATAAATTAAGAGATGATAGATCTGGAGAAGCACTTTCCTGATGTGACACAAAGGATTAATATCTGTAACATACAAAGAACTCTTGGGAATTTACAAGAAAAGATAAACACCGTAGTATAAAAATGGAGCCAACCATACATGTATAGACAATTCATATAAGAGCAAATCTACATGGCCGTAAATGTATGAAAAGATGCTCACATTGGCTGCTAGTCAGAGATATGCAAATTAAAGTCACAGTGAGATATCACTTTATACCCCTCAGAGTGGAAATCCCCAGAAAGGGTGACAGCACCTACTACTGAGAGAAGGCATCACCTTTAACATGAGAAAAGCAACCTGGTAATACTTATTGCAAAATTAATTAGTTTATTTGTTTATTTATTTATTTTGAGATGGAGTGTCACTCTGTCACCCAGGCTGGAGTGCAGTGGTGCAATCTTGGCTCACTGCAACCTCCACCTCCCGGGTTCAAGCACTTCCCCTGCCTCAGCCTCCCAAGTAACTGGGATTACAGGTGTGTGCCACCACGCCTGGCTAATTTTTTGTATTTTTAGTAGAGATGGGGTTTCACCATGTTGGCCAGGCTGGTTGCAAAGTCCTGGCTTCAAATAATCTGCCTGCCTCAGCCTCCAAAAGTGTGAGGGTTACAGGCATGAGCCACTGCAACCATCCTATTGCAAAATATAAAATCAGATAACTGGTGATCAAGATTTCTACTCTGAAAATCTATGCCAGATAAATGGAAGCAACAATCAGTCAACTGCAGCGTTCTTCATATGACAAAAAGCTGGACATAGAATGGATGCCCAGAAATGCAAGGACAGCTGAATAAATGATGGTCCATCTACACCACAGAATAGTATGCAACCATTAAAAAGAGAAGATCAGACCAGGCATGGGGGTTTATGCCTACAGTCTCAACACTTTGTGAGGTTGAGGCAGGAGGATCACTTGAGGCCAGGAGTTTGAGACCAGCTTGGGCAACATAGCAAAGCTCCATTTCTATCAAAAAAAGAAAAAAAGTTAAAAATTAGCCAGGCTCAGTGGTGCATGCCTGTAGTCTCATCTACTCAGAAGGCTGAGGTAGGAGGATTGCTTGAGTCCAGGAGGTCAAAGCTGCAGTGAGCCATGATCATCCCACTGCACTCCAGCCTGGGCAAGAGTGAAAGAACTGCCTCTGAAAATAATAAAGAGAGAAAAGATCAGAGTCATAGCAGATGACTTCAAGCAGTTTTCCTGAATCTTTTCTTCATAGTCATCCCCTCCATGAAATTTTAATCCCACAGAAACACTGCACATCTGTTTATTTCCTCAAATGGAATCGAGCCTTGGAAGACCACAGGCCATTGTAAAACTTCTTTCACCTCCCAAGAATCAATGATCATAACCTTGGGATCAGTGTTGCCCCCATTGAGAAAGCATGGTTTAGAGGATTTCCACAAGGCTCTGTAGAGTAAGACTGAAAATCACTTACAAAAAGATATCATTGGCCAGGCGCAGTGGCTCATGCCTGTAATCCCAGCACTTGGGGAGGCCAAGGCAGGCAGATCACAAGGCCAGGAGTTTGAGAACAGACTGACCAACACAGTGAAACCCCGTCTCTACTAAAAATACAAAAATTAGCTGGGCATGGTGGTGCGTGCCTGTAGTTCCAGCTCCTCGGGGGGCTCAGGCAGGAGAATCTCTTGAACCCAGGAGGCAGAGGTTGCAGTGAGCCAAGATCGCACCACTGCACTCCAGCCTGGGTGACTGAGCGAAACTCCATCTCAAAAATAAATAAATAAATGTCATTATTTGTAAAATAGTGATTTGAAAAACCTGTAGAAATTTGTGTGTAAATCATCTGTATAAAATTAGATAAATACAGAGACCCTTGGGAGACCACATGTGGGTTAGTAATGTCAGGGTTGTAAGAATTAAAGAGAAAAGAAACATGAAAGGTGGCTCACCAGTCAAGACAGGTTTATTTTAGAGAAAACAAACCTGACACGAGCTTCTGGCCAAGTTAGGTCAGAGGCACACTTTCTTACAGACTAAGAGTTTTTAAGGATTCAAGGCAGGAGAATTTATTAGTGGCTTGGACTGCTTCTGTGTCTCTTTTTGTGCTTATTTTGGGAGGGACAGTTGTGTGTCTGTTTCCATACATTTTCCTGCAGCTGCAGGCATATGCCCCAAGTCTGCTTTTAGCTTCCCTATATTAGTGCACCTGAAGGGAAAGGAATGGGCTTCTTAAGACCCACTATTTCACTGGGGCCCATTGTATGAGGGTGAAGTTTGGCAGTTACCCAAGAGACTTCCTCCTGGGTAGGAGGAGACTCTGTGCCTGAGCTGTCTTATCTGTGTTTTACTGTCTGCTTTATCTGGCTGCTTGTAGTTAGAAGAGAAGTGATTTCCTTGAAATGCATGACGCTACATTTTTTTTTTATTTTCCTTTAAGTTCTGGGATACATGTGCAGAATGTGAGGTTTGTTACATAGATATACATGTGCCATGGTGATTTGCTGCACCTATCAACCCATCATCTAGGTTTTATGCCCCACATGCATTAGGTATTTGTTCTAATGCTCTCCCTCCCCTTGCTCCCACCCCCCCGACTGGCCCTGGTGTGTGATGTTCCCCTCCTTGTGTCCACGTGTTCTCATTGTAGCCTTGAGCATTCTTTAGAAAAATTGCACATGTAGCTAACTTGAAGTTACCTATGGTCCAGCTATATCTTTATCTCTCTGAAAAGAAAGAGGAAAGAAACACAAAAGGTGGCTCACCAGTTAAGACACGTTTATTTTACAGAAAACAAACCTGAGAGGAGCTTCTGGATGAGTTAGGTCAGAGGCACACTTTCTTAGTCTACTCTTTCCTAAATAGCCTACTCTTGAATAGTCTATTCTTTCCAGAATTCCATGCCTTTATGCACCCTGTTTCCTTGCCTCGGAGGCTGTGATGGTTGAATTGTGTCCTGCAAAATGCATATGTGAAAGACCTACGAATGACTTAATTTGGAGAAAGGGTCTTTGTAGAGGTAATCAAGATAAAATGAAGTCAGTAGAATGTGTCCCAGTCCAATACAACTAATGTGCTTTTATAGAAAGGCAAAATCTGGACACAGAGATAGGTGCAAATTCAGGGAAAATGATGCGAAGACAGAGGGAGGATCCCTAGTGAAGATTGAAGTTCTGCTACCACAAGCCCAGGAAGGAATTAACTGCAGCCAGGAGAGATCCCTGGACTACCATATCCCTCCAGCCTGGTGCCTTCAGAGGGAGCATAGCCCTGCCACCATACTTAATCTTAGACTTCTAGATGCCAGAACTGTGAAATGATCAATTACTCTCTTTTTTTTTCCAAAGTCTCCCTCTGTTGCCCAGGCTGGAGTGCAGTAGTGCAATCACAGCTCACTGCAGCCTCGAACTCCTGGACTCAAGTGATCCTCCCATCTCAGCTTCCTGAGTAGCTAGGACTACAGGCACACACCATCATGCCCAGCTAATTTTTTTTTTTTTTTTTTTTTTTTTTTTTTTTTTTTTTTTGAGACAGAGCCTCACTCTGTCACCCGGGCTTGAGTGCAGTGGTGCAATCTCAGCTCACCACAACCTCCACCTCCCAGGTTCAAGCAATTCTCCTGCCTCAGCCTCTCCAGTAGCTAAGATTATGGGCATGTGTCACTACATCTGGCTAATTTTTCTGTTTTTAGTAGAGACAGGGTTTCACCTTGTTGATCAGGCTGGCCTCAAACTCCTGACCTTAGGTGATCCACCTGCCTTAGCCTCCCAAAGTGCTAGCATTACAGGCACAAGCCAACATGCCCGGCCTCATGCCCAACTAATTTTAAAAACTTTTTTGTAGAGGTGGTATCTCACAATGTTGCCCAGGCTGGTCTCAAACTCCTAGACTCAAGGGATCCTCGCACCTCAACTTCCCAAACTGCTAGGCTTACAGGCATCAGGCACCGTGCCCAACCATGAGACAATACATTTCTGTTGTTTAAGCCACTAGTTTGTGATACTTTATTACATCCCTATGAAACAAATACCCTTTCCTTCTTATCTGGCTGGCAAACACCTATGCATCCTACAAGACCTATGTAAAATTTCATAACCTCGCAAAGACTTCCTGATATGGTTTGGTGCTGTGTCCGCACCCAAATCTCATCTCGAATTGTAATCCTTAGTTGTTGAGGGAAGGACTGGTGGGAGGCGATTAGATCATGGGGGTGGTTTCCCCCATGCTGTTCTCATAATAGTGAGTGAGTTCTCACAAGATCTGGTGGTTTAAAAGTTCTCTCTCTCCTGCCACCATGTAAGAAATACCTTACTGTCCCTTCATCTTCTGCCATGATTGACGGCTCACCAACCATGTTGAACTGTAAGTCAATTAACTCTCTTTCCTTCATAAATTACCCAGTCTCGGGTATGGCTTTATAGCAGTGTGAGAATAGGCTAATATGCTTCCCAAATTAACCACTCCCTCATCTTCTGTGTTTGGATATTTTGTTCATGCCCAGACTCCAGTACTTACATCTCTGATTTATTCCTTTCATTTTATCCCTTTTCTATCAGTTCTTGACCCCCTTGAAGGCAAGGACCACATCTGACTTATCTTCACATCCTCCATACCCTCAGCACTGAGCACAAAGTAAGTGGTTCACAAATATTTGCTAAATGAATGAAAAAACACATCTAAAATAGACCTTTCAACTTTATCAACTCAAAGCAGGAGGAGTCAACAGTGACCGCAGGAGGCTCTTTGGACAATAACTTTTCTGTCTTGGCAAAGCTCTTCAATGCTAACAAATTGACTTAATAGTGAAAATGTCTTTAATGGGGGCAATATGGCAAAAAGTAATTAACTCTCTAATTGAAATCTAGAACTTAGAAAGTAATTAATGGAAGGCCAAATTGTCCTTCACAGCAAGAGTGCTGGAATAAGCCAGCCAGCAGTGGTTCTGCAGCAGGGCTGGAGGAAGGTGTCATCTGAGAAAACCACATCACATCAGAGGGCAGGGCACACACATCTGGACGATGAGTGTTCCCCTTAATCAAGGCGGAGATGCCATCAACCAGGGCTGGCAGGTGCCACTTTGCTCTGTAAGAAGGAACATTTTTTTTTTAATAGGCAGAAATTTCCATCACTGTTTTGTACGGGTGCTCGGGACTTACAGGAAGGGGGAGGAGACCCTCCTTCTGAATCAATGAGCATGACGCAAGTGCCCAGCTAGTCAAGAATCACAGAGTCTTGGAATTCTGGCAAACTTCCATCATCTTGAGGTCCTGGAGTCCCACCTGACTGTAGGATTTTTCCCTGGCTTCTCACTGGCTGAAGGCTGTATGGAGGGTGTGCCTCCCCCTCGAGTCTCGGCAACCTCTCCTCCTTGCATAGAAGGAGGTAATTGTTAAGTGGGTGATCAGTGATAACATATTGCCTGGCAGCAGATGGCATCTATATTTAGAGGCCCTTCTGAGGAAGGATTAATGCCATTAAGAACACACCGCAAGCCAAGAAAATGAGAATCGAGTGTTTCAAATGACTCCCAAAAATAAAAAATTTTTAAAAAGCACCTCCATTTGCCCCGTTATGGGCTTCATTTCGACGCCCCCCGCCTGACCCCATGCCAAAAATAAACGCCCAATCCTTCAGAGGGATGAGAGACCACATATCGGGTACAGTGTATACTGCTCTCAGGTGATGGATTCACCAAAATCTCAGAAATGACCACTGAAGAACTTATCCATGTAGCCAAAAACCACTTCTTTTCCAAAAACTATTGAAATTAAAATAAAAGAAAAAAAATGTGACTGTATGTGAAGATCGGGTCTTTAAAGAGATGATGAAGGTAGAAGGAGGTCATGGGGTGGGCACGAATCTAATCTGGCTGGTGTCCTTATGAGAAGAGATTAGGACAGAGACACACATAGCGGGTGACCATGGGAGGACACAGAGAGAAGACGGCCATCGATAAACCAAGGAGAGGACTTAGGGGAAACCAACCCTGCTGACACCTTGACATTGACCTTGACATTGAACCCTCCAGAAGTATGAGAAAGCCAGTGTCTGTTGTTTAAGCAGCCCAGTCTGCCATATTTTGTTATGGCAGCCAGAACACACTAATACATCCCCCTGCTCATAGGACAAGGTACCATCTCCTTAGCATGGTACACATCGCCCTTGGACAGCTGACCCCACCTACATTCTCAGGCCCCCTTCCCACTGTCAATCCCCTCGTCCAGACATGTGACCCCAAACACACCATGAGCTTTCATACCACAGGACCTCAGTACGTGACCTTCTCTCCATAGGGATCACTCTCTTCACCCTCGTAGTCCTCTTGGAAGGTCCTGTTCACCTTCCAGTCTCAACTTAAATGTCTCATCCTCAGAAATAATCTCCCCAAACCTCTCAGCCCTCCCCACACTAGAATTCTTGTTCTGTGTTCCCCTCACATTCTCCTGTTACCTCCAATCTAGCCGGAGGTCCTTGGGGGTCCAAACTGTGTCTTTCTCAGCTTTGAAGTCCCACACATAACAGTCACTCAAGAAAGGTCTGCAAAATGAGGGAATTAACGCGATATCTTACAAAAGAGTCATGGAGTGAGAAAGAGGAATCCGCCAAGTGGCCAACCAGTCTCTACTGCCTGAAGACGCCCCATAGATGTGACAAACAGAACAACTGATGCAGAAGCAAAGAAAAAGGTCTGGGCTCAGAATTAGGAATCCTGTGTTCTAGTCCTACTTACTTCTGGTGCTGATTCACCACGTGACATTGATTAAGTCACCTAATCTCTCTCTCAGTCTGAGGTTTGACCAGTTCATCTTTAGTTCTGAAAAAAAAAAAAAAAACTGAGTTTGTGACTCCATAGCATTGGACAAAATAAACTAAAAAGACCTTTTGCTCTTCCACCCATATATTTATTCATGCATTAATGTATCACACATTTCTTAAGCACCTATAACTTGCCAGGAGAGTGACAGCCTGCTTCCAGAGGAAGCAACATTTGAGCAGGATCTTGCAGAGGACTTGGAAATGAGAAAATAGCATTTCCATAGAAATTGAATTTCCCAACTTCAAAGAATCCTTCCAACTCTTACAAATTTTATGCTGTGCCATTCCAGAAACAAAAAAGTACTTCTGTTAAGCATGAGTGGGTGGGAGGAGGAGGGAGTAAGATGATTCTGGCACTGGGAACATGATGGACAAGGGTCAAGGTGGGAGAGCAATGGGGCCCTCAGGGAGCAGAGAGAGGACATGTCCTGGAAATGGGAGGTATCTGCAGTGGATGACAAAGATGACATGCCTTGGTTGTGGATGCACTTGGAAGAGGGTTTTGTTCACCTGGAGTCTCTTCTGAATTCAGTAGCAATAAGAAGCCCACAAGTGTCAGAGGCGTGTGAACCAGAGCAACTTCATCTTGAATAGGAGTTGGGTAAAATAAGGCTGAAACCTACTCGGCTGCATTCCCAGACTGTTTAGGCCGTCTAAGTCACAGGATGATATAGGAGGTCAGCACAAGATACAGGTCATAAATACCTTGCTGATAAAACAGATTGCAGTAAAGAAGCTGGCTAAAACCCACCAAAACCAAGATGGTGACGAGAGTGACCTCTGGTTGTCCTCACTGCTACACTCCCACCAGCGCCATGACAGTTTACAAATGCCATGGCAACATCAAGAAGTTACCCTATATGGTCTAAAAGGGGTAGGCATGAATAATCCACCCCTTGTTTAGCATATTATCAAGAAATAACCATAAAAATGGGCAACCAGCACCCCTCGGGTCTGCTCTGTCTATGGAATAGCCAGTCTTCATTCCTTTACTTTCTGAATTAACTTGTTTTCCCTTTACTCTATGGACTCGCCCTGAATTCTTTCTTGCACGAGATCCAAGAACCCTCTCTTGGGGTCCGGGTCTGGGACCCTTTCAGGTAAGACACAAGGGTGTGTGTCTGAGAAGAGAAGTGACCGAGCAGATTTGCATGTTAAAAAAAATACTTGTTGACAGGTGCTTGGAAGTGGGGTGGAGATGGCGACACTAGAGGTGAGAACCAGTTAGGAAGCCCAGAAATGGCTCGGAGACCTGTGATGAACCCTGCGGCCAGCACGGGGTGGAATTGAGAGAGGGCAGTATAGGTTTGCCCAGGATTGCTCAGCTATCCAAGGCCCCAAGTCTCTATCTATATTGGAAATCATGGCATGTTGGGCCTAGTAGAAATGAAAATTTCATCAGATCTCAGATCCCCAGTAGAAATGAAAGAGCTTTAAATTCAATCATCAGTTGGAATGCATCTCTTCTCATCAACCTCAATCCATTTTCCCCACCATGCGAGTGAGTGCAAGTGCACATGTGCGCGCGCGCGCACACACACACACACACACGCCTTTGTCTTTTCATGGGAAGCCAGCGAGTTGTGTAGCCTATTATTTAGTTTAGAGAAGATCTCTGTGGTTTAAATTGGAGGCTTCAGACAAATTGCATTTGAAATTGAAAAGGGGTGAAGTAGCCAGATGTATCATCAATTTAGGAAGATAACTAGTGTATTCGATTGCTACCAGAGCCCATTTATCCCACTGTTACTTAAAATAAAAGACCACGAGCTGGGCAACTCTAAATTTCTCAATCTGGGCTTTTGACAGGAAACTGAAGGATTCATCCATAGAATTCTTTATTTCTCATTAAGACCCAGGCCTTTTCTTTCCCAGTGAATGAAGATGATGTGTCTGAATCACATGCTGGACCTCATTCTTTCCTACCCTCTCAGTGGAGTCTATTGGGAAAACAGCCTGGTTAATTAGGTTTAGACGGGTTGGGGAAGGAGGGGAGACCTGTGATGGACCAGAATTTCTGAGAACAGCAGGTATAGAAGAGTTCTAGGAGACACCCCTGATCTTCCTAAAAAAGGAAAATAAAATATCTGGGAATCTAAATGAAGGAAATAATGTATACAGTAGTTCATTTCCAAGACAAAGTGTCTTAAACCAGCTTAGGTCACCAAACTACAGAAGAAACAGGATATACTAGGCCCCTGCTTGGATAGGCAAGGCCTGCTTGTCGCCTCCCTCGGCTTAGCTGCCCTCACCCAAACCAAAATTGTTCAGTCTAAGATGAAAGTTTACTAGCCCGCAAAATAGCTCACTTTGTCTGTTCTTACCAGTCTGCCCAGCTACAAAGGTCATAAGTCAAAGACTTAAAGAGCCCCTGAGCTAACTAGGATTGCAATGCATTGTGGGCTGCAACAAAATGCAGCAAGATAACCCTAGAGAAAACACCTGAAGCCCCTACCCAACAACCAACAGGTGACGTCCGGGAAGATTGTAACCCCATAGTACTCAGCCTATGAGGAACCAGGAGAGGGACCTGCACACTAGGGGATAAATTGCTTGTTGAAAGTGTGCTGGGTGTGCCTGCCTATCAGATACCCAATCTTGCAAGACTGTCATTAAAAGTCTCACGTTTGCTGTTCTCCAGGTCTCTTGAGTCCATTCTTTGGGTTCGGATGGGTGAGTTTGTTTCTCACATTAAGAAAGCACTGGACTCTTGGAGCTCCTTGAGCCAAGGACTGCCTCTTAATGTCCTTTAATATCTGTAAAAGCATCTTAGAAGCTGTCAAACCGTATACAGTATTATAAGGCATGCTGTACTATTATGAAAATTTAGGAAGGGACCCCTAGAATGATGGGGCCTGAATTTTGCCCAAAAGCTGAACAAAACGGGACTCCCCTCTCTGAAATGTCACCATTTAAACTTCTACTTCTATACAACCTGAATTTCGGATCTCCCCATATGTAAGATGTTGGAGTCTGAACTGTAGATTCATGCAACACCGGGCTGGAACCCTGGCTGCAACACTTAGGAACTGCATGACCTTGGCCAGGGGAAGCACCTTTCTGAGACATGAGTTCCTCCTTTGTTAATTGCAATAATAACGGCATCTCCACCCTCACACTGTTGTTTTGATAATTAAATGAGATGGTGAATGTAAAATGTTGAACATAGGTCCTAGTATATATACATATATATATATATATATTATATATATATATATGCTCAATAAATCATAGCTATTATTGTCTTAGCTATCTTCTTTTATGAAATTTGGAAAAACCAATTCAGAATCTCACCCTAGTCTCTAAAAAAAAAAAAAAAAAGCTGGAGATAGTCCTGCTTTCAGTTCTAAGTGTTTAAAAATATTTCAAATGAAAGGCAGACGGGTTGGAAAGGGGGAGGGAAGACTGCGGTATCTGGGAAGGGAAGACATCACAGATGGGCCATCAGGAACTTCACAGAGTGTCACATCCAGAGGTACCTGCCAGCTCACCCAGGGATGAATCTTCTATGAGGACCAGATGCTACTAATTGGCGAGGAATCCTGTGGCTGCCACCCAAAGAAGGGAACGAATTCTTTGTCACCACATGGTTGTTTTTCCCTTCCAAGTGGAATGTGTTAACTCTTTCAAATAGTAGTACCAGCTTCAGTCTCCAAAAATGCATGTCTACATTTAAGAAATTCTTGAGAAAGATATTGAGGCATTTGTTTCATTGACTCTGATTCTCTGCCCAATAGCAGTGCTTTGTTCTATCTGGTCATTGTGTCTCTGGGCCAGCAAGAACCATGGATGAGGCCAGGCATGATGGCTCATGCCTGTAATCCCAGCACTTTGGGAGGCTGAGGCAGGAGGATCACTTGAACCCAGGAGTGTGAGACCAGCCTGGGCAACACGGTGAGACCCCGTCTCTACAAAAAATACAAAAATTAGCTGGGTGTGGTGGCACACAGCTGTAGTCTCAGCTACTCAGGAGGCTGAGGTGGGAGGATCGCTTGAGCCAGCAAGGTTGACACTGCAGTGAGCCAAGATCACTCCACTGCACTCCAGCCTGGGTGACAGAGTGAGGCCCTGTCTCATAAAAAATAATAATAATAAAGCACCATAAATGATACCCTATGATGGGACTTCACTTAAAGTGTTCTCGTAACAGACTCAGAACTTCACTGCCTCCACACTTTGCGCACTCTTACCCTTTTACCATTTCTTTCCAGGTCTCTCTCTTCCTTCCAAATTGTCACCTCTTTCAAAGACAAGAACTGATCTTCACCTTCTATTGGGTGCTCTCAAAGCCTAGCAAAGACCTTGATCCATGGTAGAGCTTTGCTCAACAAGCAGACCCATGATGACTCAGGCCCCAAATACATGCTCAGCATCTTCTGTTCCCTCAATTCCCAGACCTCAGATTAGCACCATCTGCTCCCATCTCCTCAAATTCCTCTCCATCTCTTGAAGCCATCATAGGCTCCCACACATCCACATCCTCTTACATGTTTTTCTTTCCATCTAGAGTCCTCTCCAGGATTGCACCAGACCCCATAAAAGGAGGCGATTTAGAGCAGGGGCTGTCAAAACTCTAGCCTGTGACAACGGCCCACTGCCTGCTTTTGTAAATAACATTTTACTGGAATACATCGATGTCCATTTGTTTATGCATTGCAATGGCGGCTTCAGCACTATTATGACAGGGTTGAGGAGTTACTGCAAAGATTTGATAGCCTGCCAAGCATAAAACATTCTCTTCCTGGCCCTTTGCAAAAAAAGTTACTAACCTCTGTTTTAAAGGCAAAAGCACAGCCTGAAGAGTGAGACAGACTTGAATTCGCGTTGTTTTTTGGCTTTTGTTTTGTTTTTATTTTTATTTTTTATTGATACATAATATTTGGACATATTTATGGGGCATGTGTAGTATTTTTTCACATGCATAGAATGTGTGATGATCAAGTCAGGGTATTTATGATATCTATAACCTCAAGTATTTATCATTTCTATGTGCTGGGAATATTTCCAGTCCTCTCTTCTAGCTATTTTGAAATATATGGTGCATTGTGGTTAACGATAACCACCCTACTCTGCTATTGAACATTAAAACTTATTCCTGGCCAGGTGCAGTGGCTCACGCCACTGTGCTGTAATCTCAGCACTTTGGGAGGCCGAGGCGGGCGGATCATAAGGTCAGGAGTTTGAGACCACCCTGGCCAATATGGTGAAACCCCGTCTCTACTAAAAAATACAAAAATTAGCCAGGCGTGATGGCGGGTGCCTGTAGTCCCAGCTACTCGGGAGGCTGAGGCAGGAGAATCGCTTGAACCTGGGAGGCAGAGGTTACAGTGAGCTGACATAGCACCACTGCACTCCAGCCTGGGCAACAGAGCAAGACTCTCAAAAAAAAAAAAAAAAACACATTCCTTCTACCTAACTGTATTTTTGTCCCCATTAATGAGGCTCTCATCCACTACCTCCCACCCTTCCCAGCCTCTGGTAACTGTCATTCTACTCTCTATTGTCCTGAGATCAAATTTTTTAGCTCCCACATATGAATGAGAACACGCAGTATTTGTCTTTCTGTGCCTGGCTTATTTCACTTAACATAATGACCTCCAGTTCCATCCATGCTGAATTCTGGCTGTACAATGATCATTAAGTAGCCATGGGAAAGTTTCTTTACTCCTCTGAATTGCTGAGGGGGTTTTCCTCTCCAAAAAGGAGATACTAAAACCTATTTTAGACAAGGTGATTGTAAAGGCAGAATCAAATATACAAAAAATATCCTAGAGGCCAGGTGTGCTGGTTGATGCTCGCAATACCAGTGCTTTGGGAGATCAAGGCAGGAAAAGCATTTGAGCCCAGGAGTTTGAGAGCAATCTGGACAGCATAGCCAAGCCCTTTCTCTTAAAATTTTTTTTTAATTTACCCAGGTGTGATGGTGTCTACCTATAGCCCCAGCTATTTAAAAGGCTGAGGGGGGTGAATCGCTTGAGCTCAGGATTTTGAGGCTGCAGTGAGCTAGGATCGTGCCACTATACTTCAGCCTGGACAACAGAGTTAGACCCTGCCTCTAAAATTAAAAATAAAGAAAAATATCCTAGTGCCCGTAGCCTGCAAATAGGATAGAAGCTCAAGAAATATTTCTTTTTTCTTCCTTTTTCTCTGTCCTCTTCTTTATTCACTTTCCTTTTTTGCCTCCAAGTTTCTTGGAAATCCACCAGTGTTAGGCTATATTACGGGACCCAGTTCTTCACACTTCCTTATTTATATCCACTGTCTTTGCCATGTAATTTTGCACGTCCCCTCAGGAAAATGGCAGAGCACACTTCCCTATCCCTTGACTTTGGGTTCGACCACATGACTTGCTTTGGCTCAACAGAATGAGGTGGAAGTGGTAGGGTCCCAGGTCCAAGCCTAGGCTTTAAGAGGTCTCAGAAATTCCCATGTGCCCTCTTGTGTCTTTGTCATCACCATAAGAGCACACTGTGGACCAACCTGCTGGTCCATAAAAAAGACACACCTTACTTGAATCCAGCCTCGATCAGCCAGTCCCCAGCCACCCCCAGGGAGCCTAACTGAGCCCAACCAAGATCAGTCCATGTCAGCCAACCCCAAGCAGATCCACAGGTCTATGAGAATAAATTTTGATTTAATGAGAGGCTCTGGGTGGCCTGTTACTCAGCAATTCTGTGTCAAAAACCAGCTGGTACACATCACTCATTCTTCAAGATACAACTAAAGTACCACTTCATTTGGGTTAAAATCCAAGCTCTCCCACTTCCTAGCTATGTTGCTTTGGGCAAGTGAATTAGCCTCAGTTTACTTCTCTCCAGAATGGAGATAATAACACCATAGTTATTGTTCTGAGACTTAGGGAAGATGACCATGGTAGATATTCAATAACTGTTTATTTCCGGCCGGGCTCAGTGGCTCAGGTCTGTAATCCCAGCACTTCGGGAGGCTGAGGCAGGTGGATCACTTGAGATCAGGAGTTTCAGACCAGCTTGGCCAACATGGCAAAACACTGTCTCTACTAAAAATGTGAAAATTAGCCGGACGTGGTGGCCCATGCCTGTAATTCCAGCTATTCGGGAGACTGATGCAGGAGAATTGCTTGAACCCGGGAGGCGGAGGTTGCAGTGAGCCGAGATCGCACCATCGCACTCCAGCCTGGGCTATAGAGCAAGACTCTGTCTCAATTTAAGAAGCAATCATAATAATAACTGTTTATTTCCTTTTCCTCATACTCCAGGAAGCCTTTCCAGAAATGCTGGGACAGAAGCAGTCACCTCTTTGTACACGATATTTCTTGCCTCGCTCTGTGCATACCACTTACTTCCAGGTCTGCTCCTGTCACTAGTCTGTGCAGGGATTCCCAAAAAGCGGTATCCATCAGAATCACCTGGACCCAATTTTAAGCACACCAGTGAACAATCTTTGCTCTCATCCTGTTAAATATTTATGTTTGTGAATAGATCAACAGATAGTTAGATGGATGTGTTACCAGAAAGGGGTCCTGATCCAGACTCCAAGAGAGGGTTCTTGGATCTCCCACAAGAAATAATTCAGGGCGAGTCCACAGTGCAAAGCAAAGCAAAAGTGGTGAAAGAACAAAGAGCTACTCTATAGACAGAGTAGGGCATTCCCAAAAGTAAGAGGAGGAACGCGTCCACCCTAGGTACAATACTTGTTTATATATAGGATAAAAATAGATGATGGGTAGATGTGCTCTGCTACAAGGGTTTGTGATAAAGGATTAATTTTCTTAATGACTATATTTTGCAAGAATCGATATTATCTTTAAAGCAAAATTAGGAATGCGTCTGTCCTCAAGATATCGGGATATCAGGACACTCCTAAGTCTGGGTCTGTTTAGTCAACATTACCAATCTGTTCTCTTAACCATAAACATCTAGAGGCTAGGAATGCCTGACTTTCTGGGAATGGAGCCCAGCAGGTCCCAGCCTCATTTTCCTAGCCCTCACTCAAGATGGAGTCACTCTGGTTCGAATATCTCTAACATATTCATAGATAGGTAGATAGATAGAGAGAGAGAGAGATAAAGAGAGAGATGATAGACAGATAGATAGATCATAGATAAAGAGATAAAGAGAGATAATACATAGATCATAGATAGATAGATACATAAAGAGATAAAGAGAGAAAGATGATAGATAAAGAGATAGGAAAGACGAGAGATAGATAAAGAGATAAAGAGAGAGAGATGATAGATACATAAAGAGATAGACAATAGACAGATTGATTGATTGATAGATGTCTCTGCCTACAGAGTCATTTCCCAGCCTCAGAATATAGGTGCAGCCATGTGACCATGTCTGGACAACAGGATGTCAGAAGTGATGGAAGTGATAGCCACCATGTCCAGTCTTGGCAGTTGAAAACCTTACTCAGCATTCTCCACCTGTCACTGTGATTATGAAGACCATGAATCCCAGATGGCATAGCTACCTGGATCCCCAACAAGGCAGAGACATGCCCTGGAGAAGTGCAAGACCTGCATCAGATGACATCAAGAGCAGAAATAAACATTAATTCTGTTGAGCCACTGAGATTGCAGGGCTTGTTTGTTACTGCAGCATGACATAGCCTATCTTGTACAAGGCAGCTCCCAATCACAGCAAAAACGGACCCACAAATTCAGCTCAATTCCACTTTCTAGGTACTCCATTCCCTGAACATTGATATTGAATCAGTTATTTCACAAGTCATAGTAATGGGCACATGGTTCACAAAAGAAAATGTTACAGTACAACAAAAGGGAAAAGATAAGCAAATATCTACAATAGACAACAAAGTAGAATAACTGCCCTAAGGGAGAGACAAAGGTGCTATTAGCGGACTTCTGGCAATGGTATGGACTAGACTGAGCAAAACCTAACCACTGTAAAATGCCTAAAATGTTGGATAAAAGAAGAAAAATCTTCAATGCATAGTCTAGTAGTCCAGAAAGTAAACAAAATCTCTCAAAACCAGACAATGAGGCCAGGTGCAGTAGCTCACGCTTGTAACCCCAGCACTTTGGGAGGCCAAGGCAAGCAGATCACTCGAGTTTGAGGAGTTCGAGACCAGCCTGGCCAACATGGCAAAATCCCATCTCTACTAAACATACAGAAATTTAGCTGGGTATGGTGGCACATACCTGTAGTCCCAGCTACTTGGGAAATTGAGACATCAACCCACATCTCAATGAATGAGTCATTCGTTGAGACATGAATTGCTTGAACCCAAGAAGCAGAGGATGCAGTGAGCCAAGATCACACCATTGCACTCCAGCCTGGGCAATAGAGCAAGATGCTGTCTCAAAAAAAGAAAAAAAAATTAGCCAGGCATGGTGGCGCATGCCTGTAATCCTAGCTACTCAGGAAGCTGAGACAGGAGAATCGCTTGAACCCAGGAGGCAAAGGTTGCAGTGAGCTGAGATCACACCACTGCACTCCAGCCTGGGTAAGAGAGTGAGACCCCATCTCAAAAAAAAAAAGAAAAGAAAAGAAAAGAAACAGCTAAAGAAATAATCAGCACATTGGAAGGTAAATTTGAACACATTACCAAAATGTTGCCTAGAGAAGCTAAAATGTGGCTAAAATGACATGGGATAAAGCCCTAAAAGACAGACTGGGCTTGGTTGGAAAAGGAGTCTGAACTCACTTGATGGCAATGGGAAGGCATTGAACATCCCAGTAAGAAGACATAGTGATCAGAGCTGGGCTTTAGGAAGACAGAGGTGGCATGAATGGAAATGCAGAGTTGCATGAATGGAAATGCAGAGATTTACATGAATGGAAATGCAAGGAGACCCCAACCACTTACCTTGGGTGTTTCTGACAAGCACACAGAGAGAAAACAGAATGTCCCAGACTAGAATCAAGTAGCAGACAGAGGTTTCCATGAGAAAGTGCCCCAGATCAAATGGAGCATTTTATTTCCAGAGCATAAAGGGAGGGTTGATGAGAGGCTGGACTTCTGCATCCTTCCTGGATAGCAAAGTCTTCCGCCACTCTGAGCAAGGGCTTCTGTATGGTACTCTCACCCTATTGAGTTCTCTTTCCTTCTTTTTTAAAATTTAATTGATGCTTGATAGATGTACACAGTTTCAGGGTGCACAGGATAACTTAATGCATTCATATAATTTGCAAAGATCAAATCAGTACATTGTGATATCCATCATTGTGTTAGTCTGTTTTTATGCTGCTAATAAAGGCATACCCGAGACTGGGTAATTTATAAAGGAAAGAAATTTAATTGACTCACAGTCCCATGTGGTTGGGGAAGCCTCACAATTATGGTGGAAGACAAGAAGGAGCAAAGTCACATCTTACATGGTGGCAAGCAAGAGAGCTTGTACATGGGAACTCCCGTTTATAAAACCATGAATCTTGTGAGATTTATTCACTATCATGAGAACAGTGCAGAGGAAAGACCCACCCCCATGATTCAATTATCTCCCACCAGGTCCCTCTCACAGCACATGGGAATTATGTGAGCTACAATTCAAGATGAGATTTGGGTGGGGACACAGCCAAACTATATCAATCACCTTAAATATTTGTCCTTTCTTTATGGTAGAAACATTCAAATTATTCTTTTCTGGCTATTTTGAAATGTACAACACATTATTGTAAACTACAGTCACCCTACTGATCTATCAAACACTAGATCTTATTTTTCTCTATCAATCCATATATTTGTACCCATTAATCAATTTCTCCTCATTCTCCCTCCTATTAGTAAGCCTCTGTCAGTGTCTTCAATGAGGAATTTTCTAAACATGCAGAATGTGCTATAGGAATATCATACCCATGGCAATCCCAGGAGACAAGGAGGAGGTTCAATACAGGAACCGAGTGTGAGGGTTGAAAAGGAAGTGCCCAGAAATGGGCCAGAGGCCTGGAGTAGTGTCCCTAGTGGTAGTAGGAGTATCCCCTGTAGCAGAAGAAAATCAGAAAGGTGGCAGCAGTATCTGGAGGATGGCCCCATCCATAAGAAGGAAGAGCTCACTCACAAGTTGTGAGGTGCACAGAGCCACAGAGAGAGGTCAGCGCCTTCCCTTGGTCAACGACTGTCTTTGGTCCAGAGCAACAGGGATGTGGGCTGTTCCAACGGGCACTGGTCTGTTCATCCTCCCCTGTAGCACCAAAAACAGGGGGGATAGAGAAATGCAGCCCACAACAACTCAGTGGAAATGAATGAATATCAACAAACTCACTTTTATTGACTTTGGGTAGAACATAAACTTGGAACTGTAAAAGAAATAAGGTTAGCGAATGATGAGAATGAATTAGCCAAACTCTTTCAAACTGAAAGGAGAGAGAAAAAGATATTTGAGTTGCAAAGTGGCTAAGATCTAGAGTAAATAGTCAGCTTCACAAAATTAGCCCTTTCAGTTTTAATCTTTTGTGCTTTAATCATTCTCAGCCGTGGACACAGTTCTTACCATGAAGACAAGGGCTCAGAATGAACACAAGGATAATGAATGTGAAATACTATTATATTTAATACTATAATATCATTAATGCAACTGTAGTCAGAGATCAAGGACTTTTCAAATTAATTATTTCTTGTTCCAACACACACCATGAAATGGGCTTTCTAAATCAGAATGACATATCCCAACCTTTTCTCTATTAAGATAATTCTATTTTATTTCTTGGATCTTTGCAGCCTAAGCCAGTTTTATAAATATTTAAGAGAAAAATTAGGAGGAAAAATACTGGATAATGCATGAATAGCAATCAGTTGACTGATATAGAGCTACATTGAGAACCAGCTTTAGAATCTTCCTGCCTTTAGTACACAAATTCTGCACATCTTTTGCAGGAGGATTAGCAAACTTGTAAGTGCACTGAGAACCTCTATGTTCTTTTTGATATGCATTTTCCATTTTATTGCCAGGTTAAGGAGAGAAAGTCACTGCCTGAAATATGCTCATTAAGTTCCCTCCAAATTGAGTCTTTATGGTCAGCAGTAAAAATTAGGTAAAATATTGATAACTTGACTATTAATGGTCTCTCCAGGGTGGGCCCCTGATTGCTTGAGTGGCTAATCATCTGCAGAAACTACTTTCAATCTCCGTTTTGACCTCCAAAGAAATCTCTAAGAATGCACGAGGATAGAGTTCCTTGAAAATATCTGAGGCACTCATTACCTGTCCACACAAAGCGACCCATGTGGTGTGGCAGGGGGTCGATTCCATTATGAGAGTGACATCCGCCTTAGTGGCTTGTAGAGCATTTTATATGAGTGCATTTGCTGAATTCCAGGAAGACACCATCAGCCTCCCGCACCAAGGTATTTCTGCTGTCCGTGTGGTTGGACAGCTTCTTCAAGGGAAATACTTTCTGTGAAATGCCTCCCCAGTTGATGCTTCACAGTTGACTAATTGCCAGGATAATCGGTTCTAACCGTTTACCGTCTGAAAGCATCACTCTTGACTTGATCATTTAATTCTCAAAACGCCTTTGACTGATGGGAAAGTGTGCTATTTTACTTGCAAAGCTGATTGCAAATTATTTTCTGATTGCGAATTTATTTTGTTTGTGACAAAATGTTTCCCACTAATTGCTAAAATAATCTTGTAGGAACTTGCCATTGAACATCTCATTTATTAACCCACTGTAGTTTCTTCCTAATCCTTGTTTTCATCTTTTTATTTATTTTAAACACCTATTTACAGGATCATTAATCCTCATTAATATTATCTGGAACCCTCAAGCAGCTACCACAGCTGTTTCTGTGAAAGAAAACCACACAGTCAGTGAAACTCAGCCCTAAACTCTCTGCCCTACTCCCTAGCCTTTCTTCTGGGAGATGAGGGGCAAAGAGAAAAACCCTGACGATAGCCAATGGAAAGCAATAGAAGTGAATCTTGTTGGCCAATAGAGAAATATACATTATTCATTTGCCTCTGGCCAGCCAGATAATTAAAATTTTCCAGGAGCAGTGGCTCACGCCCATAATCCCAGCACTCTGGGAGTCCGAGGCGGGCGGATCACGAGGTCAGGAGATCGAGACCATCCTGACTAACATGGTGAAACCCCAACTCTACTAAAAATACAAAAAAATTAGCCAGGCGAGGTGGCAGGTGCCTATAGTCCCAGCTACTTGGGAGGCTGAGGCAGGAGAATGTTGTGAACCCGGGAGGTGAAGCTTGCAGGGAGCGGAGATCACGCCACTGCACTCCAGCCTGGGCAACAGAGCGAGACTCCATCTCAAAAAAAAAAAAAAAATTCCAGATTCTCTTCTTTGAACAGCCACAGGTAGACAGAACAGTAAGACACTGTTTAGAAAATATTCATAGCCTGGGAAACATAGCAGAACCCCATCTCTACAAAAAATACAAATATTAGCCACACATGGTAGTGTGCGCCTGGGGTCCCAGCTACGTAGGAGGCTCACACAGCAGGATTGCCTGAGCCCAACAGTTCAAGGTTACAACAAACTATGATTGTGCCACTGCACTCCAGCCTGGGAAACAGAGTGAGATCCTGTTGAAAGACAGAAGAAAAGAGAGAAAAAGGAAAGAAACAGAGAGAAAGAAAAGAAAGAGAAAGAAAGAGAGAGAAAGAAAGAAAAAGAAAGAAGAAGAGAGAAAGAAAAGAAAGAAAGGAAGGAAGGAAGGAAGGAAGGAAAGGAGAGAGAGAGGAAGGAAGGAAGGAGAAAGGGAGGGAGGAAGGAAGGAAGGAAGGAAAGAAGGAAAATATTCATTAAATTTCAACAATATTCTCATCTGGATAGCATCCTTTAAAGATATTTGGACCTAATATTAAGCAGGAAGAAGATAAATTTGGACTTATCAGACCAGAAAGCATGAGTGACAACAGTGCCTGTTGCACTTTTGGCTGACAAAAGTGAACCTGTTACAGCTCACTCATTATACAAGTGAGGAAACTGAGGCATGGAGCAATTGAGTTAGAACTGGGATTGGTGAAGAGAAGCCCACTGCAGTGCTGTTATTTGGATTCAGGCTCTATCCTCAAGGTTTTCTTTGGATTATTGTGCATTTGAGATGGAAGGAAGTAGTATTGCACATAAATTTCATTTTTCTAGGAGCTCATGCCCAATTACAGAAAATAATTGACTTTCCCTAAATGCCCACAGTGGAAATGACAACGTTTTATTTCTTTAAATGCTGCTGAGGGTTAAAGCACATCATGCTGGAACCCAAAGATCGATCTTGTAGGCTCTCTTTTATGGACAGATTATGACAAATGTCACTCTATGCCAAGCACCAGAGAACCTTTTCAAACACTGCCTGTCTTCAACTCAAAGCTCGGCAGAGAGAAGGCACTCAGATTTTTGGTTGAATAAATGACTGCATGACAGTTTCTCTGGGCTTTGTTATGAGGCAGTAATTCTCAAGAAAGGACTTTAATCTGACTCTAATTTTTCCAGCTCTGCTTGGCCAAAGTTCATGTCAAGTTGACCTTAATTCATTCACCTTCTTGGATATGCTTCAAGCTCAGCTACATTAATCCTTCCTTCCTGGTGGGCTCCTGCACTCATTGCAAACCGCTTTTTCTGGATCTGGCAGGGAATTGCCTATAATTACCCTTAATGTACTCCTGGAGCAAAGATATGCATGTTAAGAGCCAAAATAGAAGGTTAACTACAAACTGTGCAGTAATGCAATTACCTCTCAATTATCCCTTTCAACGCTTAGGGAATGAATAGGAGACATTACGCCCAAACGTGCAGTAGAGTCCCTGGTTATTGGAGGCGCGGTGGAGGTAGGGAGAGGCAGAAAAATAAGTAAGGCTGCTTTGGGTAGAGAATGCCAGGGAAGGCTGATGACTCCTTACCGGAATTACTCCTGTTGATATCGGAATTTCTTTCCAATTCTGATTGCTGTACTCTGCAGAAGGTGGGCTGGATTAGTGAGTATCCCATGTCTATTTGATTAAGACCTTCTACTCAGCAATGGCTTTCTGCAGAATTCTCTGTATAAAGGGGTGCATTGCCCCCACACACACACAGAAATACATATCTGGGGTTAGCAAAGACTTTTCAGACAAGCAGGTCAGCAAACATTGGGCCAGTCGTTAACTTTTGGCTGCGACACATGGGGTGCTATCCTACAAAACCTGGACAGGATAGGCACCCTATTTATCCCACCCATTTGCAGAGGGTTCTGCAAAACAAGAGAGACTGGAAAAAGGTGTTTAATCAAAGCAGACTAATTTTGAAGCCCAGAGGAAAGACTGCAGTGCAAAGACAGATGGGGAAAGCACTTAGAACTAAGCCTATCTAAGCCAGGCGCGGTGGCTCATGCCTGTAATCCCAGCACTTTTGGAGGCCAAGGCTGGTGGATCACAAGGTCAGGAGTTCGAGACCAGCCTGAAAAACACGATGAAACCCCGTCTCTAGTAAAAATACAAAAATTGGCCAGGTGTGGTGGCGCATGCCTATAATCCCAGCTGCTCAGGAGGCTGAGGCAGGAGAATTGCATGAACCCAGGAGGCAGAGGTTGCAGTGAACCAAGATCGCACCACTGCACTCCAGCGTGGCTAACAGAGCAAGACTCTGTCTAAAAAAGATAAAAATAAAAAAAGAACTAAGCCCATCCAGGGAATGCTGGCATTCCGCTTGGGCCAGAGCATGATACAGGAGCTTGGAGATAACTTAAAGAGACAATAAGAGTCAGGGAGTTGAGGCCATCTGTGTGCCAGCTTCACAAGCATTCATTCACATCTGCTGATGCCACACATGAGGTCGCTCTTTATCAAGCAGGACTTTATCAGCTGCTGTGAGCAAACCGGTATCCAAGACATCACCCTCACTTCTTCAATTCCCTCTTGTTCTTTTTCATCTAATTAACAGACTGCTTTTAATCTAAATTATATCTTCTGTGATCACATTGGTTGATGTGGTTATCTATTGCTGTGTAACAAACCATCCCAAAACTTAGGGGCTTCTAACAGCAACTCTTTAGTTTATGTCATGGTTCTGAGGATTGACTGGGAGCAGAGCTGGTTGTGTCTCTCTCAGAGTGTCTATGTAATTGCAGTCGAACATCAGCTGGGAGTGCCGTCATCCATAAGCTGTCCTGAACATCGTATCTAAGGTGATCTGTTCATGTGGCTATTGATTGGGAGCTCAGCCTGGACTGTGGACCAGGGTACCTATATGTGACCTCTCCATTAGCTTGGGCTTATCCCAGCCTCGCAGCTAGGTTCTGAGAGGCAATGTTCCAAAATAAACATTCCAAGAGGCCCAGGCCGAAGCCACACCATTTGACCTAGCCACAGAAATTCCAAAACATTGCTTTTGCCACATTCTATTGGTCCAACAAACCACTTAAAGCCAGCCCAGATTCAAGAGGAGGATAATTACACTCTAGCTCTTGCTGTAAGGAGCACCATCTGTATATAGAGAAGGAAAGACTTGGTGGTGGCAATCTTCAGCCATAGCAAAATCCAAAATCATAGTGCCTTTAACACAATGGAAGTTGATTTCTCATGTAAAATTTGTCCAGTGGGAGAAAGCGCTGGGCAGATTTTTATGAGCCCTGCTTCACAAAGTCCCCAAGGATCTTGGATCCTTTTATTAAATTGGTGCAAAAGTAATTGCTGTTTTTGCCATTAAAAGTAACAGCAAAAAAACTTCAGTTACTTTTGCACCAACCTAATAGTTCAACCCTCAGCCATCTCTAGGGCACGACCCTCATCCTCAAGGTCATAGAGAGCAGCACCTGCATGCCAAGCAGAAAGATGGAGAAGGAGGTAAAGAAAAGGAGTCAAGGTCTAATGCCAGCTTCTGTTACAGCAAGTTCCTATAACCTGTCATGCAACACTTGTGCTCGCATCCCATTGGCCAGAACCTAGTCACATGGTCAGACCCAGTTGCAAGGGAAGCTGGGAAAAGTAACCTTTATTCTGAGCCGCCATGTTCCAGGTGAAAGTTCAGGGGCTTGTGTTCTAAAGGAAGCAAGAAATATTGACTGTAACGGGTCCATTCGCTCTCTTTGGATAAATCCACCTCTTTCTCAGTAATCATGAAAATCACACATTTGATATTTCCCCTAATATTCTGATACAGTTCCTGGAGGGAGCTCCTCCCACTTCCTTGAGAATCTCTGCCCCTTCCGTATCCCTATCCAAGACGTTTTGGTCGAATTTAACTACCCATAGTTTCTTTTAAGAAAGTAATAGATATTTTGCGTTACCAACTATAAAATTATATTGTAATATTTAATGTGCCTTTCAACTGTTTCTTCCCTCTCAGATATTCTTATGAACCTGGCCACTGCTTCCAATACACACACAGTCCTGATTGAAAGGCATTTCTTTAGGCCAAATATAGCAACAGATTTCCATCTGACTGCCAACTCAGATGGGAAGTGGCTGCCTGGATGGTGAGACTACTGCATCTGGACTCAAAGAAGGCCTTTGGGTTCCTGGGTGACATCCAGTTCCTCCCACTAAAAGAGAATGTCTATGACGAACAGTCATTAATGGGGCTGGGGCTATAACATTCTACTTCACAACTGTTCCTCCCTGTCCCATATCAACCCAAGTGTACCAAGTCCTATTGGTATTGTGCATTCAACTTCTGACCAGTTCCTTTGGGGTCAGCCCCACAGCCAAGTCAGGTTCCCAGATTCCCAGTCCATACCCTGCCCGATTTCCAAGCTTCTTCCTCTTCATTTCCTCCTAAGAAGCTAAGTTCCCAACATGCCTTGCAATGCAGCACTCAGGAGGAATGGTCCCTAAGGGCTAGGTTTTATGAAAATAATGATTGAAATAGAAATCCTGGCCAGGCACAGTGGCCCACGCCTGTAATCCCAACACTCTGGGAGGCCTAGGCAGGTGGATCACCTGAGGTCAGGAGTTCAAGACCAGCCTGGCCAAAATGGTGAAACCCCGTCTCTACTAAAAATACAGAAATTAACCGGGTATGGTGGCGTACGCTTGTAGTCCCAGCTACTCAGGAAGCGAGGCTGAGGCACAAGAATCACTTAAACCCAGGAGGCAGGGGTTGCAGTGAGCCAAGATCGTGCCACTGCCTGGGCAACAAAGCAAAACTCTGTCTCAAAAAAAAAAAACAATAGAAATCCTGAAAAGAGTTATTAGTGCAACTGAGACTTCTCAACTCCCATCAGAGGGGAAGGCAGATTATGGGTGGGGAGTAAAGTGATTACCCAAAGAGATCAGTAATTGACAGACAGGGAGTGTGACTGGATCCAAAGGAGAATGCTAGAGAAGTTATATCAATTGTCAGAGGCCGCAAATAGAAGACAAAACCTGTAAGTTAGAAGCCAGGTAAATGCCAGACTGATGGGAGGTGAGGAGCAAAGGTGGGAGTTGACACTAGGTGATCACTCCTGATGTGGACGGGACTAGGGCATCTGAAATGTCCTCCCCTGTGGCACTGAGCATGGAACAAGGGGATGTTCACCCTTGTCAAAGGGCAGGGATCAGGACAGACTCTGTATTCCACCAGGGCCTGACTGGGAAGCAGAAGAGAAGAGTTTATTCCAAATGAGCCTCCACTAACTTTGAAGAGCGGAGACAGCCGGCAGCCGCGTTCCCACTTGAGATGGAAAGCTGCCCGGGCAGCGTCGAGTGCTTTTTCCAAGTGCAGCCACGGGAAGCCACGGCTGCGGCTGTAACAAAGCCAGCCGTGCCCCCAGATAAGCCTTTTATAAGGCCTGTTGCTCCATTTTTGTTTCACATAATTTATTGCTCAGTACATATTGATAATACAATTGTCAGCCCAGCAGACATGTTCCATTTTAATAGTTCGCATGAGATACATTATTGATCCTATGCCACTAAATAAAAAACTCGTTTGTCAGGGGAACACAAAATGGCTTTTAATGGACACAGCCAAACACCTGCTACTAGTTAGGGAAGAAAAATAACCACCCTGCCACAAGGACATTTGGAAGCTGCCCTGAAATGCTTTGGTTTAGGGATTAGCAGGTCTCTTGGAAAACAGGGGGGTGTCTGATCCAAATATCCTAGGGCTGAGATTCTCATTGATGGTAGAAAAAGCTGACATTGGCCAGAGATCTACTGCTTGCCAGGCATTTTTATTTTCTATAACTTTTTTTTTTTGAGATGGAGTCTCACTCTATCACCCAAGCTGGAGTGCAGTGGCATGATATCAGTTCACTGCAACCTCCACCTCCTGGGTTCAAGTGATTCTCATGCCTCAGCCTCCTGAGTAGTTGGGACCACAGGCACCTGTCACCACACCTGACTAATTTTTGTATTTTTTAGTAGAGACAGGTTTTTACTATGTTGGCCAGGCTGGTCTTGAACTCCTGACCTCAGGTGATCTGCCCACCTCAGCCTCCCAGAGTGCTGGGATTACACGCATGAGCCACTGTGCCTGGCCAGGAGTTCTATTTGAATCATTATTTCCATAAGACCTAGGCTAGGGAGGGGAAGGGAGGAAGGAAGGAAGGAAGAGAGGGAGGGAGGGAGGGGAGGGGGAGGAAGCAAGGAAGAGAGGGAGGAAGGAGAGGGGAGGGGAGGAGAGAGGAGGGGAAGGGAGGACACGTCCATGACCTCAAAAGCTTCTTAGTGCTTCTATGTTAATTCCTCCCTCATATTCCCTTCTTTACCCGGGAAACCATGGATGTGCTTTCTGTCCCTACCAGTTAGTTTTGCATCTTCTAAGCTTCACATAAGCAGAATTATACAATGTGTATTCCTTTTTGTATGGCTTCTTTCACTTAGCATGATTATCTTGAGATTTATCTGTGTTGGTGCAGAAACTTCCAACACTTCCTTCCTCTTTCTTGCTGAGTAGTAGTCTAATGAATGGTGCCATGGTCTGAATGTTCATGTCCCACCAAATTAATGTGTTGTAACCTAACTCCAAGGTGATGGCGTTAGGAGGTGGGAACTTTAGGAGGCAATTAGGTCATGGGGGCTCCACCCTCAGGAATGGGATCAGTGCCCTTATAAAAGTACCAGAGGGAGCCTGCTTGCCCCTTCCACCCCTTTCACCATGTGAGGACACATAGAAAGTAGCATCTGTGAGGAACAGGCCTTCACCAGACACCAAATCTGCTGGCACCTTGACCTTGGACTTTCCAGCCTCCAGAACCATGAGCAATAAATATGGTTAGAAATGACCTAGTGTAAGTAAATAGAAATAGTAAATACTTAAGGTCTTTTGTTATAACAACTCAAAAGACTAAGATGAGTGGTTCTGCCAGGATGCCAGTAGACACTATAGACAGTGGAGGATAGGAGTGGACCAACTGAGGCATGCTGGGTCAGAGAAGTTGACCTTCAAGTCAGCCAATCTCATGGAATTATTCAGGAATATGCATGAGCGGTCATTGCTTTGTATCCTTTTTTTTTTTTTTTTGTACCAGCTGAGCAGGCAGGCATTTGGCCAGAGTCACCAAAATTTGAGCGGAGCAGAGAGGGAATGATACTAAGAACTCTCTAAGCCCCTCTGGCAGAAGCAAGTTTCTTGTGCCTCGAAGAGTCTTCATGCCACACAGATGAAATCAGCAGCAGCTGCACATGTCCATGAGGGCTGAAGGCTTAGGAAGCTCAGACCTCCATCTGGAAGCTTGCTGTGTTGTCTCCTGCTTTACATAACCATCTCCATAAGCCCCTATCTTTTTTGTCATTAAAGAAATAGTACATGTGGCCAGGCTTGGTGGCTCATGCCTGTAATCTCAGCACTTTGGGAGGCCAAGGTGGGAGGATTACTTGAGCCCAGGAGTTCAAGACGAGCCTGAGCAACATGGTGAAACCCAGCCTCTACCAAAAAAAAAAAAAAATATGTATGTAGATAGATAGATAGATAGATAGATACAAAAATTAGCCAGGCATGGTGGCACATGCCTGTAGTCCCAGCTACTTGGGAGACTGAAGTGGGAGGGTTGCTTGATCCCAGGAGGCAGAGGCTGCAGTGAGCAGTGACTGCACCATCACACTCCAACCCGGGCAACGGAGCGAGACCTTGTCCCCGCCAAGAAAAAAAAAGAAAATGTTGAAAACAAAATTTGAACCAAAGTGTATCTGACACTAAACCTGCAACTCTCATGTCTCGCTTTAAAAAAAAAAAACAAAAAACTTTGAGCGAGTGAGTGAGTGTGTATATAGGTGGGAGGGGGTTTATATTAGACTGTTCTCATGCTGCTGATAAAGACATATCCAAGACTGGGTAATTTATAAACAAAAAGATGTTTGATGGAGTCACAGTTCCACGTGGCTGGGGAGGCCTCACAATTATGGTGGAAGGCAAAGAAGGAGCAAAGATACACCATACATGGCAGCAGGCAAGAGGGCTTGTGCAGGGGAACTCCCATTTATAAAACCATCAGATCTCGTGAGACTTATTCACTTTCACAAGAACAGCATGGAAAAGACCCATCCCCATGACTCAATTACCTCCCACCGGGTCCTTCCCACAATACATGGGAATTATGGGAGCTACACAATTCAAGATAAGATTTGGGGCTGGGCAGGTAGCTCACACCTGTAATCCCAGCACTTTGAGAAGCCAAGGAGGTTGGATCACTTGAGGTCAGGAGTTCGAGACCAGCCTGGCCAACATCGTGAAGCCCCATCTCTACTAAAAATACAAAAATTAGCTGGGCATGGTGGCGGGTGCCTGTAATCCCAGCTACTTGGGAGGCTGAAGCAGGAGAATCACTTGAACCCAGGAGGAAGAGGTTGCAGTCAGCCAAGATCATGCCACTGCACTCCAACCTGGGCAACAGAGTGAGACTATCTTAAAAGAAAAAAAGATAAGACTTGGGTGGGGACACAGCCAGATCATATCAGGGTTTATATCTCACAGTTCTTCACAAAATGGCCCTTCTCGTTGCCTCTTTAGAATCTTGGGGTAAACGCTTCCTGAGGCAACGTAAGGAGACATTAGTGAGACCAATCTGGAGCACAAATGGTGCTGGTTCAGACCAGGTAGACCAGATGCCTGGCACAAGGTCATGGCCAAGCAAGGTCTGAGCTTCCTTGGATGAGATACATAAGCAGCCTTTATATGCGCTGCATGCACAGCCCAAGGACAAGCCCTGGCGAAGGCAGGCACCCACCTCCTTTATTAAGTCATTTAAAGTGTAATTACATTCAGCATGTAACCAGGGAGAAGGAAGCGCTGCCCTTCCATGTGATTCTGGGCCCTTGACAGTGATGAAATGTCCAACCTGCAAGCAATTACTTAAATAGTCAGCACTTTGCATGCATGACTGGATCAGGACTGTAATCAGAATCACAGCAACATGAAATTTTGGAATCGGGGACTTTAGAGGCCATGTCATTCAACCCCTTGATTTTTACAGGCAAGGAAATGGAAGCCCAGAAGAGAGGTTCTCTTCTTTTCCTAAGGGAGAGAATGGAGTGCTTCTAATTCCTGGCACTGTATAATTTTAAAGAACAGAGCTTGGAGAGCTGACTCTCTGCTGCAGGGTCACTGTTTGACCTTACGCAATCATCTTATAATTGAATGCAAACATAGATTTGCCACATAGATGTCCACACCATGAGTTACGCAGCCATGATTCTATACTTCAGGATTTATAAAATACCCCAAGGATGACGTCTATAACCATGGAACCACAGAATGCTTAATTTTTACAAAATTTTAGCTACCTGGAATATGTAACAAAATGTAAACAGTTCATATGCCTTTATGTTTCACAGAAACTTATGTCTTCATATCACAATAAATTATTCCTTTCCATTTCTCTATATTTCTGTTCTCATGACATCTGGCTCACATGCGTTGGGGAGGATGCTGGTTGAAATTCAGTAGATATAACCATGACAAAGAAGAACAGGACAGCCAAGTACAATGGTTCATGCCTATAATCCCAGCATTTTGGGAGGCTGAGAAGGCAGGATCACATGAAGCCAGGAGTTCAAGACAAGACTGGGCAACAAGATGAGACCCTATCTCTACAAAAATTAGAAATTAAAAAAATTAGCCTACCATGGTGGCATGCATCTGTAGTCCGAGCTATTCGGGAGGCTGAGACGAGGATCTCTTGAGCCCAGGAGGCTGAGGCCATAGTGAGCTATCTATGATCAAGCCACTACACTACAACCTGGGTGACAGAATGAGACTCCATCTGAAAAAGAATTTTAAAAAGAAGAAGAAGAGGAAAAAGAAGGCTCATCATTTATCAATGATTCTTAGCTCATAAACACACAAAATTTTCCTGGGATAAGGTCGTACATTATGTTCAGAAATAGACCTGTAGACTTAATTAAATCGATCAAGGCAAGAACACTGATTTATTTCAGCAGATGTGCATCAGCTCTGCCTTAAAAGGTGCCAAAACATGTTTTTTCAAATAGTAATACACTGTGTTATTCAGAGTGTGGTCAAATGGACATGCTCATATTCTGCTAATGAAGGTAAAAGTTGGGAGTTGGATGTGGTGGTAAGCACCTGTAGTCCCAGCTACTCAGGAGGCTGAGGCAGGAGGATTGCTTGAGCCTAGGAGTTTAAGACCAGGCTGAGCAATATGGCAAGACCCTATCTCTACAAAAAATTTAAAAATGTAACTGGGTGTGGTGGCACATGCCTGTAATCCCAGCTACTCAGGAGGCTGAGGCAGGAGGATTGCTTAAGCCCAGGAGTTCAAGACCAGGCTGGGCAACATAGCAAGATCCTATCTCTACAAAAACATTAAAAATTTTAGCTGGGTGTGGTGGTGCACACCTGTAGTCCCAGCTACTCAGGAGACTGGAGCAGGAGGATCACTTAAGCCCAGGAATTCAAGAACAGGCTGGGAAATATAGCAAGATCCTATCTGAAAAATAATAATAATAAAATAAAAATAAATTTTAAAAAGAAATGTACGTTGGCAAGCCTACAACAATATACTATTACTGGAGTAGGCTCCATCAAGGAAGACCTGTTGGAAGAGGTGGACTTGAATCCATGACCGAAAGAAGATGAAGGAGATGCAACTCTAGTCCCAGCTACTCAGAAGGCTGAGATAGTAGGATCTCTTGAGCCTAGGAGTTGGAGGCTGCAGTGAGCTGTGATCACACCACTGCACTCCAGCCTAGGTAAGAGAGCCAGTCTAGGCACTCAGTCTAGGTGACAGAGCCAGACTCCTTCTCTTAAAAAAAAGAATGTGGTAGCAGAACAATGACTTCCAAAGATGCCCATGTCCTAATGCCTCGAACCTGTAAGTGTTACCTTCAGTGGAAAAGAGGCTTCACGAATGTGATTAGCTTTCGATTGTACAGATGGGCCCAGTGTGAACATCAGGGTCCTTCAATGATGGAAAAGGGAGGCAGAAAGTCTGAGTCAGATGGAGATGTGAAGCTGCTGTACCGCTTTCTCTTGAAGGAGAGAGGGAGGACCAAGGTCAAAATGGAGGGAGGTAGAGGCCTTTAGCAAAAAGAGACTGCTCGATTCCCCTCCCTCCAACTTCAAAGTCAGTGGTACAGCAGCTTTGCATCTCCATCTGACTCAGACTTTCTGCCTCCCTCTTCCACCACTGAAGGACCCTTATGTTCACACTGGGCCCATATGTACAATCCAGAGCTAATCACATCTGTGAAGCCTCTTTTCCACTGAAGGTAACACTCACAGGTTCGAGGCATTAGGACATAGGCGTCTTTGGAAGTCATTGTTCTGCTACCACATTATTTTTTTTAAGAGAAGGAGTCTGGCTCTGTCACCTAGACTGAGTGCCTAGACTGGCTCTCTTACCTAGGCTGGAGTGCAGTGGTGTGATCACAGCTCACTGCAGCCTCCAACTCCTAGGCTCAAGAGATCCTACTATCTCAGCCTTCTGAGTAGCTGGGACTACAGGTGCACACCACCCTGCCTGGCTTTTTAAATTTTTTTAGAGACAGGGGCATCTCACTATGTTGCTTAGGCTGTTACCACAAATCATAATCAACCATGTCTCCATTTCTTCATCTGTCGCATGGATTTGGTAATACGGTATCTACTTCATAGGGTTGTCATGAGGATAAAATGACCTAGTACTTCTCAAGTGCTTAGAATAGTGCCTGGCACATGGTAAATCTCATAATTGTGGCTACTTCTATGCACCCATCTAAAAAGACTGGAAGAATTCCTTCCTCCACCCCTGGATTTCTTGGGATAGTGGTTTTCCAATATTCCTAGTAGTAAGTCACAATAAAAACACACTCGAGGCAAGGTGTGGTGGCTCATGCTTGTAATCCTAGCACTTTGGGAGGCCAAGGCGGGCAGATCACTTGGGGTCGGGAGTTTGAGACAAGCCTGGCCAACATAGACCCCTGTCTCTACTAAAAATACAAAAATTACTTGGGCATGGTGGCCAGTGCCTGTAATCCCAACTATTCAGGAGGCTGAGGCAGGAGAATCGCTTGAACCAGGGAGGCGGAGGTTGCACTGAGCCGAGATGGCGCCATTGCATGCCAGCCTGGGTGACAGAGCGGGACTCCATCTAAAACACACACACACACACACACACACACACACACAGACAGCATAATCCAGTACACCCAATGATTTATACATTTACATAACTAAAATAAATGTTGCACAAGCAAAACTTAACTCCACTCTGTTTAATGCATTTTGATATATTTCTTTTTATTCTATTTCTTTCTCTTTTTCTTTTTTTTGAAATGGAGTCTTGCTCTGTTGCCCAGGCTTGAGTGCAGTAGTGCGATCTTGGCTCACAGCAACCTCCGCCTCCCAGTTCAGGCAATTCTCCTGCCTCAGCCTCCCAAGTACCTGGGATTACACGTGCCCGCCACCACACCTGGCTAATTTTTGTATTTTTAGTAGAGATGGGGTTTCACCATGTTGGCCAGGCTGGTCTCAAACTCCTGACCTCAGATGATTCACCTGCCTCAGCCTCCCAAAGTGCTGGTATTACAGGCGTGAACCACCACACCCAGCCCTCTATTTCAATTTTTTAACTCAATGAAATAAGCCAATGGTGGCTGAGTTAAAACTTAAACCCTGACATCCAAATTCAACCTCTTTTCTTTTTTTTTCTACTTGATGCAACCAACAATCGGCAAACATTATGCCAGACAGCAGAGAGCTTGCAATTTATCCAGTCGGCCCTGTTTCACTGAGGTGAGTGTGATCAACTGAAAGAAGGAAAGGAGGAGACATTTTGGGAGGCCAAGGTGGGCGCATTATCTGAGGTTGGGAGTCCAAGACCAGCCTAGCCAACAAGGTAAAACCCTGTCTCTACTAAAAATACAAAAAAATTAGCCAGGCATGGTGGCGTGCGCTTGTAATCCCAGCTACTTGGGAGGCTGAGGCAGGAGAATCACTTGAACCTGGGAGGCAGAGGTTGCAGTGAGCTGACATCATGCCACTGCACTGCAGCCTGGGTGACAGAGTGAGACTTTGTCTCAAAAAAAAAAAAAAAGAAAGAAAGAAAAAGAAAAAGAAGGAAAGGAGGAGAAAATAGGAGCTGTAACTCCTGCTGCAGAATTCTGCCTTTGCATGTCAGAGCTTAAATTTTTTGGGTCATTGAGTGGCCTTCAGGTTGCTGACAAGATTTAATTTGTAAACCTTCTTGTATTAATGATGCAGAGCATCTAATTGCCCTGTTCTCCTTATCCACACCATCTGAGTATGGTGAAGATGCCCCTGGCTCATCGGCATCCACAAGGTTTCCATGACAACTTCTCTTGTCCACGCATAACCAAATCTGGAGAGACTGTCATTCAGTTTGACAAACTGACAAGACAGGGCTGTCAGTCTCTCAGACGGGTGAGGAACTACAGTGACTGACACAATCTAAGGGTCACTATGAATCTGATCGTGACTGTGTTCAGCTGCTGACAGCTGCGAAAGCTCTCCTCGGATGGTTCAAAGCCTACGCATTTTCCACCTCAAGTGGCCTGAGAAATATGGGAAGGTAACTGACACGCATATGTATTTCACTCAGATGTGACAGGCCCAGCATAGGCTTTTGAAGAGTCTTCCTGCTGCCACTGATGAGGTGGCCAGAGGTATCACCACTGAAGCTTGCTTCGGGCTCCCCGGTGGCTTGAGGAAATCCGTGACCTGCCCTGAGCCACAGACACATTGGATGATATATCTAAGATGGCCCTTAGATACCCTTTAACCCAACTCCAGAAAGGAAAAGTAACACTCAAGAATATTCAAGAGTAGAGACTACAGGGTGAAAGACACAATTAACAATAATCCCAAATTATTTTATTTTTTTTTTTATTTTTTGAGACGGAGTCTCGCTGTCACCCAGGCTGGAGTACAGTGGTGGGATCTCGGCTCACTGCAACCTCTGCCTGTAGCTGGGATTACAGGCACACACCACCATGCTTGGCTAATTTTTGTATTTTTAGTAGAGATGGGGTTTCACCGTGTTGGCCAGGCTGGTCTCGAACTCCGGGCCTCAAGTGATCCACCCGCCTTGGCTTCCCAAAGTGCTGGGATTACAGGCGTGAGCCACCACGCCCAGCCCTGGATTATTGTTTCATTTCATAATCATTATCATTTTCAGTTGCATCACATCAACATTGGTCATTCTTGACTCTGGCCACGCACAAGAACCCCCTGGGAGCTTTTAAGAAGTTTCCAAGCCTGGGTTCATCATCTGGAGATGCTGATTCTGTTGGTCTGGGGTGGGGTGTGGAATCCAATATTGTTTTAATAGCTCCTAGTGAATTAAGTAGTATGGGCAGGATTAAGAAGTCCCTGTAGGCCAAATGCAGTGGCTCAGTCTTATAATCCCAGCACTTTTGGAGCCCAAGGCAGGTGAATCACTTGAGCCCAGGAGTTTGAGAGCAGCCTGGGCAACATGGTGAAACCCCATCTCTACAAAAAAAAAAAAAAAATTAGCCAGGTGCGGTGGCACACACCTGTAGTCCCAGCCACTCAGGAGGCTGAGGTGGGAGGATTGCCTGAGCCCAGGGAGGTTGAAGCTGGCAGTGAACCGTGATTGTGCCACTGCACTCCAGCCTGGGCGACAGAGTGAGACCCTGTCTCAAAAAAAAAAAAAAAAGTCCCTGGTGTGTGACAGCATAGGTCCCAATCCAGACACCATCATTTACTGCCCGGGTAACCTTGGGTACATTACTTAATTTTTCTGGGCCTCCGTTTCCTCATCTGTAAAACTGGGACTGGCGATAATAATACCGACCTTGTAGGATTCTTAAAGGTTTAAATGAGTTATTAGACAGAAGGCTTTTAATACACTGCGTGATACAGAGTACGCGATGAATAGATGTTACTATTCATGTTATTTAAGGATCTGCGGTATTTATAAAAGGCCCAAAGAGGAGGTTGGATGAAATCATGTAGCACTGAGCTTTCCCTCGGGGTCTTTTTTCTAATATGGGGTGTGAGAGAGAAGGAAAAAATAATGTTTTGGGTCTAAGCAACTGCAAGAATGTTTTATTCTACTGTATTTTCTCTTGTTGTTTAATCCTTGCAACATCCCCATTATACGGATTTTAAAAACTGAGGCTCAGAGAAGTTCAATCGTCTGCCCAAGATCAGGAGATCCAGGGAAACGGCCAACTCAAGAGTCTAATTCCCACATTTGTACTTTCTTCCCTCTCTCTTGCATTGAGCCCCCAGAAGAATTTGAGTATGATCTTTTTTTTTTTTTTTTTTTTGAGACACATTTTTGCTCTTGTTGCCCAGGCTGGAGTGCAATGGTGCGATCTCGGCTCACTAAAACCTCCACCTCCCAGGTCCAAGCAATTCTCCTGCCTCAGCCTCCCAAGTAGCTGGGATTACAGGCATCAGCCACCATGCTTAGCTAATTTTTGTATTTTTAGTAGAGACGGGGTTTCACCATGTTAGTCAGGCTGGTCTCAAACCCCTGACCTCACGTGATCCACCCACCTCGGCCTCCCAAACTGCTGGGATTACAGGCGTAAGCCACCAAGCCTGGCCTGAGTATGATCTTAAAGGAAGTAATGAATATGGATGACAGGTGGTGAAAGAGAGAAGACACCACGTGGCTGGGAGTTATAGATGTGAGAAGGTGACTGACTCTAGGTCCTTTGTGCCTGAAAAGCCTATGATTATGTTAAGGAGATGTTGCTGTACCAGGACAACATGCAGGCTGGCCTGGCTAGAATAGAGGGGACTCACGCATGCAGGGCCCCAGTGCTAGCACACAAGGAGCCCGTATGGTACACAGTAAAGAAACAAATGTGTATCTCCGTTGAAAACCCTTATGAATCCTGTTTAAGTGTGTTGTCTGAAATGATGCAAACTGCAAAGCCACAATATGAAAGACTATAGAGCATGCAGGATCCATTTTCTTCAACAAATAAGTTACAAGAACAACAAAAAGAAGGTGGAGAAATTGTAGAAAAAATACCAAATGTTATGTGTGGACTTTGATTTTTGTAATGCACGGATATCTTGATTCAAACAAACTAAAACACATGCACACACACACATACACACATACACACACACACAAACACACACACTGAAGAAATAATCTGGGAAAGGCCAGGCGTGGTGGCTCACATCTGTAATCCCAACACTTTGGGAGGTCGAGGTAGGCATGTCATCTGAGGTCAGGGGTTCAAGACTAGCCTGGCCAACATGGAGAAACCCCGTCTTTACTAAAAATACAAAAAATTAGCCGTGCGTGGTGGTGCAAGCCTGTAATCTAAGTTACTCAGGAGGCTGAGGCAGGAGGATCGCTTGAACCTGGGAGGCAGAGGTTGCGGTGAGTCAAAATCGTGCCACTGCACTCCAGCCTGGGCAACCAGAGCAAAACTTTGTCCCCAAAAAAAAAATAAAAAGTAAAAGAAATAATCTGGGAAATGGGGATGCTCGCTAACTGGATATTTGATGAACTAATAAATTCTCTGAGTACACTGTAGACTAATATGCAGATATAAGAAGATAAGTCATATATCTGAATTATAAATTATAAGACGAAAAAGGTAAGGAGTAATAAGAGTTCCAAGGAGAAACATATTAAAATGCTGTGATGGTTCTGAAGAGGGAGTTGGTATCAGTGCAAGGAATTAGGAGGCTCAAGCCTGATGAGTAGCTACTGAGCAAAGAGTAAGCCAGGCCCCACCCCGAGGCCTTTTATAATCAGCACTGGCTTTCAAACTGTGATTGGCCAAATCCTGGGGCTTCTTGGAACCCTCCCCAGGGTTAACTTGATGGGGCAGAGGTACACATATTGGAGAGTTAGTTGAATGGTACGATGCCTTCTTTAACTAGAACGTATCAGCTTTTTAAGTGTCCAGGGAAGATTTCAGCTGGAGAAAGTACAACTGAAAAGAACCTTGAAAACCCCTGATCTATGGCTTTCCCAGTCATCTCCCCTCAGTGAACTGTCTTTACTCTTTCAGACGGTCAATTTTACCAGTAAGCACTTTGCTGAAAGTAGAAGAAATTCTGCTTTTTTGTGAGCTGAGCACAGATACCAGTGCTCAACCGCAGTTGAGTCGAAGTCCTGACTTAAGTCACGCAAAACACATAAAACTAGAGTTGTGCTATCTCCTTTGCCTTGTTAAAAAGGACACTGGAGCAGATAAATTTTATTGCAATAAATCTCACCATTAACAAATGGCAGTCATATATCTACATGATAAACCTGATGATTACAGATTGTTTCTACTATTTATTGGACCAATGAGAAAGATGTGTTTCAGAGCCAAGAGATGCAGCCAGATGTGTACAAAGGAAAGTCCTGCAATCTTGTCTTTAAATGGAAGAGTCCTGCTAAGGAAATGGGAATTTCCTTAAAGAAACTGTAAACAGGCCGGGCACCTTGGCTTACACTTGTAATCCCAGCACTTTGGGAGGCCGAGGCGGGCGGATTACGAGGTCAGGAGATCGAGACCATCCTGGCTAACGTGGTGAAACCCCGTCTCTACTAAACATACAAAAAATTAGCCAGGTGTGGTGACGGGCACCTGTCGTCCCAGCTACTCAGGAGACTGAGGCAGGAGAATGGCACGAACCAGGGAGGTGGAGCTTGCAGTGAGCTGAGATGGCACCACTGCACTCTAGCCTGGGTGACAGAGCGAGACTCTGTCTCAAAAAAAAAAAAAAAGAAAACTGTAAACAAACTGGGAAATTTATAAAGAAAAGAAGTTTAATTGGCTCACAGTTTCGCAGGCTGTACCCCGGAAGCATGGCTGAGGAGGCCTCAGGAAACTTTCAATCATGACGAATGGCGAAGGGGAAGCAGGCACATCTTACGTGGCCTGAGCAGGAGGAAGAAAGTGGGGGTGGCAGTGCCACACACTTTTAAACAACCAGATCTCATGAGAGCTCACTCACTATCACAAGAACAGCAAGGGGGAAATTCACCCCCATGATCCACTTACCTCCCACCAGGCCCCACCTCCAACATTGGGGATTACAATTCGACATGAAATATGGGTGGGGATACAAATCCAAACCGTATTAGCTACCTATAATGTATCCCCATTTAAAAAAACATAGCTCCTTTGCTCTGTATAATGGACATATTGTTTTGTCTCCCAAGTCCAGGCTAACAGTCCAGTATACCTAATCTCTAGATTAGCAATATTTCTAAAGAAGAAACCAGAATAAGTGGAGGAAAAGAAAAAAACAATAGTTTAATAGAAGACAATTTTCCTGGGCTGGAAAAAAAAAAGCACATGAGTGTGCAAATCAAAAATACTCAATGTTTTTTTGTTTTGTTTTGTTTTTTTGTTTTCTTTTGTTGAGACGGAGTTTTGCTCTTGTTGCCCAGGCTGGAGTGCAGTGGAGTGATCTTGGCTCACCGCAAACTCCGCTTCCAGGGTTCAAGTGATTCTCCTGCCTCAGCCTCCCAAGTAGCTGGGATTACAGGCGCCTGCCACCACCCCTGGCTAATTTTGTATTTTTAGTAAAGATGGGGTTTCACCATGTTGGCCAGGCTGGTCTCGAACTCTTGACCTCAGGTGATCCACCTGCCTCGGCCTCCCAAAGTGCTGAGATTATAGGCATGAGCCACTGCACCCCGCCTAGACTCACTGTTTTAAGTAAATTTATAAAAAGAGACAGACACAGTAGATATATTTTAGTGACATTTTCAATATCAAGGCTGGAGAAACTGCCACTAAGCTAAGAAAAATTAAACTATAATGACAAG
Source organism: Homo sapiens (assembly GCF_000001405.40). Lineage (NCBI taxonomy): Eukaryota > Metazoa > Chordata > Mammalia > Primates > Hominidae > Homo > Homo sapiens. The sequence continues at coordinate 67,537,746 of NC_000007.14, read as the reverse complement.
TTGTGACAGAAGAACTAAAATTCAGCTAACCCTAGATTCTATTCTATCACTGCAAACACAGAAGAAAATGAAGTAATGTCTGTAGTGTTTAAGGGAGACATCTGTGACCCAAGAATTCTTTGCCTAACCCAGATGCTGTTCATGAGCCAAGGTGAAGGAAAGATAGTCTGAGATAGGTTATGCCACAGAAAATCCTATGACTGAGGCACTCCTGAAAATCTTAACCAAAGTTTTCATCAAAGCCTAGCAGATGCACCAAAAATAAGTGCTCAAGATCAGAGAAATTATAAAATCAAGCATGGACACTATTAACCAGAGATTGTCTAAATAATTGGCATAAACTGGTAATTAAAGGAATGCCCAAGTCAACAGAGATTCCTGAGATGAGTTATTGTAAAAAATGTCAATATTAATAAAAACATGCATCCTACAATGTATGCTGCAGATTCTACTTGCATGGCCAAGAAAAGTTGAACAAAAAGAGTTAAGACACATCTTGAATTCCCCATTTCAAAAAGAAAAGTCAAAAGTTTTCATATTAATTTTGTATTTAATAGTTATAGATATTGCCCAAGCAAAGATATTTTTGAAAAATGTAAAACTAACATTTATTAAAATTAAATATTGGCTACCCTTTATTGACTCACAAGGGAAAATCAAAGAAAGCATGGTCTATAAGGCAAAATAATGAAATATGAATGACAGAATGCATGAAATAATATAATTAAAAGTAATTATATTATGATAATAAATAAAAATGGGTTAAATTTCTAATACAAAAAAGTACAGGTCCAGTTTAATTAGCATTGCGCTGAAGGTCCCCAAGTTCTCAAGAATGTGTGCATTAGCCAGACACTTATTAATAAATGTTTTGTACCTAGATATCATAAATAAAAGAGGGCTAGCTTGTACACAATATACATAAATAACATTTATTTTAAATACTTAATAATTTAGGCCTAGTGCAGTGGCTGACACCATAATCCCAGCACTTTGAGAGGCCAAGGCAGGCAGACCACTTGAGGTCAGGAGGTTGAGACTAGCCTGGCCAACACGGGGAAACTCCATCTTTAGAAAAATACAAAAATTAGCTGGGCGCGGTGGCAGTCGCCTGTAGTCCCAGCTTCCTGGGAGACTGAGGCAGGAGAATTGCTTGAACCCAGGAGGTGGTGGTTGCAGTGAGCAGAGATTGCGCCATTGCACTCCAGCCTGGGCAACAGAACAAGACTCTGTCTCAAAAAAAAAAAAAAAGTATGCACCTGAACTGTCCCCTGTTGGTGTATCAGCTGCCTGCCTCCCAGTGTGCAAATCTAGCACACAGTCCTTAAGCTCTGTGTTTACCCATCTGCATGCATCTATTAAAATCAGCACATATACACCATGGAATACTATGCAGCCATTAAAAAAGAATGAGTTCATGTCCTTTACAGGGACATGGATGAAGCTGGAAACCATCATCCTCAGCAAACTAACACAGAAACAGAAAACCAAACAGCACATGTTCTCACTCATAAGTGGGAGTTGAACAATCAGAACACATGGACACAGGGAGGGGAACATCACACACCAGGGCCTGTCAGGGTGTTAGGGGAAAGCGGAGGGAGAGCATTAGGACAAATACCTAATGCGTGTGGGGCTTAAAACCTAGAGGACGGGTTGATAGGTGCAGCAAACCACCATGACACATGTATACCTGTGTAACAAACCTGCACGTTCTGCACATATATCCCAGAACTGAAAGTAAAGTAAATACAGTAAAATAAATAAAGTAAAATAAAAATTATAAAAATATTTAACATAAAAATTTCCCTACCTAAAATTTCTATTCTCATCCCAAGATGGCCACTGTTGAGGAATATATATATATATGAGCCACTGCACTCTGCCTAAATTATTAAATATTTTAAATAAATGTTATTTATATATATTGTGTACAAGCTAGCCCTCTTTTATTTTTATTTTTATTATTTAATTTATTTTATTTTTATTATTATTATTTTTAAATAGGAACAAATATATATATATGTCTATGTATATATTCTTCCGGTATTCCAGTATTTTTAAAAATGCATATTGTAAAATAAAAGAACATTTTTCTCAAAAAAACAGTCACAGGTTCTGGGCTAGAGGGGTGCGGACTATAACTCGTTTAAGTTGAACTTGGTAAGAAAAGAAACATTCATAAATATTTCAATTTGGAGGTTTGAAAAAAAATAAAAGAATGAGGAGGACCACCAGCGGCTGTCCTTGGAATCCTGAATTGTTAGCGAGAAGCCTGGCATCAAGAAGTGAGAAAATGCCGACAAAACACCAGGCAGAGTGCAAACACACTTGTCAAATTCACAGAGCCAGAAAAAGCGATTCCTGCAGTTTATCTACCCCAAGTGGATTCAATCTAGTAGAGAGGTGGAGATTTTGTGGCATTTACAATTTTCGTTGTTAAGTTTGAAAAAAAAAAAAGGAGAAACATGGGGAAAAGAAAATGAAGAGAGCAAACTAGGAGGTGGGAAGCAGAAAAGCAGCTTCGAGAGTAGGTCAAAGTCCCCCTTTAAGAAGGGAAGAAACTAATGCCTAAATAAGTAACGTGACTCACCCCAAAGTCCTTAAAAAAAGGTTTTAAAGGGTACATGGATATGATTAGTCACAGACATTGGGAAAGGGAAATGGGGAAATTGTCCAAAGTCAAATCTCACAAGTTATCTCTCCCCAACTGCATTAAGTTTCAAGGCTTTGAAAAAATTCTTTGTGCTTTATGGCTCCAGCCTCTCAGCTTATGGATCCACCATTATTCGGCCTACCATAGGGTCCTTGATAATTTTGAAGACTGCAAAGGTGCCGGACACAGTGGCTCACACCTGTAATCCCAGCACTTTGAGAGGCCAACATGGGCAGATCACCTGAGCTCAGGAGTTCAAGACCAGCCTGGCCAACAGGTGAAACCCCGTCTCTACTAAAATTAGCTGGGTGTGGTGGTGGGCACCTGTAATCCCAGCTACTCGGGAGGCTGAGACAGGAGAATCACTGGAACTCGGGAGGCAGAGATTGCAGTGAGCCAATATTGAGCCACTGCACTCCAGCCTGAGTGACAGAGCAAGACTCCATCTCAACATAAAAAAAAAAAAGAAACAAAAAAAAATGCAAAGGTGAAGCCAAGTTTGAGAATTGCTTCATTAAATCAGATGTGATCAGTAGATCAGTAGTTAGGGGTGAAACAGAGGGGAGAGAAGGTTGATTCCAAACATATTGTATTAGTCCATTTTCACGCTGCTGATAAAGACATACCCAAGACTGGATAATTTAGAAAGAAAAGAGGTTTAATGGACTCACAGTTCCACGTGGCTGGGGAGGCCTCACAATCATGGCAGAAGGTGGGGAAAGAACAAAGACACATCTTACATGGGTGGCAGCAGGCAAAGAGAGAACGAGAGCCAACCAAAGGGGAAAACTCCTTATAAAATTATCAGATCTCATGAAACTTATCTACTACCACAAGAACAGTATGGGGGAAACAAGCCCAGTGATTCAATTATCTCCCACTGGATCCTTCCCACAACACATGGGAATTATGGGAATTATGGGAGCTATATTAAAGATGAGATTTCAATGGGGACACAGTCAAACCATATCACATATCTTTCCCCATAATCTGCCAGTGACATACTCTCTTACTCTCTTTTGATTTTTGTTCCAATTATTCTTGCCATATAACAACCCACCCCAAAATGTAGAGACTTAAAACAGCAGTCATTTCTTTTGCTCATGGATCTGCAACTTGGGCAGGACTCAATGGGGACAACTCATCTCTATTCCATGATATCTAGGGCACAGCAAATAAGCCTCAACCACTGGGGGATCTGAAGGCTTGTTTACTAACATCAGTGGTTGATGCTGGCTGTCACTGGGACCTCAGCTAGGGCTGTTGACTGGAGCACCCACACATGGTCTCTCCTTGTGGCCTGGCCTTCCTTGCTCCATGGTGGTTGGGCTCCAAGAATGAATATCACAACAGGACAAGGCTGGAACTTTATTGCCTTTTATGACCTAGCACCAGAAGTCACATAGTGTCACTTTTTCCATAATCACATGTGACACAGATTCCATTGACAGGAGTGTAGACCTCACCTCTCAGTGAATCATATTGATGTTAAACGACTGTTAAAAGAACATTTGGAATGGGAGAGATTATTGACACCATCTTGGAAAATATATTCTGCCACAACTTAGACAGGGATTCTTAACTTAGGATTGGGTGGAAGGAGAAGCCTAACCCTTTTTTAGGCTACTTTGAGGTTGTAGGGGCTGAGTTTGAAAAAGCATAGTAAAAAATGTATAATATTATTCATATTTGTAATATTTTCACAACAAAGACTTCAGAAAATAAAGCTTAACAGGCTTTTCTTGACTAGTAGGCATATTCAGATAATATTATGGCTCCCATTGAAGGAACCATGTCAGAATGGAAGATCAAGACTTTTATGTTCAGAAAAGAGAGGCCATGTGTTTGAAAGGTTTGAAATTTGCTGGCTGAAGACTGTCTTGCAATAAAAGTGGAACCTTCCAGAAAGGCTGGTACATTTGCCTGACTTTGAGTTCATCCAAGTGGGGCACAGTGGCTCACACCTGTAATCCCAGCACTTTGGGAGGCCAAAGCATGTAGATCACTTGAGCTCAGGAGTTTGAGACCAGCCTGGGCAACATGGCAAAACCCTGTCTCTAAAAAAAATACAAAAATTAGCCAGGTGTGATGGCATGCACCTATAATCCCAGCTACTCAGGAGGCTGAGGTGGGAGAATCACTTGAGCCCATGAAGTGGAGGTTGCAGTGAGCCAAGATCACACCACTGCACTTCAGCCTGGGTGACAGAGTTAGGCACTGTCTCAAAAAATAAAATAGAATAAAAAATGAGTTTCTCATATACTTTTATGAAATGAGATTTCAGTGGGGGTGACAAAACATGCCAGGGTCCTAAAATTGTGGGTGGAAGAGACACTGCCGAAATTTGAATAATAGCAAAAAATAGAACTCTCTCATCATTTTTTTCAGGATCAGCTCTGCCTAAAAGGGCCACTGGTCCTAGTTGAAACTGCACAGCTTTTTCTTGTGATATTAATTAGTCCTTCCAGAATGTTCTGAGAACATTCAGCATATGCTGAGAGTATTTGTGGAGTCAGAGACCCACAAAGCTGGAGGGGTCTTTATGGATGATACAGGAATGGTAACCATGCCTGCGTCCCTTCAGGGCCACAGCAGACATTACTAACTGATCAAAGCACTCTCCCTGCTAAGACCACAGCAGACATTACTAAGTCATTGAAGCACCCTTCCAGCTGAATCCAGACAACCTCAGGATCCTTCTCAACAGCTCTCCTGGCACCCAGTCTCTAATGGATCTGATCTAATGTAGCAGTTCTCAAACTTGTGTCCAGGATTCCTTTGCATTCTTAAAAATTAAGGACCCTACGGTTGGCAGAATAAAGGTGGCCATAAACCCAGAGGACAGAGCCACAAACCACAAAGAATTGTTTCCAAACCTTGAAAATTAATGGTGATTGCCTGGCTGGATTTCAAAATTGCTTAGGATCAGTGATTCCATTTTTCCTTCCACTTTCTCCCTTTGGAATGAGAATGTCTATAACTGTTGTCCCATGCCCATTCCACCATTGTATTTTGGAAGCAGATAACTTGTTTTCTAATTTCCCAGGTCCACAGATGGAGAGGAGTGATGCTCCAGGAAGAACCGTACTCAGGATTTCACCCACACTTGATTTAGAGGGAGAAATTTGGAACTTTGGAGTTGATGAGATTTAGATGACATTTTTAGACTTTGAATCGATGTTGTAATGGTTTGAGACGTTGAGGAATATTGGGATGAAATTAATGTAATTTGCTTTGTGGGATAGAAATCAATCTTTAAGGGACAGTGGGTAGACTGTAGTTGGCAGAATAATTAAACCTCAAAGAAGTTAACATCCTTATCCCCCAAACCTATGATTATGTGACTTTTCATGGCCAAAGGGAATTTGCACATGAGTTTAAAGGTAAGAAAATGGGGAGATTATCCTAGATTATCCAGGTGGGCCCAATCTAATCACACAAATCTTATCCATCTGGGATCAGATTGGGAGCTGTGATTATGGGGAGAAAGAAATGCATCATTGCTCACTTTGGAAATGGAGGAAGGGGCCACAAACTAGAGAATGGAGGTGGCCTCTTTAAGCCAGAAAAAGCAAGGAAACAGATTCTCCCCAAAAACCTCCAGAAGGAATGCAGCTCTGCCCCTATCTTGATTTCAGCTCAGGGAGACCTATGTCAGAAATCTAACCTACAGAATTATAAAATAATAAGTTTGTGTTGTTTTAAGTTACTAGATTTGTGATCATTTGTTACAGCGGCAATAGAAAACTAATACAAACTTCAAGGAAGTCTTATATCTATTTATCTATTGATATTTATTATGTTGGAAATTATACTAAAAATATCTTCAAATGTTTACTTATTTAAAATCAGAATAACAAATCAATTATGTATTCTCATGGATAACATATTTTTATTTAAAATACAAGTATTTTCTAAACAATCATAATAAAGTGTGGCATTGTCTTACATTTTTATAAATCTCTGTATTATCAGGCTTAATATAAGATAGCTAGATTCTCAGACCTGCTTCTGCATTCGGAAGAATTAAGATATGTTGTTTTGGTCAAAGTACATGAAGAAAATCCAGCCTCATACAAAAATGTAGTTGAAAAGGAAAGGGAACATTTAATAACAGATAATTGTGAATATTATTTGATACTACAATCAAAATGCAACATTAGGTGGGTCTTTTGGTTTTTTGGGGGGGACAGGGTCTTACTCTGCCACCCAGGCTGGAGTACAGTGGGGCAATCATGGCTCACTGCAGCTTCGACCTTCCAGGTTCAAGTGATCCTCCTGTCTCAGCCTCCTGAGTAGCATGTGCCACCACAGGCACTACAGGCATGTGCCACTACACTAAGCTAATGATATGGTTTGGCTGTGTCCCCAGCAAATCTCAACTTGAATTGTATCTTTCAGAATTCCCATGTGTTGTAGGAGGGACCCAGAGGGTGGTAATTGAATCATGGGGGCCAGTCTTTCCTGTGCCATTCTTGTGATAGTGAATAAGTCTCATGAGATCTGATGGGTTTATCAGGGGTTTCTGCTTTTTCTTCTTCCTCATTCTCTCTTACCACTGCCATGTAAGAAGTGTCTTTCACCTTCTGCCATGATTCTGAAGCCTCCTCAGCCATGCGGAACTGTAAGTCCAATTAAACCTCTTTTTCCTTCCAAATCTCAGGTATGTCTTTGTCAGCAGCATGAAAATGGACTAATACAGTAAATTGGTACTGGGAGTGGGGCATTGCTGAAAAGATATCCGAAAATGTGGAAGCGACTCTGGAACTGGGTAACAAGCAGAAATTGGAGGTTTGGAGGGCTCAGAAGAAGAAAGGAAAAATGTGGGAAAGTTTGGAACTTCCTAGAGACTTGTTGAATGGCTTTGCCCAAAATGCTGACAGCGATATGGAAAATAAGGTCCAGGCTGAGATAGTCTCAGAGGGAAATAAGGAACTTGTTGGGAACTGGAGTAAAGGTGACTCTTCTTATGTTTTATCAAAGAGACTGGTGGCATTTTGCCCCTGCCCTAGAGATCTGTAAAACTTTGAACTCAAGAAAGATGATTTAGGGTATCTAGTGGAAGAAATTTCTAAGCAGCAAAGCATGCAAGAGGTGGCTTGGGTACTGTTAAAGGCATTCACCTTTACAAGGGAAGCAGAGCATAAAAGTTTGGAAAAATTTGCAGCTTGACTATGCGACAGGAAAGAAAAACCCATTTTCTGGGGAGAAATTCAAGCCAGCTATAGAAATTAGCATAAATAGCAAGCAGCCTAATGTTAATCCCCAAGACCATAGGGAAAATGTCTCCAGGCCACGCCAGAGACCTTCACAGCAGCCCTTCCCATCATAGGCCCAGAAGCCCAGGAGAAAAAGATGGTTTCGTGGGTCAGGCCCAGGGTCCCCGTGCTGTGTGCAGCCTAGGGACTTGGTTCCCTGTGTCCCAGCTGCTCCAGCCATGGCTGAAAGGGGCCAACATACAGCTCGGGCTGTGGCTTCAGAGGGTGGAAGCCCCAAGCCTTGGCAGCTTCCACATGGTGTTGAACCTGAAGGTGCACAGAAGTCAAGAATTGAGGTTTGGGAACCTCTGTCCAGATTTCAGAAGATGTATAGAAACGCCTGGATGCCCAGGCAGAAGTTTGCTACAGGGGTGGTGCCCTCGTGAAGAACTTCTGCTAGGGCAGTGCGGAAGGGAAATGTGGGGTCGGAGCCCCCACACAGAGTCTCTACTGGGGCACTGCCTAGTGGAGCTGTGAGAAGAGGGCACCCGTTCTCCAGACCCCAGAATGGTAGATCCACCAACAGCTTGCACCGTGCACCCGGAAAAGCCACAGACACTCAATGCCAGCCCATGAAAGCAGCTGGGAGGGAGGCTATTCCCTGCAAAGCCACAGGGGCAGAGCTGCCCAAGACCATGGGAACCCACCTCTTGCCTCAGCGTGACCTGGAAGTGAGAACTGGAATCAAAGGAGACCATTTTGGAGTTTTAAAATTTAACTGCCCTACTGAATTTTGGACTTGCACGGGCCCTGTAACCCCTTTGTTTTGGCTAATTTCTCCCATTGGGAAAGGCTGTATTTACCCAATGTCTGTACCCCCCAACTCCCTCCACCTTGTATCTAGGAAGTAACTAGCTTGCTTTTGATTTTACAGGCTCATAGGCAGAAGGGACTTGCCTTGTCTCAGATGAGACTTTGGACTGTGGACTTTCGGGTTAATGCTGAAATGAGTTAAGACTTTGGGGGACTGTTGGGAAGACATGATTGGTTTTGAAATGTGAAAACATGAGATTTGGAGGCGCCGGGGGTGGAATGATATGGTTTGGCTGTGTCCCCACCAAATCTCAACTTGAATTGTATCTTCTAGAATTCCCACGTGTTGTGGGAGGGATGCAGTGGGAGGTAATTGAATCAAGGAGGCCGGTCTTACCCATGCTATTCTTGTGATAGTGAGTAAGTCTCATGAGGTCTGATGGGTTTATCAGGGGTTTCCACTTTTGCTTCTTCCTCATTCTGTCTTGGCACTGCCATTTCAGAAGTGCCTTTTACCTCCCACTGTGATTCTGAGGCTTCCCCTGCCATGTGGAACTGTAAGTCCAATTAAACCTCTTTTTCTTCTCAGTCTTGGATACGTCTTTATCAGCAGCATGAAAACAGACTAATACAGCTAATTTTTTTATTTTTTGTAGCGATGAGGTTTTGCCATGTTCCTCAGGCTGGTCTCAAATTCTTGACCTCAAGGAATCCTACCACTTGGCCCCCCGAAGTACTGAAATTACAGGTGTGAGCCACTGCGCCTGGCCACATGAGGTAGTTTTTAAAAGGTTGAATACAATGTAGAATCTGAAACATATGAATGAAGTTTTTATAATCTATTTCATTAAAACCCATTGATCTACCTGCCCTTTGGCTCTCTTATTGGAACATGAGTTTGTCACATCATGCTTTGGTCATTAGAAATATGCTACTTCACTGAGTTACATGGGTCTTCAAGATGTGGACACACTATAAGATACAATATCAAAACAAATAGCATATTTGTCAATATCTTCACCAATCTCAGAAAAGTCATTAAGTATTGGGAAGCTGTCAAGCTCATGGTGACAGATACAAGTTTTCCAAAAATCTAATATTCACTTAAAAGCTAGAGTTTTATCCTTGGTAATAAATACTGTGATTTGTTTGACTTGAAGTGACAGGCTCACTTTGTTAATTTCCAAGAAAATGTGTGTCATAGCTTGTCTGTCAATTGTTACTTCGATTAAAAATGTGTTCCATGAAAAAGCCGACTAGTTCAACTTACATCTCCAACTATCCCACCTGAGGTTCTTCTCAAGGCAACCACTGTACCTTATTATGCATTTGGACAATCAGAATAGTAGAAGGAGGTGTACTCAAGGGTGGAGATTTAATAAAATCAATAACTTTTACTGCTTCGTCAAGGACATTCTCAAGTGAAACTCGCTCTTTTTTTTTTTTGCTTTGCTTTTTTTTTTTTATAACTGTGCATGCATGATGGTAAAGAATGTCATGAGACTAGCACAGTTTGAGGTCACCACTAAGGCACGATTGTTTGCACATTCAGTGCAAATGTCAACTCAGTGAACACAGCAAACCACACCTTAATATTCTTGTAGAGATGGGATTTCACCATATTGGCCAGGCTGGTCTCGAACTCCTGACCTCATAATCCACCAGCCTCAGTCTCCCAAAGTACTGTTAAGCTGGGCATGCCTGTAATCCTAGCACTTTGGGAGACCAAGGCAGGTGAATTGCTTGAGCTCAGGAGTTCGAGATCAGCCTGGGCAAAAAATGATTTGGACTTCATACATGTCCTGATAGTGTCTCTGGCACCGTCAGGAGTCCATGGGCCACACACTTTGAGAACTGCTCATCTAATGTACCATTTTCATTTTGTATATGGAGAAACTGGGGCCCAGAGAGGGAATAAATGACTCCTGGCTTCAACATTGTCTCACTGCGTTGTCACAGGTTGGATTCCCCAGCAAGCTGACTCTGAGATGGAGTTGATGTACAGGAAATTGTTAAGGGTAGGGGGAAGAGGAAGTTCTCCTTTCTATACCTGTGAAGAGCTAGGATGTAAGCAACAGTGGCTACTTCCACTGTCCCAATGACAGCCTTGTTACCTGAAAGGAGCCCTGATCCAGACTCCAAGAGAGGGCTCTTGGACCTCACACAAGAAAGAATTCAGAGAAAGTCTAAAAAGTGAAAGCAAGTTTATTAAGAAATAAAGAATGGCTATTCCATAGGCAGAGCAGTAGCTTGGGTTCTCGACTGATAATACTTACAGTTATTTCTTGATTATATGCTAAACAATGGGTGGATTATTCATGAATTTTTCAGGAAAGGAGTGGGCGATTCCTGGAACTGAGGGTTCTTCCCCTTTTTAGATGATCTAGGGTAACATACGGGCATTGCCATGGCATTTGTAAGCTGTCATGGCACTGGTGGGAGTGTCTTTTAGCATGCTAATGCATTATAATTTGCACATAATGAGCAGTAAGGACGACCAGAGGTCACTTTTGTTGACATCTTGGTTTTGGTGGGTTTTGGCCGCTGCTTCACTGCAACCTGTTTTATCAGGAAGGTCTTTATGACCTGTGTCTTGTGCTGACCTCCTATCTCATCCTGTGACGGAATACCTAACCTCCTGGGAATGTGGCCCAGTAGGTCTCAGCCTTATTTTACCTAGCTCCTATTCAAGATGGAGTCACTCTGGTTCAAATGCCTCTGACAGCCTCAGTCAACCATCTGAAGCTAGAACCACCTTTCAGAATTGCCCCGAGTTGCCCTTACCTCCCATCTTGACTTACTCATTAATAAATTATTTCTGAAAGTGGTTCAAGGATTAAATCAGTTAGCACATCAAAGTCTAACATGGCCTTATTATCATTAGATTCTGGCCTCCTCAAGGTCACACATTGATACTGGGAACGTGCAGGTCGTTGAACCCAGGTGCCCTGTTTTCCATCCACTTTGCCTCTCTCTGTTTCCCTGTCCTTTCCACACTGCCCTAAAAAATAATGACTGAGAAACAGCCCTGTGTCTCCAGGCAGGCTCACTATCCAAGGCTTCTTGCTGAAAGTTTATTTGCACTGAAAATGGTCTGTCCTTGAAATTGACAGGCTGTGATTTTGAACAGATCTGTCCTACTCAGAGGCTTAAGGGTTTCATTTGATTCCACTTCAAAGCCATCTCATGCTCCCAAGGTATCCCCAGGCTCCCTGGGACCTGGGTAAATATTCTATTTGCTTGCATAAAGGCCTCTGAGAATGCCTCATTACTCGACACAATAGGTGACTTAATCTGTGGGTCATGGTTAAGTGACTGCACCACTTTGCAACACAACGCAGACTGCATAATCTCCCGGGATGCTCAAGTCAGACAAGAGGCTGAGGGCAGCTCTGCAAGGCACCAGATTGCACGCTTAGTGCTGGGGTGCACCAGCAAATGTGGCTGCTTCCAGGCATTGCTCCCCTGCCCACACCTGCAACCTGCACAACAGCCACCAAGTCAACCTTCAAGATACTCATCAGAGGTCATTCCACCTCCGAAACTTTCTGCATCTCTTGGTAGGCTACCACATTGAGCTCAAACTCCTATCCCCTTCTCAAGGCCTGTCATCGCCCCTTTGTAGCAGGACAAGCTGCAGACAAAACCCCTCAGACACCGAGTTAAAGAAGGAAGGGCTTTATTCGGCCAGGAGCTTCAGCAAGACTCATGTCTCCAACAACTGAGTTCCCCGAGTGAGCAATTTCTGTCCTTCTTAAGGGCTTACAACTCTAAGGGGGTCTGCGTGAGAGGGTAGTGAGCGATTGAGCAAGCAGGGGGTACGTGACTGGGGGCTGCATGCACCGGTAATTAGAACGGAACAGAACAGGACAGGGATTTTCACAGTGCTTTTCTATACAATGTGACTTTTGAACAGATCTGTCTATAGATAACATAACCGATTAGGTCAGGGGTCGATCTTTAACTACCAGGCCCACAGTGTGGCACTGGGCTGTCTGCCTGTGGATTTCATTTCTGCCTTTTAGTTTTTACTTCTTCTTTCTTTGGAGGCAGACATTGGGCATAAGACAATATGAGGGGTGGTCTCCTCCCTTACCCTCACCTCTAACACACACATCCTGCTCCAACAAAACTGGCCCCTTTCTGCTCCCTCCAGCACATTGCAGTCACACTGACCACGTTGCCTCCCAACCCAGAAATTGTCCCCATTTCCCCATGTCCTTTTTAAAGCAGGTCCATCATTCAAGGAACAGCTCAGTTCAACTCCTCCAGAGAGCTCTGCTGATGATTCCAGCCCTATCCTTTGGACTATTTCTATTCAAATTATCTGTCCCATACAACGTGGAACTTGATCATATTGTCAGAGGTGTTTGAACAAGAGTCCATCTCGAATAGGGGCTCGGTAAAAGAAGGCCGAGACCCACTGGGCTGCATTCCCAGGAGGTTAGGCCTTCTAAGTCACAGGATGAGATACAGGTTATAAAGACCTTGCTGATAAAACAGTCTGTGGTAAAGAAGCCGGCCAAAACCCACCAAAACCAAGATGGCGACCAAAGTAACCTCTGGTCATCCTCACTGCTCACCATACACTAATTATAATACATTAGCATGCTAAAAAATATGCCCACCAGTGCCATGACAGTTTACACATGCCATGGCAACGTCCAAAAGTTACCCATAAGCTCTAAAAAGGGGAGAAACCCTTAGTTCCAGGAATTATCCACCACTTTCCCAAAAAACTCATGAGTAATCCACCCCCATTTAGCATATAATCAAGAAATAACTGTAAAAGTGGGCAACCAGCAGCACTTGGGGCTGCTCTGTTTATGGAGTAGCCATTCTTTTATTCCTTTACTTTCCTAATAAACTTGCCTTCACTGTACTCTGTGGACTTGCCCCAAATTCTTTCTTGGGCAAGATTTGAGAATCCAAAAAACAAAACAAAAGATTCCAGAACCCTCTCTCGGGGTCTGCATTGAGACCCCTTTCTGGTAACAATATGCCATCTCGGATGTTCACCTTTGTCTCTTGGCTTATAATCAACTCAGAGCAATTCACTGAGGTATTACTACATTCCACAGTCTGAGCTGAATAGATGCAAAGATGAACCAAGCATCTGCCCTGTCCTGAAGGAGCTGAGGCTGGAGCCGCACCCACCACAGCTGTGCAATGAAACAGGCGGTTGCTATCTTCTGAAGAGTCCCCTAGCACCCAGCCCAAGGAGGAAGCACTGGGCAGTGGGAAGCTTCAGTTTTGGAGCCAGCAGATCCGGGACACATGCCCTTCCACCTGTTAGCTTACAACTACTCTCTAACAAGCCTTAAACAAGTCTGCACCCCTTCCCAGTTTAGTACCAAAAAGCAGGCACCTCCTCTACCTATGGATAAACTCACAGCTGAACGTAGAGATAAATAATAATATAGTATGTGCTGAGCACATTAAGTGGATTAACACACTTAATCTTCTTAACTCTATGAAGTAGCTACACCTATTATTACCCACATTTTATGCTTGTGGAGGTAATGACTAGTCCAAGATCACACAACTAATAAATACAATAGCCAAGAGTGGAACTCAAGTGGGTCTCATTCCAGAGCCCCAGCTCTCAATAACAATAATTATCTTCAGAATAGCAGCCAATGTTTCTGAGCTTAATATATAGGCACTGTGCCAAGTATATTACCTGGATTAGCTCATTAATCCCCCCAAATCAAGTTACTGGAGCCACTTTACAGATGAGAAATAAACTCTTGTGTTGCAGATAGTGACTATCTGAGGCCAGTGTCGTGTGGGCAGTAAGAGAATCTCCCAAGACAGTCACAGGTAAACAAAAGCAGATTTATTAGAGAAAGTATGAAAATACATTGCAAGGAAGCAATGGGCAGGTCAGCAAGATGGGGGCTGACTGCAAAGAGATGACAAAGGCTTGCTGACGATTTTATGGAATGGTGCTTGTGCTGTGTGGTGAAGAGGGCTTTGTACAGTCTGATAATGCCAAGGCTGCAGTGAATTAACTTGCATTTTTCATCAGCCAAGGGTCTGGTGATAGCTGGGTGCAGGAAGATTGTGGGTTATTTGCACAGCAGGCCTATGTGTTCTGGACCATGAAGAAAGGCGGACTTATAGCTTATGGTCTTTCTCTTTTTGCTTTCCCTTGGTCCTGCCAGCCCAACTCCCCCTTCCTAATTAGGACTCCACATCTTGAAGAGGTTAACTTGCTCAAGATGTCACAGCTAAGTAGAGTAAAATCCCAGGCAGCCTAAGGCCAGAAACAACTGTTTAATTCACTTGCAATGATGCCTTCATCTCAGCTATCCGGAATCCAGACAATGGCATAGCTGCCTCTTTTAACAGAGTCATCTGTGACCCAGCGTGAGATCCTGATCAACTACCACCCTGGTTCACGCCCTTCTTCTGTTTTCACAGAAAGTGACCATCTTTCTCTGATGAGAGTGAAACAGCAGGGATCCCCTTTTCTTTTAGGAGCCTGCAGACCTCAAGCATGGAGATTAAGGAAAATCTCCATGCTTGAGGAAGTTCTCTCAAGGGAAATTCCAGGCACCTTGCTAGCCCCAGAAGTAAATAAGTAATTTGTTAAATAAGAAGGTAAGAGTAGCCTAAACGAATATAACCAAGGAAGCTGAAGTTCTACAGACATTTGCATTCCCTATGGAAACTGTAAACCAAAAAGTATCTGACATGAGTCTCAATCAATTTGGAAGTTAATTTTGCCAAGGTTAAGGACATGCCCATAACACAGCCTCAGGAGGTCCTGATGACATGTCCCAAGGTGGCTGGGTTACAGCTTGGTTTAATACATTTAGGGAGACATAAGACCCCAATCAACACATGTAACATGTACCTTGGTTTGGTCCAGAAAGGCAGGACAACTGGAAGCAGGAGCTTTCAGGTCATAGGCAGATTCAAAGATTTTCTGATTGGCAATGAGTTGAGTTCATATCCAAAGACCTGGAATCAATAGAAAGGAATGTCTGAGTTACAGTAAGGAGTTGTGGAGACCAAGGTTTCATCACGTAGATGAAGCCACCAGGTAGCAGGCTTCAGAGAGAACAGATTGTAAATGTTCCTTATCCAACTTAAAGAGTCTGTTCTATCAGTCCTAAGGCCTTTGTGTTGATGTTAACGCTGGTCAGCCATGTGTAAATTCTAAAAAAGAGGAAGATATAATGAGTCATGTTAAGCTCCCCATTCCCATAATAGCCTGAACTAGTTTTTCAGGTTAACTTTGGAATGCCCTTGGCTGAAAGGAGGGGTTCATTCAGATAGTTGGTGGTGCTTAGAATTTTATTTTTGATTTAAAAAAGTAAAGATAATGTTACAGGAAAGGGGTCTCCATCCAGACCCCAAAAGAGGGTTCTTGGATCTCACACAAGAAAGAATTCAGGGCGTGTCCATAGAGTAAAGTGAAAGCAAGTTTATCAGGAAAGTAAAGGAATAAAAGAACGGTTACTCCATAGACAGAGCAGCCCTGAGGGCTGCTGGTTGCCCATTTTTATAGTTATTTCTTGATTATATGCTAAACAAAGGATGGATTATTTGTGCCTCCCTTTTTTAGACCATATAAGGGAACTTCCTGACATTTCCATGGCATTTGTAAACTGTCATGGTGCTGTTGGGAGTGTAGCTGTGAGGATGGCCAGAGGTCACCCTAATGGCCATCTTGATTTCGGTGGGTTTTAGCCAGCTTCTTTACTGCAGCCTGTTTTATCAGCAAGGTCTTTATGACCTGTATCTTGTGGTGAACTTCTATCTCATCCTGTGACTTAGAATGCCTTAACTGTCTGGGAATGCAACCCAGTAGTTCTCAGCTTCATTTTATCCAGCCCCATTCAAGATGGAGTTGCTGGCCGGGCGAGGTGGCTCACACCTGTAATCCCAGCACTTTGGGAGGCCAAGGCAGGTGGATCACAAGGTCAGGAGATCGAGACCATCCTGGCTAAGAAGATGAAACCCCGTCTCTACTAAAAATACAGAAAATTAGCTGGGCATGGTAGCAGGCACCTGTGGTCCCAGCTACTTGGGAGGCTGAGGCAGAAGAATGGTGTGAACCCAGGAGGCGGAGCTTGCAGTGAGCCGAGATTGCGCCACTGCACTCCAGGCTGGGTGACAGAGTGAGACTCCATCTCAAAAAAAAAAAAAAAAGATGGAGTTACTCTGGTTTACACACCTCTGACAATAACATCTTAATGTATGTCCCTGAGTTGATTTTCAGTGGCTTGGACCCCCACTAGAGAACCCTGTGGAACAGATCAGCTGGCACTAGACCCCAGATAAGGGGAAAGTGAAGACCAAACCTTAACTATCACTCTTTATTATAAGTTTCTTCCTGAGGGGCTTGAGGAAAGTCAATCCCCCTTGAAAGCTAACTTTCTTTTTTCTGTCGACTTTAAATTTTTAAACAAAGCTTCTCTATCTTAACCAATTGCAAATCAGAAAATCTTTGAGTCTATCTACAACCTGTAAGCCCCCGCTTCAAGATATCCCACACTTTTAAGCTTAAACCAATGTGTAACCTCCATGTATTGATTTATGATTTTGCCTGTAGCTTCTACTTTCCTAAAATTTATCTCTGCCTTTAAAAACTCTTGCCTGCAAGCCATTGGGGAGGTCAGGTCTTAAGTATGAGCTACCCAATTCTCCTTGCTTGGTGTCTTGCAATACATGCTTTCTTTTCAATTGTTGATGAAAAAAGCCAAACTCTGTAAAATATTTGAAGAGGTTTACTCTGAGCCAAATATGAGTGATTATGGCCTGGAACACAGTCTCAAGAGGTACTGAGAACATGTGCTCAAGATGGTGGGGTTACAACTTGGTTTTATACATTTTAGGGAGAGAGAAGCTACAGGCAAAGACATAAATCAATACATGGAAAGTATATATTGGTGTGGGCTGAAAAAGCAGGATATCTTGAGGGTGTGGAGCAGGGCTTCCAGGTCATAAGTGGATTCAAAGATTTCCTAATTGGCAATTGGTTGAAAGAGTTAAGCTTTGCCTAAGAGTTGAAGTCAGCATAAAGAAATGCTTGAGTTAAGATAACAGGGGTTATGGAAGCCAAGGTTCTTGTTACGTAGATGACACCTCTAAGTAACAGGCTTCAGAGAAAATAGATGGTAAATATCTCTTTTCAGATCTTAAATGGTGTCAGACTCTTAGCTAAATATCTCCTTGATCAGAAAAAAGACCTAGAAAAGGAAGCAGATTCTTTTTTTTTTTTTTTTTTTTTTTTTGAGACGGAGACTCGCTCTGTCACCCAGCCTGGAGTGCAGTGGCGCAATCTTGGCTCACTGCAAGCTCCGCCTCCCGGGTTCACGCCATTCTCCTGCCTCAGCCTCCTGAGTAGCTGGGACTACAGGCGCCCGCCACCACGCCTGGCTAATTTTTTGTATTTTTAGTAGAGACGGGGTTTCACCGTGTTAGCCAGGATGATCTCGATCTCCTGACCTCATGATGTGCTGGCCTTGGCCTCCCAAAGTGCTGGGATTACAGGCATGAGCCACCGTGCCTGGCCCAGGAAGCAGATTCTTTACAGAATGTAGACTTCCCCCACTAGAGACTGCTTTGCAGAACCATTTCAAAATATGTTAAAGAAATATATTTGATTTCCTTTAGGGCCTGCTATTTGTCATGTGATGCTATACCAGATCAGGTTGGAATTTGGTATCTTATTGCCACAGAGTCTGTTTTGTGGTTTCATTATCTCTATTTTAATGTTAGTGCTGGTCAGTTGTGCCTAAACTCCAAAGGGAGGGGGTAAAACAGTGCATATTGGACCTCCCCTTCACCTCATGGGCTGAACTAGTTTTTCAGATTTTCTTAGGATCCCCTCAGCCAGGAGGGGGTTCGTTCAGTTGGTTGGGGGACTCAGAATTGTATTGCTAGTTTACGCTATTGTTGCAAAAACCTCAGTGTGGATATCTAGTTTTACTGCACCAGGTAAGTGAGCCCCAGTTCAGTCCTATTACAAGAATCCAGTTCTGTGGCTAGTGGGCCACCTGACTGCAAAAGCCAGCCCCAGACAGAACCAAAAGATGATGTCCACAGAGCCCCTCCTAGGAATCTGCAGGCTGCCCCACGTGACCCAGGTCCCTCAGCTCAGCAACACCGTGAGGCAAGAGTACAGGACATCTGACTTCTGTGCAACCCTGGCTTTGCTGTCTCTCCTCAAGTGAAAGTTCTTTTTTGAGAGGCAGGGAGGCCTTGGGCAAATCCCTTCCCTCTCTGGCTCGCTGTTCCTTTGTCACTGAGATCAAATGAGAATGGGTTTGGCCTTCCTAGAAACTCAGGAAACAGGAGCTATAAATGAGAATGGGTTTGGCCTTTCCAGAAACTCAGGAAACAGGAGCTATAATTAGTGACAATTGTTACCGGCTCTGTGCCAGGCTGCCTGAATGGTTCCCTGCTTCCTCTGGGATCGAGGGGCCCAACTCAGGGAGGGCCTGGATGGACCCACCCAAATCTCAGTCCTTCCAGCTCCCTGCTCCTCTATCACCTTCATCTTTAGACTGAATTTCCATCTAGAAAGAGCAACCTCAATCTCGGCCCCTGCTTCCCATGCATCCCTGAAGTCGTCTCTAGGATGTCAGCTGGACATAACCAGTGTGCTCAGTGTAGGCAGAGAATAACGCTCTGTTACAGCCTTTCTATGTACCCCATTTATCCTAATGTAAAACTATATGATATTTTAAAAGTTAAAATTGTGATATGTATCTCAATTAGCTACCCACGGCCCAACTAAGCAGAGGCAGTAGGCTGGGTGCAAGGGAGCCGTGGGGCCCACAATGAGAGATGGGAACCCACAGACATCCTACCAGGTGGGCCAGAAGTTAGGGAAGCCCAGCTCTGGTCTGAAGTGCCCATGAGAGCAGCTCCAGAACTTTCCCACATTGAAGGCTCCTGGCTTCATTACATTGACAACGTGGCCTCAAATCTTCCTGTCCTCGTGGGAAATGCATTTCTTAGGAAATTGTTCTATAGCCAGTGTTTCTCAAAATTGCATTTGAATACCAGAGATGTTCAAAGCAGGGCAGAGGATGCAGCGATGCCCACTGGGGCCCATTGAGGGGGTTCTGGGTTAATTTCTGGTGTTGCACTAGGGAGGCAGGAAAGTGGGCATGCTGGTTTGTGAAAAGGGCCATGAAAAGTGTTTCTCTCCTGTTGAAATGTACACACATATTATTGCCTTTTTTCCCCATAATCACTCACTCAAACCAAAGCCTTATTACTTTAAAAAAAATGATAGAGCATCCTAACAATAGTCCATAATTACTTTGCAAATGATTATCTGGAGTAATTATGCCATTAGTCCAAGTGCCTTCTTCCACTTCAAAGATTTCTCTCTCTCTCCTTGGTGTCATCTATTTGGCTTAGGGAATGAGAGGGAGCTCCCAGGAGCCTGAGTGATAGGAACCCAGGCTGTAGGCAGAGGATTCAGAGATGCTTCTCTTAGTGTGTCTATTGTCAAACCAATTATTCCTGCAAATGGCACCTTAGCAGACCACTAAGGCCGTCTTCCCAAGGGAAACAGATTAACCATCAGCCTGACAAAATTCAGGCAGCTGCCTTGAAGGATTTCTGGCCACACTAGATAGAGAAAGGGGCCTTAGAACCATCTTTGGCTTTACTGATCAGTTTGGATTGACAGGCTGTGACCATGTGAAGGTCATCCCCTACCCATAATTAATATATCCAAGTGGGGTTGTTACAGGGAAGGGGTCCCGAACCAGACCCCAAGAGAGGGTTCTTGGATCTCATGCAAGAAAGAATTCGTGGCAAGTCCATAGAGTAAAGTGAAAGCAAGTTTATTAAGAAAGTAAAGTAATAAAAGAATAGCTACTCCATAGACGAGCAGCCCTGAGGGCTGCTAGTTGCCCATTTTTATGGTTAATTGTCGATGATATGCTAATTAAGGAGTGGATCATTCATGGCTCCCCTTTTTAGACCTATAAAGTAACTTCCTGATGTTGCCATGGCATTTGTACACTGTCTGGGCGCTGGTGGGAGTGTAGCAGTGAGGACGACCAGAGGTTACTCTCGTTACCATCTTGGTTTTGGTGGGTTTTGGCCAGCTTCTTTACTGCAGCCTGTTTTATCAGCAAGGTCTTTATGACCTGTATCTTGTGCTGACTTCCTATCTCATCCTGTGACCTGAAATGCTTTAACCATCTGGGAATGCAGCCAAGTAGGTATCAGCCCCATTTTACCCAGCCCCTATTCAAGATGGAGTTGCTCTGGTTCACACTCTTCTGACGGGGTGATCTTCTGTGGTTCCTGTAAATCCTGAAGGGGGGGACAAAGTAGCACAGACCACCTTTTCTCAGGTGCCTGTCCTGTGTCAGCTCCTGGACTGGGCACTTCACTCATATTAGGTAGTAATCTGTGCTGTATTTATTGCCCCCGTTTTACAGGTGAGAAACTGAGGCTTAAAAAAATGATGAACTCACACTAGGGTGAAACTCCATCACAAAAAAAAAGGAGAAAAAAAAAAGAGCTCACTATCCAAAGTCACACAACTGGGAAGCACCAGTGCCAAGATTAACACACAGATCTGTCGACCTGCAAACTCAGTGTTATTTTCTTTACAACACTCCGCGCTATCATTCTAGCTTCAAGAAAACAGGTTGGTCCTGGGTTCAATGCATCATTCACTGTTGCATGACGTTGTCTGAGTAGTAAATTCGCTTCCCTGAGCTTCCGTTTCTCACCTGCAAAATGGAGCCGATGATACTTCCAGAATAAAGGACTACATTAGGAATAGGTTAAAGATGAATGTGGAATGCACCATGATGGAAGAACTAAGGAAACCTTGCTGGTAATCATTTGAGTTTGTGTATCTGAAATTGAACCAGAGGCTCTAAGCCAGGAAAAGCAATACCAGGGCTTTACGAGCTCAAAGCAGTTTATGCCAAGCTTATTATAACCATCACTACCACTATGACCACAATCATGACAGGTACCATTTAGTAAATGCTTACAAGGGGCTGGGCATTGTGTAAAGTGTTTGCATTTATTTAATATTGTTTCTGACTAATATGCCAGCAACAGAGACATGAAGTAACACTGGCTCATAAACAAAATTGAGATTTTTCTTTTTCTCCTATAAAAAAGTCCAAAGGAAGGCAGTCTATGGAAGTTGTGATGATTCCATAAAACCATCCACGCCTAGCCTTCTCCAGTGTTTCTGTCCCAGCATCTTTAATGAATGGCTTTTATCCTGGAGATTATCCCATAGTCAGAAATGGAGCCCCAGGCATCATGCCCATGCTTCAGGCAGGAAGAAAGAAGATGAGGTAGTGGGGAAGCAAAACACCCCCTTTAAAGAGCTTTTCCAAATTCCCACCTGATAATTTCTGATTCAATCTCATTGGAAACCCCATCACCAGGGAGATTGAGAAATAAGAATTTTTAGCCAAGCAAGACCTACCTTCAAAAATATAGGGCTCTGGCTGGACACAGTGGCTCATGCCTGTAATCCCAGTACTTTGGGAGGCCAAGGCGGGTAGATCGTCTGAGGTCAGGAGTTACAGACCAGCCTGGCCAACATGGTGAAACCCTGTCTCTACCAAAAATAGAAAAATTAGCTGGGTGTGGTGGCCCATGCCTGTAATCCAGCTACTCAGGAGGCTGACGCAGGGAATCACTTGAACCTGGCTGGTGGAATTTGCAGGGAGCCAAGATCACGCCACTGCACTCTAGCCTGGGTGGCAGTGAGACTCCATCTCAAAAATAAAATAAAATAAAATAAATATAGCTCTGTAACTAAAGAAGAAGAGATTGGACATTGGGTAGTAGCTTACTCCATTTGTGCAGCTATAACAAATTACCATAGACTGGGTGGCTTAAACAACAAATATTTATTTCTCACAGTTCTAGAGGCTGGGAAGTCCAAGATCACAGTGCCAGCAGGCTGGTGTCTGGTGAGGGCCCAGTTTCTGGTTTGCAAATTGCTGCCTTCTCCTTATATCCTCACACAACAGAAAGAGAGCTAGAGAGCTCTCTGGGGTGCCTCTTATAAGGGCACTACTCCCCCTTCACCCTCATGACTTAATCACCTCCTACAGTAAATTCCTATCATTTTATGTTGCATCCGTATCCATTCTGAATATGTTTAACTTTTTCAAACCTGAAGCAGGACTCACTCCCCCTTGACATGGTTTCTAGTTCTACACCTCCTTCCAGTTCCTCCATGTGGTCAATCCAGATATCTACATGTAATGAGAATGATACAACAAAGGTTCCTGCCTAGGCCTTAGAGGTAGAAAATCATACTCAAATGGCCCAAGGCAGATAACCTCAGGCGGGCAGATAACCTGAGGTCAGGAGTTCGAGATCAACCTGGCCAACATGGTGAAACCCGTCTCTACTAAAAATATAAAAATGAACTGGGCATGGTGGCAGGCACCTGTAATCCCAGCTACTCAAGAGGCTGAGGCAGGAGAATCACTTGAACCCAAGAGGCGGAGGTTGCACTGAGCCAAGGTCGTGCCACTGCACTCCAGCCTGGACGAAAGAGCAAGCCTCTGTCCCAAAAAAAGAAAAAAAAAAAAAGGCTTGTCCCACCTCTCCAGGCTCCATGCCTCTGGCTTCTCATTCTCGTACCCACCCTGCACAGCACAGTTTCTCAAAGTGCTATCTGAGAGCCCCTACATCTAAATAGGCTGAAATGCTTGTTAAAATGTAGATTCCAGCCAGATGCAGTGGCTCATGCCTGTAATCTCAGTGCTTTGGGAGGCCAAGGCACAAGAATCCCTTGAGCTCAGGAGTTCTAGACCAGCCTGGGCAACAAGGTGAAACCCAGTGTCCACAAAAAATACAAAAAATTAACCACACGTGGTGGCAAATGCCTGTCGTCCCAGCTATTAATACTCAGGAGGCTGAGGCAGGAGGATTGCTTGAGCCCAGGAGTTTGAGGCTGCAATGAGCTGTGATTGTACCACTGCACTCATCCTGTGCGCAGAGTGAGATCCTGTCTAAAAAAAAAAAAAAAAAAAAAATGCAGATTCTGACCAAGCATGTGGCTCACACCTGTAATCTCAGCATTTCGGGACGCTGAGGTAGGAAGGATGTTTCAG
This sequence comes from Homo sapiens, assembly GCF_000001405.40. Classification (NCBI taxonomy): domain Eukaryota; kingdom Metazoa; phylum Chordata; class Mammalia; order Primates; family Hominidae; genus Homo; species Homo sapiens. The sequence continues at coordinate 67,513,990 of NC_000007.14, read as the reverse complement.
TTTCAATATCAACTTCTGTGTCCAAATCTCCCCCTTTTTTGAGAGACGAGGTCTCGCTATGTCACCCAGGCTGGAGTGCAGAGGCACCATCATAGCTCATTGCAACCTCAAACTCCTGTGCTCAAGTGACCCTCCCTCCTCAGCCTCCCAAGTAGCTGGGATTACAGGCATGCACCACCATGCTTGGCTATTTTTTATTTTTATTTTTATTTTTTGTAGAGACCACATCATGACATGTTCCCCAGGCTGGTCTTGAACTCCTGGCCACAAGTGATCCTTTCACCTTGGCCTCCCAAAGTGCTGGGAATACAGGCATGAACCACTATGCTGAGCCCCAGATGTCCCTTTTGTAAGGACTCCAGTCATGCTGGATTAGGGCCCACCCTAATGACTTTCTCTTGACCACATCTGCAAAGATGCTATTTGCAAATAAGGTCACATTCTAAGATACTAGAGGTTAGGGCGTCAACCTATCTTTTCCGGGCAGACACAATTCAATCCACAACAGTTACCAAATCTTGGAAGTGACATCCCATCATTTTTGCCATATTCTGTTTATTAGAAGCAAGTCATAGGTCCAGCCCTGACTCAAGGGCAGGGGATCACACGTGGGCATGGATGTCAGGAGGTAGACAGCATCGAGAGCCACTTTAGAAGCTGTCTCCATGACCCATATCCATAAACAGGGCTTGAATGAGCAGTCTGTTATCCATTTACTTCTACTGCAATTGTTTGTGAATTTATTTCTATGTTCCTCCAGACTGTGGGCTTCCCGGAAGCAGGGCTCCTGTCAAATCCATTACTAAAACATTCCTAACACCTAACGCCGGACTCAGCACGTGATGGGGTAGGTGCCCAGTCAATATTTATTGAATAAACAAATAAATAAGCAAATGAATGAGAAGCAGATAATGTTTCTCTCTGTCAAAGGGAAAAATTACTCCTAAAATCTTAGCAGGGGAGCATTGCAATAGGCCGTTTGCCATTCTGTGTCTGTGATTAAACGGATTCTCCTCCAGCCAGCCCAATCTTAACTATTGATCAGCAAACTAAACACTTGTTTATTTAAGGGGAGAAAGGCAGCGTTGTCTGCATACAGAGAATTCATGGAACAAGTCAGATGCCTGATGAGTAATTTTCCCTGCCGTTTAATAAGACCCACGAGGTACATCTGTTTCAATCACTTTGATTGGAACTAAAAACAAGCTCAAACAAGCTGCCTAATGCAGCCTCTACCTGACAGGTGTAGAGGGAGCGATTATATTGTCTCTTTCCATCCCTGGAAGCAATGAATGAAAGCCCACATGACTGGCAGCTTCTGGAAGAGGCGGGGAAAGGAGCAGATAGGAGAAAACTGATTCCACGGGGCAGGCTATGAATGGTGTGTGAAGAGCTCAGCTGGAGTTCCTGATGGGAGAAGAATGAGGGCTGAGGCCAGGGCGCTAATTGGGATCTTGTACTCAGAAGAGGAATTAGACAAAGAGATCTGCCAGCTCTCAACAGTCACGTGAAACACAGCAGATTAATATTAGTAAGCCAATTTGTCACAATCAGTATCCTCAGAGCATATGTGGGAAGTGGTGTCTATTATTCTGGAAGGAATAGTGAACTGGAATTCAGGAGTTGTTGGTTGAAATCCTGTCTCTGTCCCTTGCCAGCTCCGTAAACCAAAAAGTGTCTGAGACAAGTCTCCATCGATTTAGAGGTTTATTTTGCCACAGTTGAGGACACACCCAGGAAAAACAGACAAAAGTTACAGTAGGATCTGTGGCCTGTGCATTCTTCAAAGAGGATTCTGAGGACCTTAATAGTTAAAGGGGGCTGGGTGCAGTAGCTCATGCCTGTAATCTCAGGACTTTGGGAGGCTGAGAGGGGTGGATCCCCTGAGGTCAGGAGTTCGAGACCACCCTGGCCAACATGGTGAAACCCCATCTTTACTAAAAATACAAAAATTAACCAGGCGTGGTGGCAGGCACCTGCAATCCCAGCTACTGGGGAGGCTGAGGCAGGAGAATCGCTTGAACCCGGGAGGTAGAGGTTGTAGTGAGTCAAGATCGCACCATTGCAATCCAGCCTGGGCAACCCAGCAAGACTCTGTCTCAAAAAAAAAAAAAATTAAAGAGGAAAGAGCAGGCAGGAAGGGAAGGAGGAAAGAAGAAAAGGGGAGGGCAGATGGGGGGTGACAGGTGGCGATATTCCTGTGAGGCTTTGATCAGCCCTCACTGAATTTACATATTACATGTGAAAAGAGACAACAGGGTCAGGGGGTCAATTATGCATTCATCTAGCTCTGAGTGGATCTACATTTTATACAAGATAAAGTGAGCGTGTGAAATTACAGCTCTGTTTGTGGACAAAGGGAAAGCTGTGTTTGCATGACTCAGTTTCCCAAGCTTAACTTTCCCTTTGGCATAGTGAGTTTGGGGTCCCAAGATTTTATACTCCTTTCACAGTTCCATGACCTAAGGACACTGGCCTGAGCCCTCAGTCTCTCCAACTATAAAATGGAAATAATGGTTCTCATGGAGAAATGACATTGCGGATGTTTGCATATTATAACGTCTGTGAAAGGGCCCACTCAACACAGAGCCCAGCTCAGAAATGCTTCTCAAGACATATTCAGTCAATCAGCTTCATGTTGCCTTAGTCAAGCTGAGCCTCCATCATTTGGAATGAAGTTTAACAAGGATTTCTATTTCCTTTTTTTTTCTTTTATTTATTTATTTATTTATTTAGAGACAAGAGTCTCACTCCATCACCCAGGCTAGAGTGCAGTGGCGCGATCTCAGCTCACTGCAACCTCCACCTCCTGAGTTCAAGTGATTCTCCTGCCTCAGCCTCCCAAGTAGTTGGGATTACAGGCATGTGCCACCATGCCTGGCTAATTTTTGTATTTTTAATAGAGATGGGGTTTCACCATATTGGCCAGGCTGGTCTCGAACTCCTAACCTCAGGTGATCCACCCTCCTCGGCCTCCCAAAGTGCTGGGATTACAGGCATGAGCCACTGCATCCAGCCTGGATTTCTACAAAATAATTCTTTTGGGCTGAAGGACTAGGGGGAAATCAGTGTGTCTTTTCTGCAGAGCTGCATCATTGGCCCTTGCTTCTGTGGCTTTGTGGTTTTGTCCTTGTATTAGTCAGTTCTTGCATTGCTATAAAGAGATACCTGAGACAGGGTAATTTGTAAAGAAAGGGGGTTTAATTGGCTCACAGTTCTGCAGGCTGTACACAAGGCATGGCGCTGGCATCTGCTCGGCTTCTGGGGAAGCCTCAGGAAACTTACAATCACAGCAGAAGGTGAAGAAGGAAAAGCAGACTCACCGTACATAGCCAGAGCAGAAGGAAGAGGCGGGGGGAAGATGCTACACACTTTTAAACAACCAGATCTCACGAGAGTTCACTCTCTAGCACGACACAGTACCAAGCAGGAAATCCACCTGCATGATTCAATCACCTCCCACCGGGCCCCACCTCCAACGTTGGGGATTACAACTGGACGTGAGATTTGGGCAGGGACACAGACCCAAACCATATCAGTCCTTTTATCATATCTGTGTGCTTGCATATGGGTGCATGTGTACATGTGTGTGTGTATGTGTTCACATTCATAGTTCCACATACATGTGTGTACTGAATATCTGGGTCTCCAGCAATTACTTGTGCTGTCAAAGACTTCAATAATAGCAGGTTCTCATTCATATGCTTAAAAAGTCAATCTCATGGAGGAAGAAAGTAGAGTGATGATTCCCAGAGGCTGAGAAGGGTGGAAGGACAGGGATGAGAGGTTGGTTAATAGGTACAAAAATACAGTTACAGATGGAATAAGTGCTAGTGTTTGATAGCACAGTAGAGTGACTACTGTTAACAATAATTCATTGTATATTTCAAAATAGCTAGAAGAGAAGAACCGGAAAGTTCCCAAAACAAAGACATGATAAATGTTTGAGGTGATGGATATTCTAATTACCCTGATTTGATCATTACACATTATACAATATATCAAATGTCACATGTAGCCCATAAATATGTATAACTATTACAGAGCAATAAAAAAGACTTTTGATGGCCAGGCGCGGTGGCTCACGCCTGTAATCCCAGCACTTTGAAGGCCGAGTCAGGCGGATAATGAGGTCAGGAGTTCGAGACCAGCCTGACCAACATGGTGAAACCCTGTCTCTACTAAAAATACAAAAATTAGTCAGGCTTGGTGGTACGTGCCTGTAATTCCAGCTACATGGGAGGCTGAGGCAGGAGAATCACTTGAACCCAGGAGGCAGAGGTTGCAGTGAACTGAGATCATTGAGATCATGCCACTGCATTCCAGCCTGGGCAACAGAGCAAGCCTCCATCTCAAAAAAAAAAAAAAAGAGTTTTGATAATGGGTATGTATTGAGTCCTAACAAAAGCAGGGTGACGATAGCCCATTTCTGGGTGTTGTGTTGACCCCATCACATGGAAAATCATCTGTCTACATCCACCGCTTAGGTAAGATATCATGTCATGTTTAAGAGCACAGGGCCTGAGTTCAAATGTCTGCTCTACCCTCTCGTGGTGATTCAGAACATAGAAAGAAATTATTTAGGCAGATAGTGATAGTAAGAGTCCTTGGAGGAATTTCCCTTTTTACAAAAAAAAAGCGGCCTCCAAATCATTTCTTTTCTAACAAAGAGCAGCCTGTAAAATCAAGCTGCAGACATAGAAAAGCAAGGGGGAAGCTTGCACAGGTGAATGCCGGCAGCTGTGCCAATAGAAAAGGGCTACCTGGGGGCCAGGCATGTTCAACATGGAGGCTCCATCTTCCCTTTTCTTTGTCACCACGTGTACAGTAAAGAAATGGGCAACATGGTGCCGGCCAGGTAGATAACCCATCTGCATAAAAAAAGATTAGGGACAGTACCAAGCGGGAAATCCACCCCCATGATTCAATCACCTCCCACCAGGCCCTACCTCCAACGTTGGGGATTACAATTGAACGTGAGATTTGGGCAGGGACATAGACCCAAACCACATCATATGAGAAATTCGCACCCTATGCAGATGGCACACCTAGCACTATCCAGTTTTTCATGCTCTATGCAAATGACACACTGGTCCAACCAATCTCTCGTGCCCTATGTAAATCAGATGCCACCTCCTCAAGCTTATCTATAAAACCTCCTGCATTTCACCCTGGAAGCAGCAACGCACTTCTCAGGGATCCCTCTCTACCGCAGAGATCTCTTCTCTTTATTTTGCCTATTAAACTTTCACTCTGAACCTCATCCTCTGTGTGTCCACGTCCTAGTTTTCCACAGCCATGAGACAACAAATCTCAGGTATTTACCCCAGACAACGATGCTGCTTCAATGGGACTTTGAGCCAGTTTCTTACCCTCTGTGCCTTAGTTTCCACATCTGCAAACCAGAGGTAGTCATGGACCCACCTCATAGAGTTGTGATGCAGATTAAATGAATTAGGCTTAGCTCAGCATCACAGCCCACACAGCAGGCCTCCTGGTCCTAACATGGCTATGTTCTGAATTGCTTGGATGACTCTGGGAGGCAGATCACTGTCCTTCATTTCAATGTGCACCCTGAGGAGAGCTGCTTTATCTAGTAACCAACATGCAATCCATGCAGATTCAGCAGATGAAAATGAATGAATGAGTAAATGCAAAGAAATGCACCTGCTGAGTCCACTGAGAAAGGGAAAACCCAGTCTCTGTGTTAAATCTTCTACAAAGCAGTATACGTACATTTGTCTATCACTCAACAGGGATAATACTAATTACTCTTCCACCTTTTTGTGTCCTACTTATTACTTTGCACTTTCCCTACATTATTTCAAACAATCATCTAATAATATTGACAAACCAGATGTGGTGGTGTGCGCCTGTAGTCCCAGCTACTCAGGAGGCTGAGGTGGGAGGATTGCTTGAACCCAGGAGTTTGAGGCTACAGTGAGCTATGATTGAGCCACTGCACTCCAGCCCGGGCAACAGGGCAAGACTCCATCTCTAAAAATAAATGAATATAGATATAGATACAAATGAATATATCAGTGATTGTTATCTTTCCTTTACAGACATTAAAAAAAAACTATAGAAATTAAGACTTTTCCAGGCACAGTGAAGGAAGGCACTGACCAGTATTTTAGATCCAAGGGCTACCTTGGTAGTAAAGGTGATGTGAACCTAAGTATAAGTGATAAATAGGACATAGGCACACATGTGGTGTCAAACAGCTGCCACTCCAGTGGGGACCACTGGGGCATATTGCCTTTTCCTTCCAAAGCAGAACTGGGCTGACAGTAAAAGCCAGAACATGGCAGAAAGAAGCATAGGTGGCATCAGGGTGGGTGTAACACCAAGGCCTTGCCTAGGTGGGAAATTAGGATCTCATCAAGCTGAGAAGTTCAGGAGCAGCCAAGTTAGCAAGGAATTCAAAAATCAGGTTGGCCAAACCCAACCCTTTGTGCAACCCACGAACCACGCTTTCATGGTAAATAAGCACATAAAGATAGCACTACTATGTCCTGGAGCATGTACCTGACACCAAGCGTCCAGAGATCCATGAGAAATGACCCCCTCTCCTTTCACAGAGTCCTTGGTCTGGGCCCAATCAGCAGAGCACAGAGAAGTGCAATAGGATGAGACCACGCAGAGATGGGGTCAGCACAAGGAGCTACGGGATCTTAGAGGAAAGTGCCCACCCAGCCAGGGAACAAAGGAACAGCAGTTCCATTATTTAACAAGCCATCCCATTGAATTGTTTGTGTGCATTCCTTGTTTCTCCAGCACTTCTCACTATGGCTTAAATGTGTTCCCTCCAATATTCATGTGTTGAAACTTAATCTCCATTGCAGTGGTACCAAGAGGTGTTCAAGTGCCCACCTTCCCCAGGAAGCCCCTCTTATTGGGCCAGCTCTCAATGATCTCTCAAAATCATTGAGGAAGTGATTAATCACTGGGGAATGATTAAGTCATGAGAGCTCTGCCCTCATGAATGGATTATTATAAAAGGGCTCAAGGTTAAAGGGAGCACTCTCTTGCCCTTCTGCCACGTGGGAACACAGCGTTTCTCCCCTCCTGGGGATGCAGCCACCAGGTGCTCTCTTGGAAATGGAAACCAATTCCTCACCAGACACTAAACCTGCCAGCATCTTGGCCTTGGACTTCCCAGCCTCCAGAACCATGAGAAATAAATTTCCATTCTTTGTAAATTACCCAGTCTGTGATATTTTATCATAGCAGCACAAATGAACTAAGACACTTCTGTTGTGTCCGCAAGGCCTGATGCAAGCAGAAACAAAATAAGGGCTCAGGGCTTGTTGTTAAATGAAGAGAAGAATCCAACAAGAAAACAGATTCTGATTCAACTAATTTTGAGCTCTTACAAATTATTTCATCTAACCCCCTCTCCCCAGCAACCCCATAGGTAATATAATTGTCTCCATTAACAGATGAATCAGCTGAAGCTCAGAGAGGCTACATGATGTGCCCATGTTCACACAAACAGTACATGGAAAAGCCTATGAGAAAACTAAAAACAAAACCAACTTAGTCTCCCATGCACCTTCCACCAGGCCAGGCAGCTTGTTTTTCTTTCTTTCTTTTTTCTTTTTTTTTTTTTTTTTTTTTGAGACGGAGTCTCGCTCTGTCGCCCAGGCTGGAGTGCAGTGGCTGCAATCTTGGCTCACTGCAAGCTCCGCCTCCCAGGTTCATGCCATTCTCCTGCCTCAGCCTCTCGAGTAGCTGGGACTACAGGTGCCCGCCACCACACCCGGCTAATTTTTTGTATTTTTAGTAGAGACAGGGTTTCACTGTGTTAGCCAGGATGGTCTCGATCTCCTGACCTCGTGATCCACCCGTCTCAGCCTCCCAAATTGCTGGGATTACAGGCGTGAGCCACCACACCTGCCCCCAGGCAGCTTGTTAAATACATGCATATTGCACACTTTGTTTTGCCCTCTACTCATGCTGTCTAAATGTTATTTTGTAGGAGGAAACTAAAGGAAATGTATCTCCTCTGTCTTTTGGCTGGGGAATAGAATGTTCTTGTGATTAAGCAGGACTGGACAGTTTATGGGGTGAGGAGAAGGGCTGGCCTGGGCAGCTAATGGAAGCCCGACCATGAACCAGCATCCCCATGACAGCAAAGACATGTCTACTCTCAACACAACACTCATATGGCCCAAAGCCCTGGGGCAGCCATTCCCTTCTGGCCATCCCCAGTGCAAGACTCTTTGAAAATGTCCCTTTCCTCATCTTGTCAAAATCCACCTCCTGCATAACTGGGAAGCTGTCAGTGTGATCTATAGCCCCCAGGCAGGCCTGGAATATGAGCTAAATTGCCTGAGTCACTAGCAATGATAGAGTCATTCTGCAGGAAATTGGAAATCAATTCTTGTCATCACTGTACAGAACTCCTTTATCAAGAGTTCCAGCTCACTGTATAATGCAACCAAGAACTTGAAGGCCAATACAAACAACAAGAGAAAGTTGTGTGAGTGTGTGTGTGTGTGTGTGTGTGTGTGTGTGTGTGAAAGAGAGAGAGAGAGAGTATTTATCCAAAAACATATCAACATCCAAAGATCAAGTCAAGGCCCCTCCAGCTGACAGAAGACCCCAGTATCCAGAGGATGGAGATGTTGTATTCAAGGGAAGGTTGAGGACCATATAAGCCATGCACCCACCGTACAGTCAACTTGACCATGACCTCTGCTTATGCTGAGTTATTGCAAAACAAAGAACAGTAATAATAACCCTCCACCTTTGCACAGCACTCTGACATTATCAAGGAATTTTCCGGTGTGTTTCCCCAATTTTTAGCTTGAAGGGTTTTGGTTTGCTTTTGGTTTGTGATGCACTTTGCTTGCATTGTATGAGTCTTTGTTTGGTAGTTTGAGGCAACAAGATTCTAGGAGTTATCTAAAAGAGCTGAGCTCAGGTTATCACTCTTATTTATGCACATTTATACACACACACACACACACACAATCTTAGAAAAAGTGCAAATTTTCCTGAACCTCATTTTAAAAGATATTTTCCATAAAATACAAAAAGTAGCACACACCGGTTGGGGCACGGTGGCTCACGCCTATAATCCCACCACTTTGGGAGGTGGAGACAGGCAGATCACTTAAGGTCAGGAGTTCAAGACCAGCCTGGCCAACATGGTGAAACCCCATCTCTACTTTAAAAAATATAAAAATTATCCAGGCGTGGTGGCAGGTGCCTATAATCCTAGTGACTCAGGAGGCTGAGGCTTGAGAATCACTTGAACCCAGGAGGTGGAGGTTGTAGTGAGCTGAGATTGTGCCACTGCACTCCAGCCTGGGCGACAGAGGAAGACCTTGTCTCAAAAAAAAAAAAAAAAAAAAAAAAGTACACATCACAGAGTTATGACGAGTAAGGAAAACAAGCTTGTACAAGGAGAACTGTCTTGTCAATTTGCAATGATATACAATGATTAGTTGCTGATATTCATATAGCCACTGACTCATTAGGCAAATGGGTAAACTAAGCCCCAAAGAACTGAAATGAGCCGTCTAAAACTAGTTCATGTGGAAAACATGAGAAAGAACTTAACATTTATGTTAGGTTTATAAGAAAGAACTTAACATTTATGTTAGGTTTATAAAACAGTTACTTGTCTCTTATGCATTTTGGATAAGGGCCTAAGAAAACATTCTCCTCCTTCTGCTAAGGAAGACGTTTGAAGACCTTGGAGAAGAGCTCACAAAATAGGAATCAGCAGTCTTAGTCCTATTTTCTACCCTTCTTAGTGGTTCTAATAAGCTCTCCCATGAGAAGAATCATTCTAGAGATTTATTTATTTATTTATTTATTTAGGTACAGGGTCTCGCTCTGTCACCCAGGCTGGAGTGAAATGATGCCTTCATAGCTCACTGCACCCTCGATCTCCCAGTCTCAAGTGATCCTCCTGCTTTAGACTTCTGAGTAGCTGGGGCCACAGGTGTGCACCACCACATCAGGCTAATTTTTTTTTTTTTTAGCAGAGATGGAATCTCACCATGTTGCCCACACTGGTCTCAAACTCCTGAGCTCATGTGATTCTCCCACCTCGGCCTTCCAAAGTGCTGGAATTATAGGCATGAGCCACACTGCACCTGGCCAAGAATTCTGAATATTTCAGGCTCATACTATCAAACTCCCCTCCATGATCACTAACAGGAGTCTACACATGGGAAAGAAGGCATCTAACAGCTGCTGTCACACACGTACTTATCAATATCTCACCCTCCCACGGCTTGGCTCAAGCGCCCATCTCTCCCAGGAAGCCTCTCTTATTGTGCCAACCCTCAATGATCTCTTGAAATCATTACTTTGTCCCAGTTATTTGGCACCTATTTCCTGCTTTTTTTCCATATTTCTTTGCATATGTAAATCTTGCCTCCCAATCTGACCATAAGTCCCTTCAGGGAGGGGACCCCGCCTATCTCCTTGAGTGTCCAGGCTATGCTGTGGATTAGGGTTGCCAAGAGATGTCCAGGAAATCTCTGATGAGGATGAGGGTAATGAAGTATTTCCATTTCTCTCTGGGCATAAACAGCTGTAGGTCTCGTGGAGGGGCCAGGGCTAAAAGTCACAGAGGTAGCAGATTACCCTCCCCGCATGATCACAGTCCTTTACATAGGTATTCACCCCAAAAGCTTTGGCCACATGGGGTTCTACATTATGCTGGGGTCTCACAACACAGCTAGAAGATAAGGAGAAGAGTCAAATCAGTTGTAGAATGACTGGCTCTGGGAGAGTTAACCTGGGTTCAGTAGACAGGGCCCAGGACCACAGTGAACTAAAGCATAGTTCAGGAGTACACAGAGGTCCAAGGAGGCCTATGCAGGGGACAGAACACTGATGAGTAGCAGATGACACTTGGTGTTGACAGGGAGCAACTTCACAGTCCCAGGCATCAGGACACAGACCGGGCACGTGAGGGAAGCCCAAGGGAGAGGACTGGTGTAATCGAGGCTGACTCCACTTTTAATGTTTGACTGATGATAGGTTTCAAGTCTCACTAAGTCTCCTTCCCCTTCTGCCCACATCTCAGCAAGATGATGAGAAAGCCTGGGCTCTCCCTGCGTTGGCATAGGTGGGAAGTTTAAGTCATACAAGCCTCCACTCCCATGTGCATGGGAACTCTCACTCTGGCTCCGACCTCTAGGCCACCTGCTATGAACCAAATTCTGCCCTCCAAAATCCATATGTTGAAGGCGTAACTTCCAATGGGATGGTATTTGGAGATGGTGGTGTTTGGGAGATTTTTACATTTAGATGAGGTCATAAAGATGGGGTCCCCATGATTAGTGTCTTCATAAGAAGACACCAGAGAGCTTGCTTGCTCCCTCTCTCTCTCTCTCTGTCTTATGAGGACACAGCAGGAAGGTGGCTGCCCACAAGCCAAGAAGAGAGCCCTCACCAGAATCTGGCCATGCTAACACCCTGATCTTGGACTTCCCGGGCTCCAGAACTATGTAAATTTTTATTGTTTAAGCCACCCAGTCTATGATGTCCTATTATGGCTGCCTGAGCTGACTATGACACTACCATAACACCCCAAGACAGTCTTCTCTCCCTGCTCTCTCATGCCATTGCCAGACCAGCTCGAGAGCACGCCCTGTTCCCTCCAGAAAGCCTTATTACCTGAGTAATAAATCCTCTCATACTCTCTTAGTGTGTGTGTGGCATCATCAGCCTTGATAATATATAAGTCAAATTTTGGGGGCAGGGAATGGCCATCTCACCTTTGCAAGGTGACCACAGCAACTAGCAAGCCCCAAAGAGGACTTCTGCCTGCCACAGTCAAACAAGTCAGTGATCCTAGCTGGACTGACATGGATCAGAGGTCAAGAAACACTAAACTTGAGAAGATCCATGCAACCTTAAGCTCCCACGAGACCAATGGTGGGACACTCTGGTGCTCTGGGGCTGATTCGGGTAACTGCAGAGCTGAGCCTACAAGTAGAGGCAGGCAGATTGCCACCTGGGAGGGGCTGAGGAAGCAGGGGTTTTATTTAGTACAATATGGTTATGTGGAGGGATCCTCTCTCTAGGGAAAATTATGGCACAGCCCTAGCCACGCCCACCAGTAACCTTTGGAGCAAAGCATTTAAGTCAAAAGCTGAGAAAAGGCCATTGCAGCCGCTCATGCCTGTAATCCCATCAATTTGGGAGGCTGAGGCAGGTGGATCACTTGAGGTCAGGAGTTTGAGACCAGCCTGGCCAACATGGTGAAACCCCAACTCTACTAAAAATTAACCAGGCGTGGTGGCAGGTGCCTGTAATCCCAGCTACTCAGGAGGCTGAGGCAGGAGAATCACTTGAACCTGGGAGGTGGAGATTTTAGTGAGCCGAGATCGTGTCACTGCACTCCAGCCTGGGTGTCAGAGTGAGACTCTGACTCAAAAAAAAAAAAAAAAAAAAAAAAAACACCTAAGGAAAAACTGCAGATTGCCTTCCCCAACTATTCCAAGCCCTGTGTTTCTCCCCTTCTTCTATTTAGGAAAACTAAAATATGCAATCTCCAGTCTCCTTTTCAGTTAGGAATGACAGAGTTTTGGACAAGGAGATATAAACAGAAATTTAGTAGAGAAACCAACCCTTTCAGATTGAAAAGGCAAAGCCCAGCAAGGAGAAATTCCTTTGTCTCTTCCTCCTTCTTCCTGCCTGGAATGCAGGTGCAAAGCAGTGCAGTGCAGCAGCTACTTTGTGACCCTGAGGATGGAAGACACATGCTAAGGAAGATGGAGCAGAATTAGAGAAGGACCTGAACCAGCCACGGATTGCTTGCTCATGAGTTTCTGATTATGTGGGGAAAACAAACTCTTGCTTGGTTAAGCTATTGTAGTGGATTTTTCTCTTACTCACAGACAAACATTTTGTCAACTGACACATCAGCAATGCAAGAAGAGAACCTTACAGAGGGCTGGTGGATAATCCCCACCTCTGACTTCTTGCAAACTGGGTGGACTTGGGCAAGTTACTTATCTTTCTAACCCTTAGTTTCTTTATCTGAAAAACAAATATGACAATAGTATCCCTTGCAAAGAGTGGACATCAGACTTAAACGCAAAGCTCTCAGCCCAGGGGACTGGCACAGAAGAAGCCCTCAAAAAATGTAGGATATTTCTGTTAAACTGGGTGTTTCAACAAAGTCTACGCTCCATTTTCCTTAAAAGAACAATTCTGGATAAACTAATTATACCTTTTTCTTTTCTTTTACTTCCAACCATTTAGAGGCTTTTGTGCTGCCATGATATTCTTGTTTCGGGATCAGCAGATCACACAAATGAATCCTAAAGAGTCACTTAGACAGACACTGAAATTGTCAACTATTACCCCATCCTTAAAATTGACAGCAGTCTTTTTTAAAGTTTTATTTTAGGTTCAGGGAGTATACGTGCAGGTTTGTCATATGGGTAAATTGAGTGTTATGGAAGTTTGGTACAGAGATTATTTTGTCACCCAGATAATACGCATAGTACTCAATGGATAGTCTTTTCATCCTCACCCTTCTCCCACCCTCCACCCTCAAGTAGGCCCCAGTATCTGTTGTTCTTTTCTTTCTGTCTATGTGTACTCAATGTTTAGCTCCCACTTACAAGATAGAACATGCAGTATTTGGTTTTTTGTTCTTGTGTTAGTTCACTTAGGATAGTGGCCTCCAGCTCCATCCATATTCCTGCAAACGACATGATCTCCTTATTTTTTATGGCTGCATAGTATTCTATGATTTATATGGACCACATGTTCTTTATCCAGTCTATCATTAATGGGCATTTACACTGATTCCGTGTCTTGGCTTCTGCGAATAGTGCTGCGATGAGCATCCACACACATGTGTCTTTATGGTAGAATGACTTAGATGCCTTTGGGCATATGCCCAGTAATGGGATTTCTGAATTGAATAGTAGTTCTATTTTAAATTATTTAATAAATCATCAAACTGTTTTATACCATGGCTGAACTAATTTGCATTCCTACCAGCAGTGTATACACATTCCCTTCTCTCTACAGCCTCGCCAACATGTTTTTTGTTTTTTGTTTTATTTTTTTATTTTTATTTTTATTTTTATTTTTATTTTTATTTTGAGACGGAGTCTCACTCTGTCACCCAGGTTAGAGTGCAGTGGTGCGATCTCGGCTCACTGCAACCTCCGCCTCCCAGGTTCATGCCGTTCTCCTGCCTCAGCCTCCCAAGTAGCCGGGACTACAGGCGCCCGCCAGCATGCCTGGCCAATTTTTTTGTATTTTTAGTAGAGACGGGGTTTCACCACGTTAGCCAGGATGGTCTCCATCTCCTGATCTCGTGATCCACCCGCCTCAGCCTCCCAAAGTGCTGGGATTACAGGCGTGAGCCACCGCGCCCAGCTGTTTTTTGTTTTTGAGACAGAGTTTCGCTCTTGTTGCCCAGGCTGGAGTGCAGTGGTGCGATCTCAGCTCACCACAACCTCTGCCTCCCAGGTTCAAGCAATTCTCCTGCCTCAGCCTCCCGAGTAGCTGGGATTACAGGCACCCGCCACCACACCCGGCTAATTTTTTGTATTTTTAGTAGAGACAGGGTTTCACCATGTTGGGCAGGCTGGTCTCAAACTCCTGACCTCAGGTGATCCGCCTGCCTCGGCCTCCCAAAGTGCTGGGATTACAGGCGTGAGCCACTGCACCTGGTCCAACATGTTATTTTTCCAGTCTTGTTTTGCTTTTTGTTTTTTTGTTTTTTGGGGTTTTTTTTGAGACAGGGTCTCACTTTGTTGCCCAGACTGGAGTACAGTGACACAGTCACAGCTCACCGCAGCTTTGACCTCCCAGTTTCAAACAATCCTCCCACCTCAGCCTCCCAAGTAGCTGGAATCACAAGCATGTGCCACCACACCTGGCTAATTTTTATATTTTTGGTAGAGACAAAGTTTCACCATGTTGCCCAGGCTGGTCTCAAACTCCTGGGCTCAAACCATTCTCTTGCCTTGGCCTCTCAAAGTACTGGAATTACAGGTGTGAGCCAAGGCACCTGGCCTTGACTTTTCAATAACAGTCGTTCTGACTGGTGTGAGATGGTATCTTATTATGGTTTTGGTTTGCATTTATCTACTGGTTAGTGATGTTCAGCATTTTTGCTGTGTTTGTTGGCCGCATGTATATCTTCTTTTGAAAAGTGTCTGTTCGTGTCCTTTGCCCACTTTTTAATGGGGTTGTTTGTTTTTTGAAGAGCAGTCTTTAAAAGGGTATTGAGCGGGTCACAAGAGGAGTGTCAGGATCAAGCCCTTGCGTTCTTAGGGACAGTGGATGGGGCTGGTTTTCCATTAAGGAAGCAGAGAGGGCAATTTAGGGAGCAAAATATCAGAGATGTCAGGAAATCCTTCCTGCTGCCCTCTCTCAATAAAATCTTTCTAATGGGTAATTGAAGCCTTATTTCCACAATTAACAACCAGCTTTAAATGCAAATCCACTGGGGACATGAGATGAATGAACCCAAACTCTCTTTAAAGTATAGATGACTAGCACTGATGTCTTTCTGGAAATCAGTTTCAATGCAGTGGAGGGAAGTAGAAAATGTGACTGCAGGGAGAGGCAGCCAGGAGCCCAGTGACACACTTTTCAGTGTTCACAAATTTTGCCAGAAATTGGTCCTCAGTTTTAATCCAGTAAAAAATGGTGAGAAACAAGTTCTGTCCTTGTAGCATTTTCTGGGCCCAAGACTCAATGGTTTTCCCCACACAGAGATCACATCCAATCGGGAGCCAAAAATAGCTGTAGGCACAATTCACAATAGCAAAGACATGGAACCAACTCAAATGCCCATCAGTGATAGACTGGATAAAGAAAATGTGGTAAATACATACCATGGAATACTATGCAGCCATAAAAAAGGAATGAGATCATATCTTTCACAGGGACATAGATGAAGCTGCAAGCCATTATCCTCAGCAAACTAACACAGGAACAGAAAACCATGCACAGTATGTTCTCACTCATAAGTGGGAGCTGAATGATGAGAACACACGGACACAGGGAGGGGAACATCACACACCAGGGCCTGTCGGTGGGGGACAAGGGGAAGGAAAGCATCAGGACCAATAGCTAATGCATGCAGGGCTTAAAACCTACGTAATGGGGTGATAGGTACCGCAAACCACCATGGCACACACCTATGTAATATACCTGCACTTTCTGCATGTGGATCCCGGAAGATAAAATATAATAAAATTTTTTAAAAGCTGTAGAACACACGCTAGGCAAGTGCCCAGTCACCTCCAAGACACAGGGGAGCAGGGAGCCTTTCACCTTCCACCTTGGGATCATCACACAAAGGCTTGCTACGGTCTGCAGACCCCACATCCTAGGGGTCTCACAGCCGGCTGTGATGATGATGTCCACTAGGGCTGGCAGGATCCATCCAGCTGGTGGGGCTGGAGCAGAGAGTGCACACTGAGCACTCACGGACTCACTGAGAAACCTCCACACATGGCTGCCAGGCTCTGACCCAGCAGACAAGCCTCCCCTCTCCCTTGAGAGGAAGTCAATTCCTGGGGAAAACAGAAATCCTCCCTCTTTATTTATTTTTTAGAGACAGGGTCTTGCTCTGTCATCCAGGCTGGAGTGCAGTGACACCGTCATAGCTCAATGCAACCTCAGTCTCCTCGCTTCTAGTCATCTTCTGCCTCAAACTCCCAAAGTGTTGGGATTACAGACAAGCACCACCATGCCTAGCTAATTTTTTTTAACAGATGGGGTCTTGCTATGTTGCCCAGGCAGGTCTCAAACGCCTGGCCTTGAGTGACTCCCAAAGTGCTGAGATTAGAGGCACGAGCCACTGTGCCCAGCCAATCCTCTCTTTAAAGCAAGAATGTGAATACACACATACACATATACACCCACACACACATACACTCACACCCATATTCCAACATAATCTCCTTTGATCTTCTCAATGGCCCTGTGAAACAGTCTGGGCAAATACTATCCCAATTAATAGGTGATAAAAGCGAGGCTCGGCAAGCTAAACTAACTCAGCCAACTCAATCCAACGAGTAACTGCAGGCCCAGGCTCCTGGGATGTCACCACTCTCCGCCTTTCTGCGTAATTGCCCTAAATAACTCCCTATGCTCAGTGCAAAGGATCATGAAGCCAATTTGCCCCTCAACGGCAGCAGGGAGGTTTTAAATTTTTATGTTTTTAAATGAGGAGATGTTTTCAATTGTTCCCGCCTCTGTAAGCCTTCTCCTCTGGATGAAAAAGAATCTGGCTGGCAAGCCTGCCCTGCAGATGGCCACAGCCAAATGCCTAACAGCTTCAGTGCTGCATTTGATTGCGAGCGATGAAGAAAAACAGAGAAATCCTTAAACTGTGAAGGGGCCTGCCTGGCTTCAGGACATTCTCTGGTGCCTATATTCAAGATGTGTGCAATGCCGCCTTTCAATAAGTTTTAGTGCATTCTTCTCTAGGATCTTTGAAGTTTCTCTGATGGAGAAAACATTTTCTTTAGTTATTAGCTTTTGTAAAAAGCAAAATATATGAGCCTTACGATCTTCAGTCTCACAGCTCATAAATACTTCTGCAGAAGCACAGCCAGTCCCGCGAGGACTTTTCTCCGTTTTCCAGGCAAAATCAAAGAAATGTGTGGCCCAGCTACCACAGCCCCCTTAGTCAGAGGGAGAAGGGAACATGCTGTCTTTGGGGTCTCCAAGTCCCTCCCAGAGATCAACAAGGAGGCTAAGGACAAAGCCACTTTTCTAAGTCAGTAAGCTCAGGACTCATCTGAGAATCAACACAGCACACAAAATTTCTCTTTTTTTTTTTTTGAGACAGAGTCTCACTCTGTCGCCCAGGCTGGAGTGCAGTGGTGTGATCTCTGCTCACTGCAACCTCCACCTCCCGGGTTCAAGCGATTCTCCTGCCTCAGCCTCCCGAGATTACAGGCGCCCGCCACCACGCCTGACTAATTTTTGTATTTTTAGTGGAGACAGGGTTTCACCATGTTGGCCAGGCTGGTCTTGAATTCCTGATCTCAAATGATCCACTGCCTCAGCCTCCCAAAGTGCTGGGATTACAGGCATGAGCCATTGCACCTGGCCCAGAATTTCCTCTTAACACATCTCCCTGCCCTTTCCTTTCGCTGAAGCACTGCCTTGCACCCAATGGCAAATGACAGTCTTTCTCAAATGTCATTTCTGACCCAGCACTTTCTTTTCAGGAACCTTCCCGGGCTCCCTGAAACCCAGCCCGCTGTATCAAATCAAAACTCCCTAGTCCCAGACCCAAGCGCCTACCTCTCACCTCCCTTCTCAACCTACCCACTGTGGCAGCTCCATGGGGGTCCCCTCTCAACTGACCTCCATGCCTTTGCCTAAATGCTTCCTCCTTCTGTCATACTCAGTAAATGACTCATGTCCCCAAGCCTTCCTTGTCCTGGGTCCTTCAAGGTCTTCCTCCATCATGGTGTTTGTGAAAATGTCATCTTTGCCTTGGAATCAGGAAGACCTGAGTTCAAATCGCCTCTCTGCCACTTAATGGTTGTTCGAACTTTTTGGATAACGTGACAATGAGAACTAAAGTCAACAGGATGACACACATGCAGCTTCATGCCTGGCACGGAGGAGACATTTTGCCTCGTCTGGGTAGAGACACTTACGAAAAAAAAAAAAGTTTTGACAAATTACATTAAACAGAGTTTTTTGGGTTTTGGTTTTCTTGAGATGGAGTCTCGCTCTGTCACCCAGGCTGGAGTGCAGTGGCGCAATCTCAGCTCACTGCAACCTCTGCCTCCCGGGCTCAAGCGATTCTCCTGCCTCAGCCTCCTGAGTAACTGGGATTACAGGTCCACGCCAACACGCCCAGCTAATTTTTTTTTTTTTTTTTTTTGTATTTTTAGTAGAGACAGGGTTTCACCATGTTGATCAGGCTGGTCTCGAAAAGACGGGGTTTCACCATGTTGATCAGGCTGGTTTTGAACTCCTGACCTCATGATCCGCCCTCCTCGGCCTCCCAACGTGCTGGGATTACAGGCCTGAGCCACCACACCCGGCCTAAACAGAGTTTAATCAAGCAAAGAACGATTGCAAATCCAGCAGCTCCCCCTGATCAGCCACGTGGCAAGAAAAGATTTATGGACAGAAAAAGGAAAGTGAGGGCTCCAAAACAGAAGTGAGGTGCAGAAACAGCTGATTGGTTACAACTCGGGGTTTGCCCTATTAGAACCTGGTTTGAACAGGTGGCCGCCTCTGACTGGCCAAAACTCAGTGATTGACAAAGAGTAAGTGTCTGTTTACACATCCAAGTAGGTTAGTTAACTGTGGACAGAGAAACCTTTAGGTCAGGGGTGTCCAATCTTTTGGCTTCCCTCCGCCACACTGGAAGAAGGATTGTCTTGGGCCACACATAAAATACATTAACACTAACAATAGGTAATGAGCTAAAAAAAAAATTAAAAATTGCAAAGAAAAACCTCATAATGTTTTAAGAAAGTTTATGAATTTGTGTTGGGCCACATTCAAAGCCATCCTGGGCCTCATATGACCTGTGGGCCACAGGGTGGGCAAGTTTGCTTTACACAGAACTTAAAATATGTCAGGAGGAGCCAGAAGTGGTGGTTCACACCTATAACCCTAACACTTTGGGAGGCCGAGGCAAGCGGATCACTTGAACTAAAGAATTTGAGACCAGCTTGGCCAACATAGCGAGACCCTGTCTCTACTAAAAATACAAAAATGAGCTGGGCGTGGTGGCAGGCACCTATAATCCCAGCTACTCCAGAGGCTGAGTTAGGAAAATCACTTGAACCTGGGAGGCAGAGGTTGCAGTGAGCCAAGATCACGCCACTGCACTCCAGCCTGGGCAACAGTGCAAGACTCCATCTTAAAAAAAAAAAAAAAAAAAAAAAGTTGTCAGAGGGCTGAACTTAAGATACCCAAGCACTTTCAACTACGCAGCTGGAGAGAGTCAAAGAATTAGAGTTTTAGGTGCATTGACGGAAAGCCTCTTCCTTTCAATAAGACACTAAATGCATGTAATGTATGTATTGTTAAGATTTCCAAGAGAGCCCTTTTCCCAAGGATCCTATCCTAACTTACCTGACATTTCCCAATATCCCTTTCTTTCTTCCTATTGAGACCACCAAATTGGGGGCTTGGTGTGCTTTCTTGCCGATTGTTTCCTGGTCGAGTCTTCACTTCTTTTGCATTCCCCATGGTCTGCTAATCCTCATCCTAAAACAGGGCAGTTTACATCAGGGCACACAGGACCAAGGTCATGCTGATCAGAGGAGAGGAAGAAGAAAGGAAGAGTGTGAGCAAGTATTAGGGCAGGCCCAGGGTTCCGGAACCTCATCACAGAGGTTGGTCTCGGTGGCGGAGCAGCCCGAGAGCTAAGATCCAAAAAGTCATCAGGAAGTCTGGCTTGTCCCCAGTGGGGCCATGCCATCTGGCAGTCTGGCAGGGCCCGGGGATAATCCCTGCTTGGAAAAACAAGCAAATGCAGGGACAAACGAATAGATTGCCAAGTTCTGGATCTTCCAGAGCAGAGTAGCCACTTCCTGCTTCTGAACAACACAGGGATACATTCAAGGAACCAGATGTTACCCAGGTGCTTTAAAAAATGAAGGACTGGGCCGGGCATGGTGGCTCACGCCTGTAATCCCAGCACTTTGAGAGGCTGAGGCAGGTGGATCATCTGAGATCAAGAGTCCGAGACCAGCCTGACCCAATATGGTGAAACTCTGTCCCTACTAAAAATACAAAAATTAGCCAGGTGTGGTAGCATGTGCCTGTAATCCCAGCTACTAGAGAGGTGCTTGAACCCGTGAGGCGAGTGGTGGTTGCAGTGAGCTGAGATTGCGCCACTGCACTCCAGCCTAGGTGACACAGTGAGACTCTGTCTCAAAAAAAAAGAAAGAAAGAAAGAAAAGAAAAGAAAAAAGAAAAAAAGAACTGGTTTGTTAAATGACCATCTCCCTGATAATGTACGGCTGGAGGTGGTCTCACTTGCTGGACAGACTCAGGGGATAATGGAGTTGGGAGAGTGGCAGAGTAAGGGTGACAGACACAAGCGGCCAATAATCATGTGAAAAAATCTCAACATCACTGATCATTAGAGAAATGCAAATCAAAACCACAATGAGATACCATCTCACACCAGTCAAAACTGGCTATTACTAAAAAGTCAAAAAATAACAGATGCTGGTGAGGTTGTGGAGAAAAAGGAATGCTTATACACCATTGGTGGGAGTGTAAATTAGTTTAATCATTGCGGACAGTGTGGTGATTCCTCAAAGACCTAAAGACAGAAATACTATTGGACCCAGTGATCTCATTACTAGGTATATACCCGAAGGAGTTATATACCTAGTAATGATTTATAAATCATTCTACCATAAAGACACATGCACACGTATGTTCATTGCAGCACTGTTCACAATAGCAAAGACATGGAATCAACCCATCAATGATAGACTGGATAAAGAAAATGTGGTACATATACATCATGGAATGCTATGCAACCATAAAACAGAATGAGATCATGTCCTTTGCAGGAACATGGATGGAGCTGGAGGCCGTTATCCTTAGCAAACTAACACAGGAACAGAAAACCAAATACTGCATGTTCTCACTTATAAGTGGGAACTAAATGATGAGAACACACGGACACATAGAGGGGAACAACACACACTGAGGCCTACTGGAGGGTGGAGGGTGGGAGGAGGGAGAGGATCAGGAAAAATAACTAATGTATACTAGGCTTAATACCTGGGTGACGAAATAATCTGTACAAGAAACCCCCATAACACAAGTTTACCTATGTAACAAATCTGCACTTGTACCCCTAAACTTAAAAGTTAAAAAAAATAAAAAAGAGTAACAGCTATGAAGGGCACCTAGAGGAGAAGCCGGGAAGCTAGGAGATTAAGATTCTCCCCACACCACCAGGAGCCCACAGTCCATGTGACCAGCTCCATGGGGTGCAGCAAGCTCAGACCTCATGGGATGAGGCTGGTGTTGGCTTTCAAAGGATGCACAGTGTAGTTAGGGAGCTTGTCTTACTCAGCCCAGGCTGCCCTAACAAAATACCACAGGCTGCCTAATTTGTAAATTTCCAGATTGGGTGGCTGAAACAACAGACATTCATTTCTCATAACTCTGGAGGCTGGGAAGTTCAAGTTCAGTGGTCAACGGTGGGTTCAGGTGAAGGCTCTCTTCCTGGCCTTGTAGATGGCCACCTTCTCACTGTGTCCTCACATGGCAGAGAGAGAAGGCTCTGCATCTCTTCCTATTCTTATAAAGACACTAATTCCATCATGAGAGCCCCACCCTCATGACCTCATCTGAACCTAAGGTCTCCCAAAAGGTCTATGTGCAAATACCATGACATTGGGAGTTAGGGCTTCAACATATGGGTTTTGGAGGAACACAAACCTGCAGTCCATAACAAGGGTTAAATAGGGAGCTGATGTTCAAAAATCATCCAGAATTAGCACCATCTGTACGACAATCTAGTTTTAGATTACTCCATTGGCAGGGAAGGTGTATGCAATGTACTGTGTAGACCAGTTTAGCAGATGGTGGTAGCTGCAGGTTTTTTTTTTTTAATTATGCTTTCTTCTGATAACAGAATATATTCTGCTTTCAAAGGCGCACCCATGAGGCCAGGCACAGTGGCTCACACCTGTAATCCCAGCACTTTCAGAGGCTGAGGCGGGTGGATCACTTGAGGTCAGGAGTTCAAGACCAGCCTGGCCAACATGGTGAAACCCCATCTCTACTAAAAATAAAATTAAAAAATTAGCTGGGCATAGCGGCAGTCACCTGTAATCCCAGCTACTCGGGAGGCTGAGGCAGGAGAACCGCTGGAACCCAGGAGGTGGAGATCCCAGTGAGCAGAGACTGCACCATTGCACTCCAGCCTGGGTGACAGAAAGAAACTCTATTTCAAAAAAAAAAAAAAAGAAGAAGAAGCACCCAGATGATGGGACAGATCCCATCTGCATATTTAGGGACAGTTATGAGATTTGGATCTACATAATTAGACTACTCCATCCCCTTGCTGCAATAATTGGTCAGTGGAGGGTTACATGAACCAAGCTGAACCAATGAGAGTCATTCCTGGGATTTTGGCTAGAGCTGTTGGTGGGGGTGGTAGGGTGTATTAGTCCATTCCCATATTGCTATAAATAGTCCATTCCCATATTGCTATAAATACCTGAGACTGGGTGATTTATAAAGAAAAGAGGTTTAATTGGTTCACAGTTCTGCAGGCTGTACAGGAAACATGATTCTGGCATCTGCTCAGTTTCCAGAAGGTCTCACTAAACTTACAATCATGGCAGAAGTCAAAGGGGGAGCCATGATGTCACACGGCTGGAGCAGCCAGGTTGGGAGGAGAAGGTGCTACACACTTTTAAACAACCAGATCTCATGAAAACTCACTCACTCTCTATCACAAGAATAGCATCGAAGATGGTGCCAACCCATTCATCAGAAATCCACCCCTCTGATCCAGTCACCTCCCACCAAGCCTCACCTCCAGCACTGGGGATTACATTTCAACATGAGATTAGGGTGGGGACACAGATCCAAACCATATCAAGGGGGGGTGCACTCTTTCACTGGGATTACCCAGCTTCAAGGACAATGTAGGTCAATAGCTGTTGGAGGTCATTCTTGCCAACGCATGGGGAGAAAGTCTGTCTGAGAATGAAAACCACCCAGAGAAAAAGAACCAGGAAATAAAAAAGAAAGTCCTGATGATTAGTCGATGAAACCCTAGATCGAACCGTACCTGAAAACCATACTCCTCTCCCTTGAGCTTCCCTAGGGCATGAGCCAGTCACTATCTCTTTTTCTTTCAATTCAGGTCTCCATGACTTATAACCAAAATCGTTCTGACGCACACCACATGTGACTCAATGCCTCAGGAATGGGCTGAGGTCCAATCTTCTGGTGTCTTGCCTTCATTCCTGGGTGCTAGGCAGGACTGGGACAGACAGGGGCCATGTCTGGAGAGCAGCAATGTACAGAAGCCCCAGCCCCACAAAAGCAAGATGAAAAGCTCATGGCACCTCCCAGGGTACACCCTCTTGGCACAATTTTAAAAACACCCAGAATTTGGCACCAGGCAGACTGTATTCAAGTCTTCATCCTTCCATTTACCAGCTATATGACCTGAGCTGGCTATTTCATCACTCTGGGCCTTCATTTCTCCATCTTTTAAAAAAAATGATAACAACATCTACCTCGTAGGCTTTTTGTGAAGTTTTAATGAGTTCGGGAATATAAAGGACTTGATCCCATGTCTGGCACACGGCAGGTGTTTGATAAATGGCAGCAATTTCATGTCGCCGTGGTATACCTGTCCTTGCATGTTCAGCATGGGGAACAGGGGCAGCATAGATTATTGAAATTTTACATAAGACCCTCAAAAGAACATTTCCATCAAATGTTTCCATCTTTCCCCAGATCTCTGTTTTTTTTTTTCTTTTTTAATCAAAGCTGCCAACTGTCAATCAAATCCCCCTGAGATAGGAAAGGAGGAGAAAAATCACAGGGTTGGAGCCTCTGGGTGATGAGGACTGGACCCAAGGTGGCATCCACAGCTACCAGCTTCTCTTTTTTGTGGTGGAGAATTGGGCATCGGAGACTCTGCCTCATCCCCGAAGTGAGTACTTACTCTTTGCATGTGACACCTGCAAAGTCTGAGTGTCACCTCCGGCCCTCCTATGCCACCCTGTCCCATCCTGTCCTGTGTGGAAGTTTCTTTTGGGTAGCGCTGGTCTGGACAAGCCTTGCTTCTCTAAGCAGAGTCTATATCTCAGCTCTGGTCCAGTGCAGAGGCAGCGTGGAACAGCAGCGCCCACCCTTGGTGAGGAATCTGGAAATTCAAGTTCTATGCTGGGGGCAGGTGGCACCTTTCACCACCACCTTTCACGCCAGCTACTCTTGGCTGGACCTCAGTTTCCCCATCCGTAAACTGGGAATGCAAACCAGATGGCCTCGAAGGTCTTCTCCTGCTAGCAGCCTTTGTGTCTGTGAGTTTACAGAGACCAGTCTTAATTAGCACTCTCTCTACTTTGTTTCAAAATAATGGTCCTTCCTGAACCTTCCACAAACTCTTCCTCAGTGGACTCCAGCTCATATCCTGTTGTTAGAGGTAAGTTCATATCAAACCATAATTTTGTCCTCCTGCAGCCAGTATTCAGGTGTGTTCAGGGATGGGGAGTTTACCAGGTGACATGGTTCTCAGACCCATAGCATCAGCATCACCTGGGAACCCATTAGAGATGCAAATTCTGGCTACTCATAATCCCAGCACTTTGGGAGGCCAAGGCAGGAAGATAACTTGAGGCCAGGAGTTTAAGATCAACCTGGGCAACAAAGTGAGACCCAGTCTCTACAAAATAAAAATGTTAAAAACAAAAAACAACAACAAAAAAAGCTAGCCAGGTGTGATGGTGCATGCCTGTAGTTCCAGCTGCTCAGGAGGCCCAGGCAGGAGAATTACTTGAGCCCAGGAATTTGAGGCTGCAGTGAGCCATGATCATTCCAGCTGCCCAGCCTGGGCAACAGAGTAAGATCCCATCTCCAAATAAAAAATAAAAATTTAAACTAAAAAGAGAGAGATGCAAATTCTTAGACCCCGATTCAGACCTCCTGGAGATGGAGCCCAGGAGTCTGTGTTTGTTTGTTGTTTGTTTTGATTTGTTTTGTTTTGAGACGGAGTTTCGCTCTTGTTGCCCAGGCTGGAGTACAATGGCGCGATCTCAGCTCATCACAACCTCCGCCTCCCAGGTTCAAGTGATTCTCCTGCCTCAGCCTCCCGAGTAGCTGGGATTACAGACATGCGCCACTAGGCCAGGATAATGATGTTATCAGAGCCCACCAGTGTTAGGACACAACATCACAGCCTCTATAAAACCCGACATTGCAATGACGGCACACTCAAACAACACAACAATTTCCAGCATCTCAGCATTACAATCAACATAAGTCACAGGCATCGTGGCCTCCATCAATGACAACCAGGTCGCTATGACCATGCAAACAAGGTCACAGCCATCACACCATATGGTAACACACCATAACATACCATATGGTAACACACCATAGCCATTGCCAGAATTACATTATTGTTTTGTGCATGCTAGCACCCTCTTGTCCGCTACCCCATGACTGGGGGTCCACAATGGACTTGGGAAAGATGGCTTATCCAGGAACCTATACTACAGGACTCACTGCCACAAAGCTCTCAATGGCCATAGGGTTTGTGAAGGCTGTCTGTGGTCTCTGATTCCCAAGGATGCTGAAATTGACATTGAGAATCAGGCTTCCTGTGTTGCCATGGAAAGTCTCCTCGTCAACTATTCCCAAGCCCAGAATGAGACGTCACTGTTCATCTCAGAGGAGAGGCACCTATCAGCTTCTTATCCACACCCGCGGAGGAGAGGCTGTGGCCCTCCAACCAGGAACTGCTGGTCATCCGGAAAATCCACTTTGATGAGAACATCCTACTGTCAAGACCGTCTCCAGGTTGCCAGACCACAAGATGATTAGTCAGTTTCAGGGAGGCTCCTAAAAGGGGTGTTAATGGCTCAGACAAATGGATAGCAATGATGATTTTTACAAGACCACTAATAAAATAGAAGCAATGTTGTGGTTTGTTTGATTTTACCTGCTCTCGTGGCCTCTTAGCCTCACCCTCAAATATGGCCCATTGTGAAGATAATAGCACCAATTAACCCCGGCCTAATAGCTGTGATTAGACCAGGACTCTTCTAGAACTAGAAGCTAGTAGGTTTGCAGGGATAGGTGGGCAGCTTTCAGACGGTCCTGCCACTAGCAGATGCTCATGAGGCTGCCGGTCTCAAAATAGTAATTATAAGTTTCCCTGGACCATAAGCCGGAACTATAAGCTCCACTCCTGGCCAGGCGTGGTGGCTTATGCCTATAATCCCAGCACTTTGGGAGGCTGAGGTGGGAGGATTGATTGAGGCCAGGAGTTCAAGACCAGCCTGGGCAACACAGCGAGACATCATCTCTACCAAAAAATATGCATATATACAAAAATTAGTGGGGCATAGTGGTGTGCACATGTAGTCCCAGCTACTCGGAAGGCTTATGCAAGAGGATCGCTTGAGCCCAGGAGTTGGAGGCTGCAGTGAGCTAGGATCACACCATTGCCCTCCAGCCTGGGTGATACAGCAAGACCTTGGCTCTAAAAAAAATAAATAAAAGCTCAGATAGATCCTAAAGCCTGCATTCCTGTTTTGCTGATATATGAACAAAACCAAAGATGTCCCCCACCCTCAAGTGACCCCTGAATGGAATCCACCGTGTCTTTTGCTCAGCCTGGCAATTAAAGCCAACATCAGGACATGCACAGGGCTCTGGAAAATACACTGGGCTGGAAGTCAAGAAAGAGGAATCCGAGGGCCAGTCCAACTGCTTGTTAAGCCTCAGTTTTCTCAGCTAGAAGAAATGGGAGGGGGATAATTAAGTTTTGCAGTTACGGCTATATCATGAATCACTCCAAACTGAGCAGTGTAAAACACCCATTTCTTAGGCTCACAGATTCTGTGGGTCAGGAATTAAGACAGAGCAGAAGGGGAATGGCTTATACCTGCCTCACGGTGTCTGGGGCCTTAGATGGAGGATTTTAACAGCTGAGGCTAGAACAGCTGGGGCTTCTCCAGCCCTGTCTCTACATGGTCTCTCCTTGTGACCCCTTCTGCACGGAGGCTTCTTAGTGTTTCAAAGACACGTGTCCTGACAGAGAGGCTGAGGAAGCTTCGCCACCGTAGGTGACACAGCCTCAGAAATCACATTGCAGCTGGGCACAGTAGCTCACGCCTGTAATCCCAGCACTTTGGGAGGCCAAAGTGGGTGGATCACCTGAGGTCATGAGTTCGAGAACAGCCTGGCCAACATGGTGAAACCCCATCTCTACTAAAAAAAAAAAAATAGCTGGCTGTGGTGGTATGTGCCTCTAATCCCAGCTACTCGGGAGGCTGAGGCAGGAGAATCACTTGAACCCGGGAGGTATAGGTTGCAGTGAGCTGACATCGTGCTACTGCACTCCAGCCTAGGCAACAGAGTGAGACTCCATCTCAAAAAAAAGAAAAAAGAAAAAAAAGAAATCACACTGCATTCGTTTTGCAGCTTTCTATTAACTAGGCCATTAAAAAGTCCATCCAGGCCAGGTGCAGTGGCTCATGCTTGTAATCCCAGCACTTTGTGAGGCAGAGGCAGGTGGATCACTTGAGCTCAGGAGTTCCAGACCAGCCTGGGCAACATGATGAAACCCCGTCTCTACAAAAAAAAAAAAAAAAAAAAAAATTAGCCAGAAGTGGTGGCACGTGCCTGTAGTCCCAGCTACTCGGGAGACTGAAGTAGGAGGATCACTTGAGCCCGGGAGGTCCAGGCTGCAGTGAGCTGTGATCGTGCCACTGCACTTCAGCCTGGGCAACAGAGTGAAAGCCTGTCTCAAGAAAAAAAAAAAAAAAAGCCAATTCATATCCAAAGGAAGGAAATGTAGACCCCCACCTCTCAATGGAGAATGTCAGTGTCACATCGTAAGAAGAGCATGGGATGGGGTAAGATCAGTGTGGCCATTTTTGGAAAATACAGTATGCCCCAATAATATCTTCCTTAAAGAGCCCGCGCAAGGATTAAGCGCTGTGTGGCTGTAAACTCACTCGGGTGATGTAAAGTATTGCCTTCATATAGCCCGTCTAGTTGAAAGAGGCAGTGTGTACCTAAATCACTCTAATTCAAGAAAGCACATGAAAGAGATGAGTTGCTACAGACGGGGAGATTAATAAGGATGTAATGTAATTAGGAAGAATGAACAGGTGGACAGACCAGGATGAATGAGAGAAAGTCCTCTGCAAATAGTCAAGGGCTTGGTATTTCAGTGATTGCGATAATGATGGCTGTAATCTGGAGAGAAATATAGGAAGACACATGAATTGCCCAACTTTTTTACTCTTGGAAAAAAACATCACTTCCCCATCCCAAATCTAAGATGCATTTTTTTCCATTCAGTCAATCATTCATCCAACAACTATTAATGGAGGGTCTAGTACCTGCCAGGCATGATAGAAAACTGGAAGATGAAAAATACTTGGTGTCAGCTCTTAAATGACCGGTCCAAAGTGGGTACAGACGGAGAAAGTTGGCAAATGACACATGTATACGCTGCACCCCGCTGCACCCTGCTACTTTTCCCAGGTTGAATTCGACTCTGGAAAACAAATCCCCACCAGCTAGGGCTCTTGTCCTTGCTCAACCTCCACCAGAGAAGGACGCTAGTCCCCAGCCACAGCTAGGTTGCCCTGCAGTTTCCTTTTCTCTCTCCTTTTTGGCACTTCTCTAGCTCCTGCCCTTCCTCCGGGGCTGGCCTCCGCGGTCACGATCCCCATGTCCGCCTCCAGTCCTTCTTCCCCACCCAACCGGGGGTTAACATTTTCTAATGTTCCCTGCAGGGTTTGAAGTGCAGCTGTTACTGCCATTTGGAAATGGCTTTTTCAAAAAAAAAAAAAAAAAAAAAAAAGCTCAGCTCCTTCTTGGAAACACCCACAGTGCCATCCTCTGGCGAAAGTCAGGAATTCCACCTGCTGCAAGCTTCACGCTGCAATTAGGGGATGGCCTTTAAATGTCTCCTTGGAGATACTTGCAAAGAACTCCCCCGCTCCGCATGTGACCTCTCTATCTCCCGCAGCAGGAGTCTAGAGGTTAGTTCTGCTTCCCACGTGGAAATTCTAGGAATTGAAAGCAAGTTGCCAGGGAGGCTGGGTCCTCAAGGAAAAAAGGAGGAAGGGATGTTACAGCCCCAGGATATGAGAATGAAACTCTTTATTCTCTCTTTTGGTCAGCAGGCGAGAGGTTGTTTGTTTGTTTGTTTGTTTGTTTGTTTGTTTTTGAGACAGTCTCACTCTGTCACGCAGGCTGGAGTGCAGTGGCACGATCACAGCTCACTGCAACCTCCACCTCCTGGGTTTAAGTGATTCTCCTGCCTGCCTCAGCCTCCCGAGTGGCTGAGATTACAGGCATGCGCCACCGTGCCTAACTAATTTTTGTAATTTTAGTAGAAATGGGGTTTCACCATATTGGCCAGGCAGGTCTCGAACTCCCGACCTCAGGCAATCCACCCGCCTTGGCCTCCCAAAGTGCTGGGATTACAGACGTCAGCTACTGCACCTGGCCAGCAGGTGAATTTATTGTGCAAAACAAGAGTGGAGTGAGTTGGAAGACTCTCTCCCCAGACATGGGTTCACTGGCAGAGGAGTGATGCTTGGAGAGACAAACACGCAGTGAGGCCAGTACCCCGATTGGAACTCAGTCTGCATTGGAGCTTTCTGCCCAAGAAAAAAAAGGAATTAAGAAATCTTAGGCCTCCCAAAGGCCAAGAAGGGACGATAACTTGAGGCCAGGAGTTCAAGACCAACCTGGGAAACATAGCAAGACCCCAACTTTAGTTAAAAAAAAACAACAGCAGATGTTTACATGTAGGTCATACTTGTTGGTATCTGGTATTTTCTCCATAAGTAAATTTAGATTCACCTATTCATTTGTCTAGATTCATTTGTTCCTTCAACAGATAGTTTTTGGTGCCTGGCGCTAACCCAGTGCTAAGAATACCAAATACACAAAAGTTCCTGTGTTTGTGGAGGAAAAGGAGACACAGAATAAAAAAAAAATAGGTAAGTAAACCACATAGGATATTAAGAAGGTGCTAAGTAAAACAGCCACAGCCACAAAAAGCAACAAGGAGTGATGGGGTGGTGATGGGGGAAGACCTGGAGATGGTGAGGAATAACCTTTGGCTTCTGGAGGAGAGAGGGAACTCCAGGCAGAGGGAACAGTGCGCACTAAGTCCCTGAGATGGGAGGGTACTCGCCATGCTTAAGAAACCATCAAGGAGCCAATATGGCGGCAAGAGAGAAAGTGAGAAGAATAGATGAAGAAGACGCAGAGAGATCTCTGGGTCCAGATACTATAGGAACTTGCAGGCCATTACAGATGTTGACTTTTCCTCTGATGAAAGGGGATCCTTGCAGGGTTTTGAGGACCTAGTCTGATTTCTATGTTAACCTCTGCACACATTCTGCTGCACGTTCAGGGCACAGTGGTAGAAATGGTACAACAGTTGGGAGGCTGTTACAGTAATCCAAGCAAAAAGAAGAGTGTGGATTGGACCAGGGTGGTAGCAGTGTGGGTGGTAAGAAACAGCTGGATTCAGGACACAGTAGTCCCTGGTTTCAATTACCTGCAGTCAACTGTTATCCGAAAATAGTAAATGGAAAATTCCAGAAGTCAACAATTTATAAGTTTCAAATTGCATGCTGTTCCGAGTGGCGTGATGAATTCTCTCACCATTCTGCTCTGTCACACCCAAGATGCGAATCATCCTTTTGTCCAGTGGATCTATGCTGTCTACACCACCCACCCAATAGTTACTTAGTAGCTGTCTCAATTATCAGATGGACTGTCATGGTATCACAGCATTGGTGTTCAAGGTCAATAGCAACCTAACGCTATGTCACGATGCCTGAATCATCCACCTCACTTCTTCTCAAGATGTA
Organism: Homo sapiens; assembly: GCF_000001405.40. NCBI lineage: Eukaryota > Metazoa > Chordata > Mammalia > Primates > Hominidae > Homo > Homo sapiens. The sequence continues at coordinate 67,482,422 of NC_000007.14, read as the reverse complement.
GGTGTTTTATCATCTGGTATCATCACAAGAAGAAGGAAAGGTACAGTACAATAAGCTATTTCATGAGAGAGAGAGATCACATTCACATTACTTTTACTAAAGTGTATTATTATAAGTTGGGTGCAGTGGCTCACACCTGTAATCCCAACACTTTAGGAGGCCAATGAGGGTAGATCCCTTCAGCCCAGGAGTTAGAAACCAGTCTGGGCAACAGAGCGAGACCCTCATCTCTACAAAAAAAATTGAAAAATAGCCAAGCGTGACAGCACACGCCTGAAGTTCCCAGCTATTCAGGAGACTGAGGTGGGAGGATCACTTGAGCCCAGGAGGTGGAGGTTACAGTGAGCAGTCATTGCACCACTGCACTCCAGCCTTGGTGACAGAGTGAGACCCTGTCTCCAAAAAAAAAGGATATTATTATAATTGTTCTGTTTCCTTATTATTGTTGATAATCTCTTACTGTGCCTAATTTATAAATTAAACTCTATCATAGGCATGTAGGAAAAAGCATAGTATCTATAGGATTCGGCACTACCCACAGTTTCAAGCATCCACTGGGGGTCTTGGAAGGTATCCCCTGTGGATAAGCAGGAAATACCGCATGTTGTGATGGTGGAACCAAGTATGGATAATACTGTAAGGTCAGATGTGCTGCAAACAGAAAGAAGGTAGGCAAGGAGGACTCCAGGGTTTTTAGACTGAGCAGCTGCAAGGCCTCCATTGCCATTAAGTGAAATGCGGATGGCTGCAGGAGGAGTAGGTTTGGGGGAAAGATAAAAAGTCCAACATTGAAGCGTTAACATCTCCAGCAGATGCCAATGTAACTATGCAGAACCACTCGATTGGAGTATCTTCCCCCATTCAGGCACTACATAAACACTGGCCCAGAAGATACGGTGCTAACTGGTTTCAAAAAGTTAGGCTGGGGTGTAGTGGCTTGCGGCTGTAATCCCAGTACTTTGAGAGGCCAAGGCAGGAGGATCTCTTGAACTCAGGAGTTCAAGACCAGCCCGGGCAACATAGGGAGACCCTATCTCTACAAAAATTTAAAAATTAGCCGGGTGTCGTGGTGCACGCTTGTGGTCCCAGCTATTTGGAGGCTGAGGTGGGAGGATCGCTTGGGCCTGGGGTCTTGAGGCTGCAATGAGCCATGATCACACCACTGCACTCCAGCCTGGGCAACAGAGCGAGACTGTCTCAAAAAAAAGGAAGAAAGAAAGAAAGGAAAGAGGCTGTATGGGTTAAGAAAACAGGCCACCCTGCAAAGGCTAGCCAAGAGCTGAAGCTCTGATGGAGAGAAGGTTGTATAATGTTGGCAAGTTCAGACATAGCAGGAGAAAAGGCCAGGAAGCTAAGACTAGGGGCAGCTTCAGAAACATCCCATGATCCCTCAGAGAGGACAAAAGCCACCCCGGACCCAAAGGCAAAAAAGAGTAGGTTTGAGGAGCACCTTGGATGGGGCTTGTATGATGCATATTTTCGAATGCTTGCCCCAGCCAGGCCTCCTTCTCAACGAGTCTTTCCTCACCCAGGGTCCCTGACACTCTAAACATGTTTTATTCCAAGAGGCCTAAGGTCGCCCCACCTTCGTTCTATCTACCTCCCAATGGACACAGCCAGTTGAACCAGAAGTGTGGTGGATACTGACACAAGGTTTCCAAATGCTTAGTATGTCAAAGACCCATCAAATTCCCTCCTGAAACTCTGAAATAAGAGACAAAGACATTTGATGGTCAATGGCAGGTACCAGAATGGAAAGGTTATCAAGTAGAGAGAGAATGTGATGAGCAGACTGGGGGTCACATGCAAGAGAGTACACAGAGAAATATGAATGAGAAAGAAGAATGGGGCAGACACAAAGATGAGCAGAAATGAGAGTGATCACCTCACACCTGATGGATGGAGAAAGAGGCCTCAGTCCTTGGCTCTCCCAACCTCTATATTCAATGCCACAATGTTGTACAACTCCAGAGATCACTATGTACACCTCATGGTCCATGCAAACAATACCTTTGGAATTATGCAGTGCACAGCTTGTGCAACTGAACATGGCAGTACTGTCTCTAGCTATATTTTATTCCTGTGACCATGACATTGCCTTTTGTGTCCTCATAGTAATCCTTTTCCATGAGCTAGCACAATGGGTTTCTGTTTCTTTCCAGCAAGAGTTTTGACCAAGCACAGGCTCAGGAGGCACAGACCATTATGCTGGATTCCTACTCCCTAGACCAATTGGATCTAAGATCATCAGTATCTCTCTGTTGTAGATTTCCAGGAAGTGTCATTCACCTAGGGACACTGGACCTAACTGTTTGAGGACCTGAAAAGCAACTACACATAATCTGCTACTGCTGGGAGAAACGGCCACCTTCTTCTTTAATGAAATTTGTGATCACGATCTCTTTGGTATGTTTGTAGTGTGTTGGCATGTAGACCTATAAAGATAAGACTAAGAGAGATGGTGGCCAGAAACACTGGGAAACTAGTTTGGTAAAGACCGGAGTTTTATCCAGGCTAGAAAATTTTGATCCAGTGCTGAGTGGCTGGCAGATCCCATATCTGGGATTGCCTAATTCCTGCATAAAATTCTCATCCCTCTTAAGCAAATTCAACTATATGCATATTGCCTCTCCTCGGGTCTTCACCATCTTTGCCTAGAAGAGAAGCACATAATACACAAGAAAGCCTACAGGCACCTAAGCAGAGGGAGACAGGTGATCAAGGATGTTTGAAAATCATTTTCCTGGCCGGGCACCATGGCTCACACCTGTAATCCCAGCACTTTGGGAAGCCAAGGCAAGCAGATTGCTTCAGCTCAGGAGTTCAAGACCAGCCTGGGCAACATGGCAAAACCCTGTCTCTACCAAAAAATACAAAAAATTAGCTGGGCATGGTGGCACACACCTGTGGCCCCAGCTACTCAGGAGGCTGAAGTGGGACGTTGCCTTCAGCCCGGGAAGCAGGAAGTGGAGGTTGAAGTGAGCTGAGATTGTGTCACTGCACTCCCGCCTGGGCAACAGAGTAAGACCCTGTCTTTAAAAAAGAAAGAAGAGAAAATTATTTTCCTTTTCCCATCTTCTTCCCTCTCCAGCTGTCTGAAGTCTGAGGTCCCCTGCACTTAAATCTCTAATTTATCTATGTTGTAGCTCATGAAAAGAAATTTTTAACAGCAAGCATTCTATTCATTCATATTTCATGCACCTTCCTATGTCAGACAAAGTACATTCCTCAAAAGAAATTCCTCCACTTATTCTAAGCACATTGCAAAGCCCACTCTTCGCATATGCGTTGGTTTTGTGACTATCAGAGTCTCCTCCCCCCACCCCAGGCTGCCACTAATAAATCAAATCACTTAATGCTGTTTTGAATAAATGGAAAGATCAGAGTGCAATTCTAATGCTGTGGTGTTAGGCATTTGTTTGATGGAGGTAACATTTTTCACAACAAGATACATTTCTGTTTCCTCGAGTTATCATTAAAAACAGAAATTGAGCCATATATTGATGGACTCAAACTACAGTGCATACATTTTGTGGATTCTAAAAACAAACAACCAAAAAAAAAATGATGGAAAGGCTGAAAGGCATTCTGGTGCACGTGGTCTCAAACAGCGGTTCTCAGAGCAGGCCCCAGCCCAGCCACAGCAACAACCCCTGGGAACTTGTGGGAAGTGAACATTTGTGAGTCTCACCCCAAACCTACTGACTAGGCATGCTGGGTTCTGGGTTTTTTTTTTTTTTTTTTTTTGAGACAGAGCCTTGCTCTGTCACCCAGGCTGGAGTGCAATGGCATAATCTCTGCTCACTGCAACCTGTGCCTCCTGGGTTCAAGTGATTCTCCTGCCTCAGCCTCCCCAGTAGCTGGGATTACATGCATACACCACCACACCCGGCAAGTTTTTGGATTTTTAGTAGAGACGGGGGTTTCACCATGTTGGCCAGGCTGGTCTCGAACTCCCGACCTCAGGTGCTCTGCCCCCCTCGGCCTCCCAAAGTACTGGGATTATAGGCATGAGTCACCATTCCCGGCTGGGTTCTGGGGCTTTAAACTAGGGTTTTAACAAGGCTTCTAGGTAATTCCGATGAATGATCAAGTTTGAGAACTAAAGAGTTCTGGTTATTGGAGCTCGTTAAAAGGAGATCATTATCCTTAGCAAACTAAAACAGGAAGAGAAAACCAAATACCTCATGTCCTCACTTGTAAGTGGGAGCTAAAGGGCCAGGCATGATGACTCACGCCTATAATCCCAGCACTTTGGGAGGCTGAAGCAAATGGATCACTGGAGGCCAGGAGTTCAAGACCAGCCTGTTTAACATGGTGAAACTCCATCTTTACTAAAAATACAAAAATTTGTTGGGCATGGTGGCGGGTGCCTATAATCCCAGCTACTTGTGAGGCTGAGGCAGGAGAACCGCTTGAACCTGGGAGGCAGAGGTTGCAGTGAGCCAAGATCACACCACTGCACTCCAGCCTGGGCAACAGAGTGAGACCCAGTCTCCAAAAAAAAAAAAAAGAAAAAAAGAAAAAAAGCTAAAGGATGAAAACACTTGGACACACAGAGGGAAACAACAGACACTGGGCCTATTGGAGGGTGGAAGGTGGGAGGAGGGAGAGGATGAGAAAAAAGTGACTAATGGGTACTAGGCTTAGTACCTGGGTGATGAAATAATCTGTACAACAAACTCCTATGACACAAGTTTACCTGTGTAATAAACCTGCACTTGGACCCCTGAACTTAAAAGTCATCTAAAAACTGGCAATGAGTTACTGGTTCAAGAAGACAAATAGAGATTAGAGAGCAAGAGAGAGAGATGTTCCCAAGCAGCAGTACCGGATAGCAGTAAAGCCCTCACCCCACTGTTTATCTGTAAAACCCTAACAATAGGCTTAGGGCTTCACCGCTATCAGATACTGCTGCTAGGGTTAGGGTTTGACGGGATCATTCATTTAAAAACATCAATGAAGCCAGGCACAGTGGCTCACGCCTGTAATCCCAGCACTTTGGGAGGCCAAGGAGGGTGGAACATTTGAGGTCAGGAGTTCGAGCTCAGCCTGGCCAACGTGGTGAAACCCCATCTCTATTAAAAATACAAAATTAGCCGGGGCATGGTGGCATATGTCTGTAATCCCAGCTACCCAGGAGGCTGAGGCAGGAGAATCGCTTGAACCTGGGAGAAGGAGGTTACAGTGAGCCAAGATCATGCCACTCACTACAGCCCGGGCGACAGAGTGAGACCCTGTCTCAAAAAAAAAAATAAAAACATCGATGTAGCAGGCACAGTGGCTCATGCCTATAATCCCAGCACTTTGGGATACAAAGGAGGGAGAAATGCTTGAGGCCAGGAGTTCAAGACCAGCCTGGGCAACATAGCAAGACCCTGTCTCTATAAAAAAATAAATAAACAAAAATTAGCTGGACATAATGGCACTCACTTGTAGTCCCAGCAACTCAGGAGGCTAAGACAGGAGGATTGCTTGATGAACCCAAGAGTTCAAGGCTTCAGTGAGGTATGATGGTGCCACTGCACTCCAGCCTGGGCAACAGAGCGAGACTCCTGTCTCTAAAAAAATAAAATAAGAACACTGATGAAGTTCCCACACTGTGCGAGGAAGTAAGGATTTGGAGCAGAATAAGAGATAGTCGCTGCCTATAGTTTTTTGAGACAGAGAGGTAGAAAATCCTAAGGATAATTACATGTCATAGGTGTTAACTCAGATACATGGGCCAAGGGTGGGGTGAGCACAAAAGGAGCCCTCACTCTGGCTGGGGTAATAAGGGATATCCACAGGGGAGAAAACCCTTAAACTTGACTTGAAAGAGCAGGGGGAGTGTGTAGGAAGGAGTGAGAACTACACATTAAACAGGGAGAGCTACATGTGAAAAAAAAAAAAAAGAGCGAGATTATTAAGGGACCTGGATGTGCCCTGGGAACTCAGATACGTATGTGGGAGGTTTGGGTTGCTTGAAGATCATGCTTCATTCTCCAGGGCCAGCAAAGATGCCAATTTGTGCAGAAAATATATGCCAGGTGGTTCAGAGTTACATTCAAAACCAGTACGCAGACCGGCTGTAACCCCGCCTGCTCCCTGCCTCAGAAGGATTTTTAAAAGTCAGCTCCTCATCAAATGCTGGAATATATATATATATATATATACACACATATATATTTTTTTTTGAGATAGGGTCTTGCTCTGTTGCCCAGGCTGGAGGGTAGGGTGCAATCACAGCTCATTTGGGTCTCAAAATCCTGGGCTCAAGCCATCCTTCCACCTCAGCCTCCCAAGTAGCTGGGGCCACAGGCATGCATCATCATGTCCCACTAATTTTTTGTTTTGTTTTGATTTGTTTTGTTTGGTAGAGATGGGGTCTCACTATGTTACCCAGGCTGGTCTCGAACTCCTGGCCTCAAGTGATCCTCTCACTTTGGAATCCCAAAGTGCTGGGATTACAGGCATGAGACAGGGTGTCCAGCCTGGAATTTTCTAATATATATATATATTTTTTTTTTTTTTTGAGACGAAGTTTTGCTCTCGTCACCTAGGCTGGAGTGCAATGGGGTGCCCTCGGCTCACTGCAACCACTGCAACCTCCACCTCCCAGGTTCAAGCGATTCTCCTGCCTCAGCCTCCCGAGTAGCTGGGATTACAGGCATACACCATCATCACCATCATCATCACTGCCATTATCATCACCATCATCACCATCACCATCATCACCACCATCACCACCACCATTATCACCATCATCACCACCACCATTATCATCACCATCATCACCATCACCATCATCACCATCACCATCATCACCACCACCATCATCACCACCATTATCATCACCATCATCATCATGATTATCATCATCACCATCACCATCACCATGACCATCACCACCATCATCATCACTTTTATCATCATCATCACTATGACCATCACCATCGCCATCACCATCATCACCATCACCATCATAATCACCACTATCATCATCACCACCATTATCATCACCATCATCATCATCACCATCATCACCATGATCACCACCACCACCATCACCACCATTATCATCACCATGAACATCATCATCATTTTTATCATCAATATGACCATCATCATCACCATCACCATCATCACCACCATCATCACCACCACTATCATTACCACCACCATTATCATCACCATCATCATCATGACTATCATCATCATCACCATCATCACCACCACCATCATCACCACCATTATCATCACCATTATTTATCATCATCACCACCACCATCACCACCATCACCACCATCATCATCACAATCATCATCACTATTGTCATTATCATTATAACCATCACCATCACCATCATCATCGTCACTACCATCACCACCATCACTATCATCACCACCATCAGCACCACCACCATCATCATCCAGTCTCTGCTCAATCCCCGAGCCTAATAATTGGAGATGGGAACACCAGGCTAGTGTTATGACAATAGCTATTCACAGGCAACTAATAAATATAACTAAATATATTTCCTTTTCCTCAAGCCAATCCCATTGAAGCTTGACTGCTCTCTACAACATCTCCACAAAGCAGTTGCCAACCCATGTTTGTCCACCTATCCTGGTGGGCAGCTGAAGGCCTTCCCAGGCAACTCATTCCAACTGCAAGATCCAACACATTGGCTCTAGGGCTTTAATATTTCTGCAATCTCAAGAACATCCATACTATCCTACTGTGAGATTACTTTTGTTGGTTAGAAAAAAATTAGAAAATAGGCCATTATTTGTGACACCCCTATCCTCTTTAATGTCCAGGGAAACTTTTTTTGTAACTCTTCCCATTGAAAGGTGGATTCTACTTCCCCTCCCCTTGGATCTGGACTGGCCTTAGTAACTTGCTTGATCAGTTAAATGTGGCAGAAGTGGCTTCCTCCAAGGACTCTTGAAACACTCTTGGAATGCAGCCACCACCCTACCAGAAAGCCCAAGAAGCCCTGTGAGACTCCCATGTGGAGAGGAGCTGAGACCCCCAGACAAGAGTTCCCAGCCAACAGCCAGCCAGCACCAGCTTGCCAGCCATGTGAGTGCACCATCTTGGAAGTGGATATTCCAGCTGATCCACTCAGTCCATCTTCCGAGCTAATGCCATATGAAGCAGATACAGCTGTCTCCATTAAGTCCTGCTCAAACTTCAAACTCATGAGCAAACTAAATCATTATTATCATTTTAAGCTTTTAAGTTTAGGGGTCATTTATTATACTGCAATAATAACAAACATCCTGACTCATCTCCCATAACTGAGAAGTACCCTTAGATTCCTTTGAACCAAAGCATTTAGGAGAGCCACCAACAACTGATCATGAATGTGAACAGAAGCACTGTGTGGTTTTAAGGAAACGCAGTGAAGGGGAACATGTGTTCTGCTTGGTGGGGGACGACAGTGAGCTGACTCCAAAGGGATGAAAAGAATTTCCCAGATGGAGAAGAGGAAGGCGATGGAATAGGGGCATGGGGGTTGAAAGGGCCTGCCAATTTCAGGGATCAGTTAGGAGACTTGAGTGGCAAGGAGAGCAAAGGGCGTGAGGCAAAGGTTGGAGAGATGAGGCTGAGAAACTCGGGTTAAATTGAGAAGGACTTTGTAAACCAGGTTGAGTTTGGATTCCATCTTGAAAGCAATGGAGAGCCATGAAGGGGTTTTAAGTAAGGGTATAGCAGGAGATTTGCATTTCAGAAAGAATGGTCTGGCTGTAGCGATAAGCTCAAATTGAAAGAGGGAAAACCGGGAATCTTTTCAATAGCCCAGTCAGGAGATGAGGGTTTCCTGAAATAAAGCAATGGAGATGTAGAAGACATTTCTTAAGACCATTTAAAAGATGCACTTGGAGATCAATTGGGTGGGGCAGAGAAATCAAACAAGGATGATCCCAGATTTCTGGCTTGGGGCGGTGCCATTCGGCCAACTACAACTAACAATTATAGTAGGCAGAGGTCGGGGGGCATAGCATGGAACACACCCCTTTTTGCAAGCTCCTGCTCCAATCCAGGAGTTTGAGACCAGCCTGGGCAACACAGCAAAACCTCATCTCCACAAAACATTTAAAATTAGCCAGGCATGGTGGCAAGCGCCTTTAGTCACAGCTACTTGGGAGGCTGAGGCAGGAGGATGGCTTATGCCCAGGAGTTTGAGGTTTCAGTGAGCTATGATCATGCCACCATACTCCAGCCTGGGTGACAATGTGAGACCCTGTCTCTTAAAAAATAGAAACAGGCTAGGCGCAGTGGCTCATGCCTATAATCCCAACACTTTGGGAGGCCGGGGCAGGTGGATCACCTGAAGTCAGGAGTTCGAGACCAGCCTGACCAACAAGGTGAAACCTTGTCTCTACTAAAACTACAAAAAATTAGCCGGGTGTGGTGGCACACACCTGTAATCCCAGCTACTCGGGAGGCTGAGGCAGAATTGCTTGAACCTGGAAGGTGAAGGTTGCAGTGAGCTGAGATCATGCCATTGCACTCCAGCCTGGGTGACAGAGTGAAACTCAACCTCAAAAAAAAAAAAAAAAAGAGAAAGAGAGAGAGAAAAGAAAAGAACAAAACAAAAAAGACCCCTTTGATCTCTTTCGGGCAGCTCTGACCTAGCCCTTGGGACATCCCAAACCCTGATTCCGTTTCAGATATCCAAAGACAGTCATAATGTCTCAAGTTTCTTGTGTGATTATTTGCTTGTGCCCAGTAACCCTGGTCCTCTTGTTCCTTCATTCCTAATAGAACAAACATGTGCACATGACCCATGGGGTGAATCTCATTTCCTGAACTCCACACCAGGAAAAGACTGACCTTGTTAAGGTTTTAAGGTTTTTTTTGTTGTTGTTTTTTGTTTTAGCGACAAGGTCTCTGTCACCCAGGCTGGAGTGCAATGGCGCAATCACAGCTCACTGCAGCCTCAACCTTGCAGGCTCAAGCAATCCCCCAGTTTCAGCCTCCAGAGTAGCTAGTACCACAGGTGTGCGCCACCATGCCCCGTTAATTTTTGTATTTTTTGTAGTGACAGGTTTTTGCCATGTTGCCCAGGCTGGTCTCAAACTCCTGAGCCCATTCTCAAGCAATCCCCCAACCTTGGTCTCCCAAAGTCCTGGAATTACAGGCGTGAGCCATGGCACCCAGCCTAAATATCTTTTTTAATGTCTTTTTTTAATAGACTATAACCTCAGCATATGGTGTTGAAAATGTTTGAATGTACATAAAAGTATAACAAATAACATTTTAAAAACCACTCGTAATCCTGTTTCTTAGAAATTATTGATATTTGAGAATATTTCTATTTTTCTTCTATTCATATATATATGTGTTTTATGTGCTTAATTTTGTAGTATGAGCATTTTTCTAGGTCTCTCATATTTCCTGGAAAATATGCTTTTTAAGTGGCTAAGCAGAGTTCAACATGCGTGTACTTACATTAAGTTTGTCCCTATAATTGTATATTTAATATGTTTCTGTGTCTGTATGTGTGCATGTGTATACTGTTTTGTTGTTCTTGCTATGATAAAACCCTGTGCCGAGTATGTTTCTGTATAAATCTTGGGTAATCTTTTCTAATTTTTGTTTTTGAGACAGGGTCTTGCTCTGTCAACCAGGCTGGAGTACAGTGGCATGATCATAGCTCACTGCAGCTCACTAGCTCAGGCGATCCTCCTACCTCAGCCACCCAAGTACCTAGGTGCAGGTACACGCCACACCTGGCCAATTTTTTTATTTTTTGCAGAGACGAGGTCTGTCTGTGTTGCCCAGGCTGGCCTCGAACTCTTGGGCTCAAGCAATCCACCCACCCTGGCCTACCAAAGTGCTGGGATTGCACGTGTGAGCCACCATCCCCAGCCTCTAATTATTTCTTTAAGACAAATTACTGGCATGGTCCAAGGATTAAAAGACTTAGCTGAAGCCGGGCGCAGTGGCTCATGCCTGTAATTCCAGCACTTTGGGAGGCCAAAGCGAGTGGAACACTTGAGGTCACAAGTTCGAGACCAGCCTGGTCAACATAGCAAAACCCCATCTCTACTAAAAATACAAAAATGAGCCAGGCATGGTGACAAGCGCCTGTAATCCCAGCTACTCAAGAGGCTGAGGCAGGAGAATCACTTGAACCCAGGAGGCAGAGGTTGCAGTGAGCCGAGATTATGCCACTGCATTCCAGCCTGGGCGACAAAGCAAGATTCAAAAAAAAAAAAAAAAAGGCCGAGCACAGTGGCTCATGCCTGTAATCCCAGCACTTCAGGAGGCCAAGGCAGGCGTATCACAAGGTCAGGAGATCGAGACCATCCTGGCTAACATGGTGAAACCCTGTCTCTACTAAAAATACAAAAAATTAGCCAGGCATGGTGTCGGGCACCTGTAGTCCCAGCTACTCAGGAGGCTAAGGCAGGAGAATAGCGTGAACCTGGGAGGCGGAGCTTGCGGTGAGTCGAGATCGTGCCACTGCACTCCAGCCTGGACAACAGAGCGAGACTCCGTCTCAAAAAACAAAAAAAAAAAGACTTATTTGAACAAGTTTAAGGGTGTTACTTAAAACAAACTTCTTCCTAAAAGACAATGGGGTGATTTTATCAGGTCCTTTTACTTTTGGCCTTTCTCTGGTTGGCTGGAGGGGAAAGCACATGGCCACACTTCTCACAGCCTGGGGTTTCTGAAAGACATTGACAGATTCTTTCTTGGTGGAAATTTGAAACTCTTTTCTCCTCCTGGAATGGGCAACCCCTGTGACTTACAACCAGCCTGTGCCGGCTCAGTGGCTGCAAGTGCTGTCATCACAGCCCATCAAGCAAATGGAAAGAAACTGCCTGGGTCACTCAGGCTCTGAGCAAACACCGGGGAACAGTGGCTGCTCTCTTCTGTTTTCAAAGGAACATGCTGTTTTAATCACACCCAGGAATGCTTTCCCAAAGTCTTTCTACTCCCCAGAATCTTCCTGTCAAGCCTGGGGCCTGCCCTGCTTATTCTCTGAGTCTGCCTTTCCTGAAATGCAATGGCTGGCCAGGCGAGTCCCCCGCTGCCTCCCCGACCCTGAGCAAGGATTGTGGGGCATGGTAACTGACCAGCATTCAAGGAATGTGAACACCATGTCTTGGCCCAGATTATGAGTTCTGGGTCCAAGGGCTGGACGAGCTTCAGCTGGCTGTGTGCACATCAGCCCACTCTAGTTTTTTCTGCAAAATACACGGGATGTCCTTCTCAAAACTGGACTTACGGTCGGGCAAGGTGGCTCACGCCTGTAATCCCAGCACTTTGGGAGGTCAATGCAGGCGGATCACTGGAGGTCAGGAGTTCGAGACCAGCCTGGCCCACAGGGTGAAACCCCGTCTCTACTAAAAGTACAAAAATTAGCTGGGCATGGTGCTGCATGCCTGTAATCTCAGCTACTTGGGAGGCTGAGGCAGGAGAATCGCTTGAGCCCGGGAGGTGGAGGTTGAAGTGAGGCGAGATCACACCACTGCACTCCAGCCTGGGCGACAGAGTGAGACTCCGTCTCCAAAAAAAACAAAACAAAACAAAACAGAAAACTGGCTTACTGATTAGTAGGGCCCGGGGAGCAAAGATGCAGCATGGTTTTAATCCCACCCAAGTGTAAATCACTCTGCAACACTCATGTCCAGACCCCAGAAGAAGAGGTCTGCTCCAGGCATGCTCAGAGCCCTGCACCAAAGGGAAGGAGGAGGCATAGGGAGGAGCCACACATACCCTACCTCATGGCAGATATAGCCCCAGGAAGGGTGGCTGGAAGATGATGGCAAAACTAAGTGGAAATATGCAATGCATTTGGTGAGGGCAGTGCACAAATCTGTGCTGAAGACAAGAGACAGAAGACAAGGGGAAAATGCTTTCATCCTAAGTTTTGGTCCAAGCTGGGCAGACAGATGGTATTTTACTTTAGGAGGGTCAATCTGGTACAATAAGGATACTTGCAGAAGAGTTTGGGACTGTAGGATGTTAGAAAGATGCTACAATTGTCCGGCCAGGCACAGCAGCTCATGCCTGTAATCCCAGCACTTTGGGAGGCTGAGGCGGGTGAAACTCCTGAGCTCAGGAGTTTGAGAACACCTTGGACGACATGGTGAAACCCCATCTCTACTAAAATACAAAAAAATTAGCTGTGCGTGGTGGCACGTGCCTGTAGTCCCAGCTACTCAGGAGGCTGAGGCAGAAGAGTCACTTGAACCCCGGAGCCAGAGGTTACAGTGAGCTGAGATAGTGCCATGGTACTCCAGCCTGGGCTACAGAGTGAGGGAAGGGGAAGGGAAAGGGAAGGGGAAAGGGCGGAGGGGGGAGGGGGGAGGGAGGGAGGGAGGGAGGGAGGAAGGAAGGAAGGAAGGAAGGAAGGAAGGAAGGAAGGAAGGAAGGAAGGAAAGGGAAGGGAGAGAGGGATGCTACAGTTGTCAAGGAGAGAGGTATTAGAGTCCAAACCACAGATGGGGCAGATGGAGATGGGAAGAAGGAGAACTCAGGAGATATGAAGGAAGTAGAAGTGATAGGTCTTGATTTGTAGAACATTCAGGTGAGGACATCGAAGAGACTCCACTTTCCTTAAATAACGACAATAATAATAAGTGCTACAAAGGAGTTCATGGATCAAGTTAAATGACACATAGAAAGTGCTTAGAACAGTACGTGGCTGAATTAGGCTCATTGAAGATCAGGTCCTAAAATGAGTATGACTTAGACCAATATCACTACTATATAAGCTTGCAGGTCAAGGTCAGAAATATAGAGTCGGAATCAACAAATGGATGTCAGTTTAAGGCATCAAAGTGGACCTGATTGCCCAAAGCACACATGCACAGTTAGGAGATTGGAGAGCAGGGAGGCAAAAGGGGGCACCCATGCTAAGGAGCTGCTAGAGAGGAAGTGGTGGAAGAGTGAGAAAAAATAGCTCAGCTTGAACCAGGTAAGAACACGCCACAGAAGCCAAGAAGAAAAAGTGTGCTGAGAAGGAGAAAGTGCTCAGCGCTGCAGACAGGTAAAGTGAGATGAACATGGACAAAGGCCTATTGGATTTGGCCACAAAGAAGTTAAAAGGCAGAATGTTTTAAGGCAGCAGTCCCCAACCTTTGTGACACCAGGGACCAGCTTCATGGAAGACAATTTTCCCAAGTACCAATTCAGTGGGGTGGTTGGGCGGAGGGGGGGGTGGTTTGGGGATGACTCAACTGCATTACATTTATTGTGCATTTTATTTCTATTATTATTACATTGTAATATATAATGAAATAATTCTACAACTCACCATCATCAGTGGGAGTGCTGAGCTTGTTTTCCTGCAACTAGAGAGTCCCATCTGGGGGTGATGGGAGACAGCAACAGATCATCAGGCATTAGATTTTCATAAGCAGCATGCAACCCAGATCCCTCGCACATGTGCAGTTCACAATAGGGTTCATGCTCAGATGAGACTCAAATGCTGCCACTAATCTGACAGGAGATGGAGTTCAGGCAGTAATGAGAGTGATGGGAAGCAGCTGTGAATACAGATGAAGCTTTGCTCACTTGCCTGCTGCTCATCTCCTGCTGCGCAACCCAGTTCCTAACAGGCCACGGATCAGTACCAACCCGTGGCTCAGGGATTGAGGATGTCTGTTTTAAGGAGGGAAGGTGAGAATGCAGTGAATGGAAAGGACAATGGCATTCATGGAAGATGTTCCCCACCACATTATAAATCATGGAGGAAAAGGGGCACGATCTAAGTGCCCAACAAAAGGGGATTAAATATTTTATGTACAACTATGTTGTACTTTTCTTCATGTCATTATATAAAAATACATTTAAAACAATTGTTATTACATAGCAGAGTTCTAAAAGAGAGATGGAGGCTGGGCTTATGCCTGTAATCCCAGCACTTTGGGAGGCCAAGGTGAGCAGATCACTAGAGGCGAGGAATTTGAGACCATCCTGGCCAACATGGTGAAACCCCATCTCTACTAAAAATACAAAAATTAGCTGGGCATGGTGCCGGGTGCCTGTAATCCCAGCTACTCAGGAGGCTGAGGCACTAGAATCATTTGAACCTGGGAAGCGGAGGCTGCAGTGAGCCGAGATCGCCCCACTGCACTTCAGCCTGGGCAACAGACTGAAACTGTGTCTCAAAAAATAAAGAAAAGAGAAGGAGAGAGAGATGGATTAGTGAATAAAGAAAGCAAAAAGACACAGCTTTCAAAGTAAGGCAGAAAGCCTTTTTTAAAGCCTGTTATGATACAAAGGAAAAACAGGCAAGTGGAAAGTGACTGAGACCTCAGCTTGAGAGATGTGTTGACTCTAGAGAATCTGACAAGAGCAACAAAGACAACTCAAGGGCTGGCAAGTATCAGAGAAAACAAGTAAGAGTAGGATATGGTCCAAAACAATAAATGGTGTAGAATGCAGCTTCATGACTTTGCACCAAGGGTAATGAGAAAACCTGGGAAATGTAAATTCTTATGGGGACTCTATATTATAACTTCGTTCAATTCCCCAGTAGGTAGGCAGCTCCATGAGGACTGGGGCTTTCCTCTCTTCCTCTCTTTGGGATTCCCAGTTCTTAGCACACTGCCTAATAAACCTAAAGATAAGAAGAGTGTAAGAAAATGCAAAAGATTATTATTAATACAAAGATTAAGTGAAAAAATCAAAATACTTGCAATATAGTATCTAAGTTCAAATGGCCACCATTCTAAAAGTGTGCACAGGAAAAAAAAGATATAAACATTTTAAGAGTATATTAGAGTCTGGGATTGTGAATGTGAAATTTTTTCTTTTCTTTCTTTCCATAACTCTTCATGCTGGATTTATAATATGCTTAATTATGTTAAAACATATGCAAATACCAGAGAGAAGAAGGAAGGAAGAAAGGAGGGAGGGAGGGAGGGAGGAAGGGAGAAGGGAAGGAGGGAAAAAGGAAGGAAGGAAGAAGGCGGGAAGGAGGGAGGGAGGAAGGAAGGAAGAAGGAAGGAGAGAAGAAGGAGGGAGGGAGGGAAAAAGGGAGGGAGGGGAGGGGGAGGGGAGAGAGGGAGGAAGGAAGGAAGGAATGAAGGAAGGAAAAGGGAGGAAGAGGGAGAAAAGAAGGAAAGGAAAGGAAAGGAAACAAAAAGTGTGAACCTTGGACCCAGATGACTTAGTTTAGATCCCAGCCATGCCACTTACTGTGTGACATCAAATGAGTTCCTTAACCACTCCATACCTCAGTTTCCTTATCTATAAAATTGATCTAATATCCGGGGGTTTTCTAAGGAAGCAACCCAACAATTTGTGTTAGCTCATCCTTACTCACTCTGGGCTTTTGGGTCCCAGTCTATCCATTAATACATTGATGCTGTGAGGTTTGAGTGGCATTGCATTTATCCTCAAGCTCTTAAAATCAGTTGGAGCTTTCCTTTTCGTGGAAATGTCCAGTTTGGTTTTTCCCCCAAAGTTCCAGCCTTGCTTATATCTCTGACCCAAAGGACCTCACTTATAGACACACTGTTGTCCTTTGGAACAGTAAAAGCCAGGAACAGCATGAGTCCCCAAAAGCAGTTAGCAACTAGCTGACATTGGAGGCTGTAATCCTCTATCCTGCTGAGCCAAGTATCCATCTTTGACCTCAGGATGCTGTACACATTAACAAAGAGGGAATACGGTCTCCTTCCCAGTATTCTGCAACAACACCATTTTTACCTGCTAGAAAGTCTGAAAACTCTTGTCAGAGTCATCTCAGATTTCCTGCCATGGCATGGAGAAAAACACAAAGATACCATTTATGATGATCCAAAGTGGCATGTGGCAATTCCCCTGCTCTGCTTGTTGGTATCAGAAATTGCCTTTTTCCTCTTAAGGAGTAGCAGAGGGGTATGCTACACAACCCACGGGGTCCTTAAGTCCTCCAAAAAGGAGTGGACCCAACATATTCTCCATCCCTGGACTCAACCCTGAATCCCTCTCCTTGACTCTCACATTTTATCCTCCAGCTCTTAGAAATCCCAGCCACCATCTCTAACCACTTCCTCCTTTCCTCTTTCTCTTTGCCCTCCAGATATGGCATATGGGTAATGTTCCCCCAGAGCCCATGGGGAGCTTTTTCGAAAAATCAATGCCTGGGCCATGCTCCAGCTGTTGCTGCTGTGGCTACTGCAGAAGACCATGGGGTAGGTGGGTGGGAAGGGAAGATGAACATAAAGTAGAAAAGAGCAAAAACAATCTGCAACCCACAAGGATAGGCTGGACCATGCACTGGTGTCTCATCATCTCTAAGTCTCCACCTTCAATAATGGGGCTGATCAAAGGAGAAAGAAGCAGGTGTCCTTCCTTATGGAGCCAATTGCACACCTGGCCCAGGAATCAGAGAAGCTGAAGCCAATTAGGTGAAGCATAGATCAGTGCCAGCCCACATGAGCCGCAACAGAGTCCCATGCCTGCACTCACCTTCCAAGTGAATCAAGAATATGGCTGCTGTTTCACATCCACCTTCCAAATATTATGTACAATGTCCCTTAAGGCCCAGGTTAAGCCAGAACTAAGCAGGGAAGGTGTCTTAGTTTGTTTTCTGTTGCTATAACAGAATTCCCAAGACTGAGTAATTTTAAAAGGAAAGAGGTTTATTTTGGCTTGGCTTCTGGAGGTTGGAAAGTCCAAGATCCAGCAGATACATCTGGCCGGCTTCTGATGAGGGCCTCGTGCTGCAACATAACATGGCAGAAGGCAACACAGAGTGAGAAGGGCTCACAAGAGACAGCCAACATGGCTTTTTATAACAGACCTACCCTCATGATAACTAACCCACTCCCTTGATAATCCATTAATGTATTAATCTATTCATGAAGGCAGAGCCCTCATGACCCAATCACCTCCCAAAGGTCTCACCTCTCAATGCTGTTGCACTGGGGACCAACTTTCCAATACATGAACTTTTGGGGGACACATTCAAACCATAACAGAAGGGGATTTCAAGAAACATAAATCCAGCTTAGCTAAATAGGCACGGTATGAATCTACCATACCTCCCCTCTTTCTTTTTCTCTCTTCAACTTTCCCTCTCCTTTCTCTTTTCCTTTTTCCCTGCAAATATCTCAAAGCATTTTCAGTCATGATGGTTTGCTCCTATGTAAATCTAAATATTTAGTAAGAGCCTATGTGTGTTCAACTTTGTTGAACCCTCATGAATGGGATTAGTGCCCTTAAAAATGAAACCCCAGGGAGCTCTCTGCTCCCTGTCATGCACAGAAGGCAGCCATCTGTGAACCAGAAACCAGGCCTGCACCAGACACCGAATCTGCCAGCAATTTCCAGTCTCCAGAGCTGTGAGAAATGAATGGCTTTTTGTTTAAGCCACTTCATCTATGGTATTTTTGTATTGTCCATTAGCAGCACAAATGGACTAGGATGAAGGAGATAGGGGAAAAAAAGAAAGAAGGAAAAAAAGCTATCTGGTAAAGTTAGTGGAGGAAAAACCCACAGTGGAAGTCAAGTCTTCACCTACCACCCAGGCCAAAGGTGCTACAGGGGTCCGCATTGGCCCACCTCTGTTGGCTGAGCCCCTCAAGGTCAGAATCCAGGACCCTCACCACTGCTCAGTGTATCTATGGGTTGCCCTGACAAAGGTCCATGCAAATAAGAGTTGTCCTTGGGTCTTGCAAAAACTGTGACATTGTCCCTAGATTCTTTATGTTTAGAAAGGCTGGTCCCCACTGCTCCCAGCAATGCTTATCTCTGAGAAAACTGAAAATTATAGACCCAATGAGCATCAGACCTTGAAAAGATACTAGCATCATAAGTTACAAATGAAATGGAGGTGCTGGAGAGTCAAATAACCCATCCAAGATCACTCAGCCAGGAAGCAACAGGTTCATGCTTCCAAACCAAGTTTCCTGACTCCTGGCCAAGGAAGTCTTTATCCTCTGTCAAGCAGCTTTGTGAAATAAAGACTCAGAAAGTCACCAGATTTGGCCCCCAAGGGAAGGGCTCAGTCAGCTAAGGCTTATAGAGGAAGCTTCCTAAAGTGGTCTTGCTAGTAAAGCTTGAGTCTACGAAAGGTGGTAGGGTCCCCTTCAGTAAAGTCAAAGTTCTGTTAGCTGGAGAAGAACCACAGACACTGACCCAAAGATCTGACTTAACCCAATAAAACAGTCTTCCCTCCAGTTGAAAGATTTTTCCTAACTAAGGCCCACCAAACCAGGTATTCCTCCATGAGATCCAGAGCAGACCTTTCTTTGAAGTGAGAGTAATGCCTCAGGGAAATAAAAATCCATCTGCTCAGAAGGGATCATTTGGAACTGGGGCCCTCTTGTAGAATCTGCTGGCCTTTTAGCTGAAGCAGTTAACACGTGCTCTGCTGTCTCTTAGAGGGCTCAGAGATGAAACACAGCCAGCCGCCACACTTCCCAGCACAGCCAAAAACAGTCTGCAGGGGCCCATCTGGAGCAAATCAGTCTCACTGGAGTGAAAAATAGCAGATGTCGGAGTGCGCCAGCAGCCCCGGGAAACCCCAGCCCTGCTGCCCTCCGCTCTGCCCTCACAAATCATCCTTGCACAGATCGCTCACTCGCACAAGGCAGCCTCTTGGCTCCCGGCTTCCCTGCTGCCCTGGAGGCCCATCTGTGGCTGAAAAACAGGTTTGCAAGCTGGAAAGGAACCCTGGCATCTCCTTAGGGGACATGATCCAAGAGATTTCTGGACTCTGAAGTCAAAAAATCATAGACTCATAGGACATTTGAGCTCAAATGGACCCTCAGGGTCACTGGGTCCAACCCCACCACTTTACAGATGAGGAGGCTGAGGTCCTGACTCAGCAAGTCAGCCCTGAGAAGTAGACAATGACTGTTGCTAAAGCCAGCCTTGGAAAAACCAAGCATTCAGGAGATTTTCATTGAGCACCTACTGTGTGCTGGGTTCTGTGGTACCCTAAAGGCATTCACGGAATAGTGATGGAAACATACACAGATCATTTCCATCTCTGGCCAGTTTTGAGAAAGGAGGCTATGGAAAGAAAGGGAGGGGCACTTAGCACAGCCTGGAATTCAGTTTCCTAAACAAGCCCCGTGCACCAGTATGAAAGCACCAGGTAACCAACAGGACAAGCAGGTGCAATTAAGCACTTCTCCCTACAGAGCAGCCAAGTCTTCCAGCCAAAGTGTCTGTCCAGGTTCTGGTACTTCACATCCTCCTCCCAGGATCTTTTCTGTGGGCTTCCTGGCCCACAGGACCGGTACTTTCTTTCTTTCTTTTTTTTTTTTTTTTTTTTTTTTTTGAGACAGAGTCTCACTGTCACCCAGGCTGGAGTGCAATGGCGCGATGTCCGCTCACTGCAACCTCCGCCTCCAGGGTTCAAGCAATTCTCCTGCCTCAGCCTCCCGAGTAGCTGGGACTACAGGCATCCGCCATCACACCCAGCTAATTTTTGTATTTTTAGTAGAGATGGAGTTTCACCATGTTTGTCAGGCTGGTCTTGAACTCCTGACCTCAGGTGATCTGCCCGCCTTGGCCTCCCAAAATACTGGGATTACAGGCGTGAGCCACCACATAGGCCTAGGACCAGTACTTTCTTAAGGCAATTAAGTCTCCAGAAACCAGGTTGGGCTCCCCAGACTGCTTCATTTTCTTAGAGTTACCTGCTTCAGCTGTCTCCTCCTGGGGCATGTCTCTTTCTGCCTTTTCACGTCTGTGCACATTACACTGCTGAACATGGAGTTGTTCCCCATCAGGAAAGCCCAGCTCTCCTTTCCTGCTATTGCACTCGGCTTTGGGACTCTGCATTCTCTGTATCGAGCTCCATTTCCCTGCGTTCTAATAACCTGGGATGCCTTCCTAGATTCCACCTCTCAAAGCTGCACTCTTGCAGAGTGTGGTGGCTCACACCTATAATCCCAGCACTTTGGAAGGCCACGGTGTGTGGATTGCTTGATCTCAGGAGTTCAGGACCAGCCTGAGAAACATGCCAAAACCCCATCTCTACAAAATATACAAAAATTAGCTGAGCATGGTGGCATATGCCTGTAGTCCCAACTACTGGGGAAACTGAGGTGGGAGGATCACTTAAGCCTGGAGGTTGAGGCTGCAGTGAACTGTGACTCTGGCACTGTACTCAAACCTGGGAAACAGAGCAAGGCCCTGTCACAAAAAAAAGAAAAAAAAAACTGCACTCTTGTTCTTTGGCCACCTGCCTTTAGGGGTAAATTTCAAAAAGTCACCACCCTAACCTCAATAGAGACAAGCGGCACTATTGAGGTTAGGATGATGACTTTTTGAAATTTACCACTAAATGGCACATGCTTGTGGACCCCTCTGGTTACATAAGCCCTGTTGGTCAGTCTTGAGTTCACCTGGCTGCACATCTTTCTGATTTCTTCACTTCCGACACCTTTAGCAGATTAATCCTCAAGGAATCTTATAATGTTCCTCTCTGACCCCTTACCAGCCCCACTGTTGCCCCGAGGAATGTGAAAGTTCTCTCTCTTCCTTTCACCTTCTTCAATGAGATCTGAATGGCAGCCCTCCGCTAGGGGCAGAACTTTAGACCCAAACATTTCATCAACGTCTGATGATCTCCAATCCCTTCCTGGTTTGTTGGCCTAAAACACCTGAAATGTTACCTGCCTAAGGCCACAACTGGTCAGTTTCAGGCAGGTCAAGCCTTGCAGGTGAAATGCAAGGAAGACTAGGGGTGGAAGGAGGCAGAAAATTGGCTTATTCAATTAGCCACAGATTGAGTGCTTTTTCTGCATCAGGGCCCTGGGGATTCTGGAGCAAATAAGACAGACTCTCTGCTCTCAAAAATATTTTATTTTAGTGACGGGAAATAAATACATAAATAAATAAAAATGCAATTTCAGAACACCACAAGGGCCATGAAGAAGGAGGGACCAGACAGAAGAATGGAAAGGGATAGGGTAAGGAGGGAGCACTAACTACCAAGCTGAAGTCAGGGTGGAGAGAAGGGAGCCACTGGGCAGAGATCTGGGGGAGAGATTTGCTGGGAGCGGGGAGAGTCTCTGCAAAGCCCTGGGGGCAGGGGTGGGGAGGTAAGGTCATTGTGTAGCCGGGACAGAAAGAAGGCCAGAGAATAGCCGGGCAAGGTGGCTCATGCCTGTAATCCCACACTTTGGGAGGCCAAGGCGAGTGGATCATGAGGTCAGGAGATCGAGACCATCCTGGCCAACATGGTGAAACCCTGTCTCTACTAAAAATACAAAAAAAAAAAAAAAATTAGCCAGGCATGGTGGCATGCGCCTGTAGTCCCAGCTACTCAGAAGGCTGAGGCAGGAGAATCACTTGAACCCAGGAGGCAGAGGTTACAGTGAGCCGAGATTGCGCCACTGCACTCCATCCTGGGGAACAGAGGGAGACTCCGTTTCCAAAAAAACAAACAAACAAAAAAAAAAACTAAAGGGCTTTTAGGGTTGAGCAGAAAGACAATGATCAGAAAGTGAGTTACTTAATTCTAGTAACCAACATGGTGAAACCCCATCTCTACTCAAATCACACAAAAAAAATTAGCTGGGCGTGGTGGCGTGTGCCTGTAGTCCCAGCTACTCAGGAGGCTGAGGCAGGAGAATCACTTGAACCCAGGAGGTGGAGGTTGCAGTGAGCTGAGATCACACCAGTGCACACCAGCCTGGGTGACAGAGTGAGACTCTGTCAAAAAAAAAAAGAAGAAAAAGAACAGTAGCTAGAGAAGAGTAGAGTGGGTAAAAGTGGAGAACGGGCTGGGCAGGAGGATGAGAGGGAACAAGTGGGAAATTTGGTATTTATGTTACCTCCTGAAGAGGGACTGGAATTGTGTTGCCAGCATTTGCAGCCTCTTGTTTGCTTCTACCAGCAAGCTGGTGATACGGGAGGGGGGCAGGGAAGTGCTGGGTAGAGAATGTTGCATTTTCCAAGCCCACCCTGGCCCACCACACCCCCATCTTGTGCCTATAAAAAACCTGAGACCCTAGTGGGCATAGACACAAGCAGCTGGACATCGAGAGGAACACACTGGCAGAAGAACACACCAACAGATACCAGCCGACACCAACTGGTCATCTACGGTGGAAAGACGTGGAGTTCGGCTGAGGGCAGTCAGAGGAAAGTCCGGCCACTGAGCTGCCCAACTCCAGGGGAAAACCACCTTCCCACTCCATCCCCCTTCTGGATCCCCATCCATCTGCTGAGAGCTACTTCTACCACTCAATAAAACCTTGCACTCATTCTCCAAGCCCACATATGATCCGATTTTTCTGGTCCACTAGGGCAAGAACCTGGGATATAGAAAGCCCTCTGTCCTTGCAATAAGGCAGAGGGTCTAACTGAGCTGATTAACACAAGCCGCCTATGGACGGCTAAACTAAAAGAATGCACTGTAACACACGCCCACTGGGGCTTCAGTAGTTGTAAGCATTCACCTGTAGACACTGCAGTGGAGCTGGATCCCTACAACCTGCCCATCTGCAGGCTCCCCTAGAGGTTTGAGCAGCAGGGCACTGAAGAAGTGAGCCATACCCCCATCACAGGCCCTACCGGGGAGATAAGGGAACTTTTCCCATTTCACTGGTAACTATCCCACCTCGGCAAGAACCCCCTGTGCCAGACTGTATTTTCCAAAAATAGCCACAACCATGTTTCTGCTCCCACATGCTCTTTGAGACCCTCGTCAATTGCCCCATCAAGAGGTAGAGTCTACATCCTCCCCACCCCTCGAACCTAGGTGGCCCCACAAGACTTCCCTAACTAAGAAAATGCAGCAGAACTGACCCTATGGGACTTCCAAGGCCAGGTCATAAATGGGGATACAGCTTTCATGGGGCTCCAGTGTAACTGCCCAGTGGGTTCACCTTGCTCGCTGCCTAGAAAGAGCTGATTTATCAAGACAGGGGAATTGCAATGGAGAAGGAGTAATTCACGCAGAGCTGACTGTGCAGGAGACCAGAGTTTTACTATTACTCAAATCAGTCTCCCTGAGCATTGGGGGATCAGAGTTTTTAAAGAAATTTGGCGGGTAGGGGCTTGGGAAGTGGGGAGAACTGATTGGTCAGGTTGGAGATGGAATCATAGGGGGTCAAAGTGAGGTTTTCTTTCTTTTTTTTTTTTCTTTTCGAGATGGAGCCTCACTCTGTCACCCAGGCTGGAAAGCAGTGGCATGATCTCGGCTTACTGCAACCTCCGCCTCCCATGTTCAGGCAATCTCATGCCTCAGCCTCCCAAGTAGCTGGGATTACAGGTGCCCACCACCATGCCTGGCTAATTTTTTGTGTGTATTTTTATTAGAGAAGACGTTTCACCATGTTGGTCAGGCTGATCTCGAACTCCTGACCTCAAGTGGTCCGCCCACCTCTGCCTCCCAAAGTGCTGGGATTACAGGCTTGAGCCACTATGCCCAGCCCAAAGTGATGTTTCCTTGCTGTCTTCTGTTCCTAGGTGGGATGGCAGAACTGGCTGAGCCAGATTTTTGGTCTGCGTGCTATTAGCTGATCCATCCAGTGCAGGGTCTGCAAAATATCTGAAGCACTGATCTTAGGTTTTACAATACTAAAGTTATTCCCAGGAGCAGTTAGGGGAGGCTCAGACTCTCGGAGCCAGAGGCTGCATGAACCCTAAACTGTAATTTCTAATCTTGCAGCTAATTTGTTAGTCCTGCAAAGGTAGACAGGTCCCCAGGCAAGAAGGGGGTCTTTTTGGGAAAGGGCTGTTATCAATTTTGTTTCAGAGTCAAACTATGAATGGAAATCCTTCCCAAAGTTAGTTCAGCCTATGCCCAGGGATGAACAAGGACAGCTTAAAGGTTAGAAGCAAGATGGAGTCAGTTAGGTCTGATCTCTTTCACTGTCGTGATTTCCTCGGTTATCATTTTTGCAAAGGCGTTTTCACCAGGGCATGTGATAAATCCAGGGGTGTCTTGGCTGAGTTGGCAGCTGTGATTTTCTCCTTCTGTTCCCTACTGTCCTGACATTGTAGGGTCCCCTTAGATAGGTTGGACTAACTCCCCAGAAGGTGTTTAGACAGTAATTCTCATTAAGTCAATGATGGTAGAACCACAGGACATGCTTTATGCAGACATTAGGAAGGCTGCTCATTAAAAAGTATTTGAATGGTTTTTAATGATCTGGGAGAATTCTTTCATATAATGTTGGGGTAAAATAATCAAAATATACAGTCATATTCATAGAATAAGCATGACTTTTTTTAAGCATAGGAAAAAGACAGGAAATACCTTATGCGGTGGTTGTCAAACTTGTGTGGACCACAGCATTACCTGGAGGGCTGAGTAGCATCCTAGGGTCTCAGAGGTAGGAGGGAAAAGCTGGGGCCCAAGAATTTGCATTTCTGACAAGCTCCCAGGAGATGCTGCTGCAACTGTCCAGTAACCACATTCTGAGAACTGCTGTGCCAAAGGTTGGCAGCTTCTTTTGCTAATGTGCTTGTGCCTCGTTGCCATTTTCATTGTTACATTCTCTGAATTTTCCAAATTTTCTACAATGGTGGTCTGTTAGATGTGCAATCAGAAATGAAAACAAGGCCAGGCATGGTGTCTTACATCTGTAACCCCAGCACTTTGGGAGGCTAAGGAGGGAGGACTCCTTGAGGCCACGAGTTTAATACCAGCCTGGACAACATAGCAAGACCCCATCTCAACAACAACAACAAAAATGTTTTAGTTAGCCAGGCTTGGTGGCATGTGCTTGTAGTGCCAACCACTCAGGAGGCTGAGGCAAGAGGATGACTGGAGCCCAGGAGGTGGAGGCTTCAGTGGGCTATGATCTCACCGCTGCACTCCAGCTGCAGGGGCCGAGTGAGATCCAGCCTCCAAAACAAAGACAATCAAAATTTTAGATGAAGTATCGAGGGTGGGGCCAGGGGAATGAATTAAGGGCACAAAAGCTTTGTGAAGTGGTTTGGGCTGAGGTTCCCACTGCAGTTAGAAATCCTAACTGTGTGATGGAGGCAGTCAATCTGCTTTTGGCATTTCTCCCCTGCCTGTCAC
This sequence comes from Homo sapiens, assembly GCF_000001405.40. Lineage (NCBI taxonomy): Eukaryota > Metazoa > Chordata > Mammalia > Primates > Hominidae > Homo > Homo sapiens. The sequence goes on along the minus strand of NC_000007.14, from coordinate 67,456,483 downwards.
TGCAGCGCAGGAGTCTGCAGAGAATGAACAATTGTGAGTCAGAGTCTCTGTTAGGGAACACCAGGTAGACCCAGAAAGCCCTCCTTCCAGCTGTCCTTTTGCCATCCAAAGGAGAAGGGGGTCATCTTGAGTTGCACTGGGAAGACAGCAATGAACAAGACAAACATTTGTACTTCCTGAAAGCCTTGGAGAGAAAATGCCACCCCCCACCCTTTTTTTTTTAAGACAAGGTCTTGCTCTGTTGCCCAGCCTGGTGTGCAGTGGTATGACCACAGCCCATTGCAGCCTCAACCTGGGGAAACTGGGGATGCTGGTTCAAGAAGAGTTGCAGTGCCGGGCATGGTGGCTCACGCCTGTAATCCCAGCACTTTGGAGGGCCGAGGTGGGCAGATCATGAAGTCAGGAGTTCAAGACCGGCCTGGCTAACATGGTGAAACCCCATCTCTACTAAAAATACAAAAATTAGCTGGGCATGGTGGCACACACCTGTAGTCCCAGCTATTCAGGAGGCTGAGGCAGGAGAATCGCTTGAACCCTAAAGGTGGAGGTTGTAGGGAGCCGAGATCACGCCACTGCACTCCAGCCTGGGTCACAGAGCAAGACTTTGTCTCCGAAAAAAAAAAAATGAAAGAGGAAGGAAGGAAGGAAACAGAGAGAAAGAAAGAGAGAGAAGGAAGAAAAGAAGGAAGGAAGGAGAGAGAGAGAGAGAGAGAAAGAGGAAGGAGAGAAAGCAAGAAAGAGAGAAAGAGAGAGAGAAAGAGAAAGAGAGAAGAGAAAGAAAGAGGAAGGAGAGAAAGGAGAGAAAGCAAGAAAGAGAAAGAGAAAAAGAGAAGAAAGAAAAAGAAAGAGAGAGAAAGAAAGAAAAAGAAAGAAAGAAAGAAAGAAAAGAAAAAAGAGAAAAGAAAAGAAGAGTTGCAGCCAATGGGGTAGGGAGGGTTGGGCTGAGGACCCTAGAGCCTGAAGGGGCTAACACATTGAGCAAGGAGGAAGACATCAGGGGTGCCGAAGTTCCAAGAGAAGGCTCAGGGAAATATGGCGGGACAGAAGCTGTAAGGCACCTACCCTTTCTCCATCCCTTCCTTTGGGCCTGCCCCCTTCCTTCCCCAAACCCTAATTCCAACCACCCCAATGCTCCAGCAACTCCCTCCAGGGACATCCTAGCTGACAGCTGTTACCCTCTGAGGGCTTGACTGCCAGTGGTTTCACAGCCTTCTACTCCATTTACTGAGTTTCATGGAGGCCATTGAGGCTTGGAGCTCCTGAATCTTCATGGGTGAGGACATCTGGAAGGAGGGGAAGGGAATAAGATGCCAGGAGAAGAGGCAACCGGCCCAGGGAGCTTAGCTGCAGCAGCCACCCCAGATCCTTCCGCTTGTCCCTCACCACACCAAGGTGGATTTCAAGGTCTGCCTTTTACCCTGGGAGGCTTTGGGACAGGGCAAGAGAAGAAGTAAGGCAGTGGTTCCCCAACTGCACAGTGCAAAAGAATCCCCTGGAAGGCTTGTTAAATCCAGATCACTGCTCCTCCTCTGAGTTTCTGATTCAGTAGGTCTGGGGTGCAGCCTGAGAATCTGCATTCTAACAAGTTCCAGGTGACGCTGCAGCTGCTGGCTCTGCATTTAGGGAATGAGAACTATGAAGACAGGCTGTTGGCCAGGTGCAGCAGCTCATGCCTATAATCCCAGGACTTTGGGGAAGCCAAGATGGGAGGATCACTTGAGGCCAGAAGTTCAAGACCAGCCTGGACAACACAGCGAGACCCTATCTCTTCAGAAAGTACAAAAATTAGCCGGGCATGGTGGTGCATGCCTGTAGTCTCAGCTACTAGGGAGGCTAAGGCAGGAGGGTCGCTTGAGCCCAGGAGGTTGAGGCTACAATGAGCTGTGGTTGCACCACTGTACTCCAGCCTGGGCAACAGAGCAAGACCTTGTCTCAAAACAAAATAAAAAACAAACAAACAAACAAACAAAAAGAGTGGTGGCTGTCCCTGGAGGAATTCTCTCTCCGAGGCTTCTTTCAGGAAGTGTGAATGTTTGTCTCGTTCATTGCTCTCTCCCGAGTGCCAGGTAAACAGTCAGTCTTCAACAAAGATCTGTTGAATTGACATATTTCTATATAAGAAAATTCGGGCCACAAAGCTCAAGATAACCCACCCCCCTCCTTTGGATGGTAAAGGCAACTTGGAGGCAGAGGACCAGTCCCTCCACCCATTTTTATTCCTCAGCTGTGGTCACTGGGTTCAGCTCAAAGGAGATAACTGTCCCCACCCCAACCACTTCCTCCTTTTTTCCCCTGAGCCTGGAGCTGCCTCATTGACATGCGGCCAGCGCAGCTGCGGGGCTCACTTCTGGATCACTGAGAAACAGGTCCGATTTGAAAATGTGAGGATCTCGTTAGCAATTCCAATGGCCGCAGCGGTAATTATGCCTTTTCATGTTCCTGTGTGTTATACCGCATCAAAACTGACACAGACGCCTGGTTTTATAATATCACGGCCTGGAAATAAATGTCCAAAATGATATGAAAATGTACTAGGAAGAGATTAATAACTGTTCTTCCAGGAAGAAAGATAGCCCTTTTCAACCAGTATATTATATATTTTTTCCTCTTAAAAAAAAGCCTCTCTGATAGCATCTCTCCTTGAGGGGAACTGAATTATATTATCACTCACAGGAGGTAATCAGGTCTGTCAGCTGCAGGGCTGAGCCTCTCAAGGCAGAAGAGGAGTGGGAGGCGTTGGAAGGAGGGAAGTCCAGAAGGCGGCCCCTGAAAGGAGCACTCCTGACCTTGTCCCATCCCCAACCCAGAGCTTTTTTCAGAGTAGGCAAAACCTGGATCTGCTGGTATATAAGCAGCTTTTCACGGCGCAGGGAGGTTAGATAGAAGCAAAGCGGTGTCTATAGTATGTACCTGGAAAGACCCTGGCTGGCCACGTGGGAGAGCTTTCCTCTCTATTGCCACCAAGGACTGTCCCTCTGAAGAGTCAAGCCAGGCTGGGCACAGTGGCTCATTCCTGGAATCTCAGCCCTTTGGGATGCTAAGGCGGGAGGGTCGCTTAAGGCCAGGAGTTTGAGACCAGCCTGGGCAACATGGCAAGACCCACCCCCCCCAACCCCCACTGTCTCTTCAAAAAAAAAAAAAATCATCAAATGGCAGAAGGTGAATGAAAGTGGGCCCAACTCCTGCTGTCAGGGGCAGCAAATGGCTCTGGGCAGTGGGTTGAGGCCAAGAAAGAAGGCTCTGAGCCTGATGACCAATGTCAAATGTCAGCCCAGCCCCTGGAGAACTGATTCTAAAGGTCCCAGCTCTCATAATAACTTCAATGTTTTTAACTGTCTCTGTGCATGCATCCCCACAAGCACCATAGGAAAGGAATTCCAATGTTTCCTCACTCTCCCAGCTTTGGCTCTGTATGAACACACACACACAAACACGCACATGCACACACATGCACACAATCGCATCACACACGAACACACAATATACACATACATATATACATATCCAGTCACACATGCATAGACAGACTTTCACACACAATACACACATACATACATATACACACTCACGCACATACATACATACATGCACACACTCATATACACACATACATACACACAAGCACACAATACACACATACACATTCACATATATACGTACACACAGTCACAAATTTACATATACACACATGCATATATACACATTCACATGCAATACACATACACACATGCACACACATACATACACACATACACACTAATGAATTCACATATACACACATGCACATATACACATTCACATATAATACACACATGCACACACATATACATACATACACACTCATGTATTCACATACACATATGCATATACACACATTCACACACACACATACACACATGCATACATATATACATATGCACAATACACGCTCACATATTTACATACGCATACATGCATATACACACATTTGCACATAATACACACATACATATACACACACATACACATATGTGCACTCACTTGCACACACACGTGCAAACATGCACACATATATACATGCAAACACAATACATGCACGCATATAAATATGCACTCATATACACTCACAGGTACACATGCACACACGTGCACACACACACAGATCTATACACACACAGACCTATCCACATACACAGAATCACACATACATACACAAACATGGACACAAACACACAGTCCCCCTCCCAGAGTCCTCTGTCACACCCCATTTCTGGCCTCAACTTGTCCTGTGGGCCACACACTGATACCACCTCTGCAGCCATGACCTTAGCGCCCCCCTTACTTATACACTGATTTCTCAGCCTTTCCTCCAAGCTGCCTCAGTCTACCCTCAATATACACAATCTCTAAGTCATGCTGGCTCCAGAACGTGTTGCCTTAGGGCCTGGCCTCCCTGGGTACCATTTCTGGCCCCATTAGCAAAGCCCAGATTAAAAGGATGGACCAAGATGGCCAAGATGGACCATGCTTGGTCCACTGCTTGGAGGCCCAGCTGGAAAGACATTCTGGACAGCTCGGAATTCCAGGTGCAAAGCATTGGAGTGGAGAGGAGGCCCAAGATGAAATATTTAACTGATTGTTATCACTTAAATACACATACACTTGGCTCCTGGGGGTGCCAAGGTGTACATGGGTGAAGCTCTGTGCCCCTGACTTCATGCTCTGTAACCTCAGAGCACAGCCACAGCCCAGAAGCAAGCCCCCACCTCCTCCCCTAGAGAGAGGCACCTTCCCCAACACCAGACCTCAGACAGGGTGACCGGCACCAGGGTATTGACCAGTCCTCAGGCTCTTGACCACATTTTTGCGGCAGAATCGGGAAGTACAATGGAGAGATGAAAAACAGCACTGAACAGAGGATCGTTTCTAAAGCAAACCAGCAATCTTCAAAAGATGGGAATCGGCAAGATTAATGAGGCTGATTACTGCCAGCTGCTTAAAGGAACTTGAAGGCTTTCGATGTCAGTACATTTATGATGACAGAGTAATTAGAGCTAATTAAGAAAAAATGAAGCTGAGAGCAGCGCAGTCAGATCGTTCCGGCTGAGCCTCAAGGTGCCTCAGACTCTCTCTGCAGACTCTGGAAAAACTCTCAGGTGAGCAACCTGTGGCCACTGGTCCCCTCTGGCCTCTAGAAATACGGGATCAACTAAGGGCAGGGAGATAGGGAGGCAGGCTCAGGGTAGCTCACCCAACCCAACAAGTTTCATAGGATGCAGTGTGGGGAAGGAAGCCTAGTTCAATCCAAAAATCAAGAATCTGGTTTGTAATCCCAGCACTTTGGGAGGCCGAGGCGTGCAGATTACCTGAGGTCAGAAGTTGGAGACCAGCCTGGCCAACATGGTGAAACCCTGTCTCTATTAAAAATACAAAAATTAGCTGAGTATGGTGGCACGTGCCTGTAATCTCAGCTACTCGGGAGGCTGAGGTAGGAGAATTGCTTGAACCCGGGAGGCGAAGTTTGCAGTGAGCCAAAATTGCGCCACTGCACTCCAGCCTGGGCAACAGAGTGAGACTCCATCTCAAAAAATAATAATAGTAATAATAATAATCTGTGGGCCAGGCACGGTAGCTCACACCTGTAATCCTAGCACTTTGGGAGGCCAAGGTGGAACGATGGCTTGATCCCAGGATTTGGAAACCAGCCTGAGCAACATGGTGAGACCCCCATCTCTACAAACAACAATAACATTTTAAAATAAGCCAGGTGTGATGGTGCATCCCTGTAATCCCAGCAACTCAAGAGGCTGATATAGGAGTCGCCTAAGCCCAAGAGGTTGAGGCTGCAGTGAGCCACAGTCACACCCTGCACTCCAGCTGGGTGATGGAGAAGACCCTGTCTCTAAAAAAAAAAAAAAAAAAAAAAAAGATTCTGTTTTGTCTATGTGAGAACTAGTAACCATTCCAAAAAATTTCTCTTTCAGTCAAGTATGCAGGAGTCACACAAAGTTCGCTAAGAGGGAGAGCCCTTGTTAGATTTTGTCCAATGAAGATTTACATCAAAGCTGCATCTTCATTGGACAGACGCATCCCAAGGCATAAACTGATGCACCATGCTGCTTTTTACTGTGGTCACATGACCAGTAGGTTTTCTAACGGGTGGGTGTGTCTTAAGCCATCCATGCTCCTCACTCCAGCTTCCACTGCACAGACTTACAAGGAGGCCAGCCCCAACTGGGCAGAAGTTGCTGGTCTGTAACAGAAAGGAGGTAACTGCTCTATCCCAAACTCAAGATGCTGGAAAGCAGATGGATTGACAGCTTGGGAGCAGCTCATGACCCTTGGTTTATCTGCCACCTTCTCCCCTGATCTTCCTAGAGTTGTTCAAGAAAGCTTTTTGCTGTGGCTTGAATGTTTTTCCCCTCCAAAACTCATGCTGAAATTTAATCCCCAGTGCACCAGTACTGAGAGGTGGAGCTTTAAGAGATGATTGGGGTGCAGTGGCTCAGGCCTGTAATCTCAGCACTTTCGGAGGCCGAGGCAGGCAGATAGCTTGAGCCCAGGGGTTCAAGACCAGCTTGGGCAACATGGCAAAACCTGGTCTCTACAAAACCTATAAAAAAGAGCCGGGCATGGTGGCTTGGGCCTATAATCCTAGCTGCTTGGGAGGCTGAGGTGGGACGATCACTTGAGACCAGGAGGTCGAGGCTGCAGTGAGACAAGATCACACCACTGCACTCCAGCCTGGGCAACAGAGCAAGACCCCGTCTCCCCCCGCAACAACAAAAAAAGAGGTGATTAAGTCATGAGGCCTCTACCCTCATGAATAGATTAATTCATTCATGGGTTAATGGTGTTATGGGTTAGTAGATTACAAGGTTATCTTGGGAGTGGGACTAGTGGCTTTACAAGAAAAGGAAGAGAGAACTGAGCTAGCATGCTCAGCCCCCTCGCCAAGTGATGCCCTGTGCTGCCTGGGAACTCTGCAGAGTCTCCACCAGCAAGAAGATCCTTACCAGATGCAGTCCCTTGACCTTGGACTTCTCAGCCTCCATCATGGTAAGAAATAAATTCCTTTTCCTTATACATTACCCAGTTTCAGGTATTCCAGTATAAGCAACAGAAAATGGACTAAGACACCATGTCCATGGCTTATTCGGAGATTAGCCTTGAGATATCAACACAGAAAGATCAGGGAAGCCCTGGAGAGCTCCCAGACCCCACACCCACCATTGGCTTTCTCATCCCTGAACCTTGCTACCACAAACCAAACCCTTTACCCCCACCCAGGGGTAACCCAGCTCAAAATGCAAATTCCTCCAGGCATGAGTCATGAGCACCAAAGTTCTAACTCAAAAGTAAATGACTGACTCCTCCCACTGAGCCAACATGCAGGAAACCCAGCCCGGGTCCAGCCATTCCCTTCATCTCCCACCTCCCCACCCAAAGCAGACCCTGATGGGCCAACAGCACGGTAGGGTTCTGCAGGGGTGGAAGCAGAGCAGATTTTCATCACTATAGAAATAAAAATGAACAATAAAGTCTGAAGCTTGTCTTTAAAAGACCCACCCCCACCAGATGGAAGTAATATGCACTTGTCAACCATTTAGTTATGGTCGGCCTATAGGCTCAGAGACCTTTAAGGCAAAGGCAGAGTGGGAAAAAGAAACACAAGTTCATAAATGAAGCAGTCAGATTCTTCTCCAACAGGCTGAGAAAGCCAAAGTACACGTGCTAATCCCAATGCCTGCCCTCACCAGCTGCTCCCACTGGCCAATGTACTCATCTGCAAAGTGACTGAGAGAAGACACATGACTTTTCCATGCTCCTCAATGGGTCTAAGTTTCTGCACCCATCTCTGATTCTTAAGGACTGTTGCTTAAGTGGAATCACAGGGAGGGGGTGGAAAACCTCTATAAGAACCAGTGGATGTATTTCTTGGCTAAAATAAAATGAACTACATCCCTGTTACAGGCATTAAATCAAGAAGCATCCTGAAACCATATGATCAGGGCATAAGAGACATGTGAATCCAATTAAAATATTTAAGTTCATTCTCTTTCTTCAGAGGATCACAAAGTTTAACTACCTACACATGTCTGGCATTTTTCTGAGGCTCATGATGAGGTTTTCGCCTGCATTGTTTGGGGTTTGGATTTTATTGGATCAATACCAGGTGTGGGTCATGTAACAAGAAAAAAAAGGTAGGAAAAAAAAACATCTGGTATGTTTTTAATTCCTAATGGTTTCTATGCTTTCTTTGATTTCTTTAGCCATTTTAAACATACTGTATTTGTTTTGTCATCTCCGTCAGCCTGTTGCTTTGCTATCTCAAGTGCTCTTGTTCTTTTCATTAGAGATAGAGATCTTTGTTGGGTATTAAGTTTCCTGCTTTATCTCCATGACATCAAGGCAAGTGACCAGGAATGCTATTGGATGAGGAGCTCACGGGCTTTCCTGGAGAAATCGTGATGAGGACCAAGTAAGTACAAGCTTGAGATTCCCTTTGTATTGAAGATGGAGAGTATCATTCTAACGAAAAGATGGAGATTAATATATAAAAGAGTTAAAGGCTCCTGTGTCTAGCCAGGTGAGGTGGTTCACGCCTGTAATCCCAGAACTTTGGGAGGCTGAGGTGGGAAGATTGCTTGCAGTCCAGGAGTTTGAGACCAGCATGGCCAACATAGGGAGAGTCCATCTCTACAAAAAAATTTAAAATTAGTTGGGCATTTTGGTGGTGCCCACCTGTAGTCCCAGCTGCTTGGGAGGTTGAGCAGTGAGCTGTGATTGTGCCACTGCACACCAGCCAGGGCAAAAAATAAATTAAAAAAATTTTAAAAAGCTCCTGCATCTTATACTGAGAAACTAGTTCATTGAACACAATGGCTTAAACAAGTTAAAAGCATATTTATCTGTCATTTAACAGTCCTGAGACATCTCAGGGATAGAAGAGCAGTTCTGCTGTCCTCAACATGCAGCTTCTGTCTCTGGGTCCAAAGTGGCTGCTTTGGCTCCTGCCATTACATCTACATCTGAGCCAGTGCAGAGGAGGAAAGTCTAAAGCAAGTGCATGCCCATTTCTTTTAAGATTATGTGGTAGGGGCTGCTAACTATGCATCAAAAGCTGTTGTCCCCATCAAGGGATGCTACATTTGTAAGCCCTCTTGCACTTGGTTATGATCATATGACAAAATTCTCTCCAATAAAATGTAAGAAGCAGGGGATTCGTGGAGAGGACCTACAGGCATACATTAATTCTACCCCCTTTCGTTGGCTGGAGCTCTGTCCCATGGCCCCACCTACCTGCAAAGGAGGCTGGGAGATGCCTACTCTCATGTCCTGCCTTCATCATTAAAATGTCCCTGTATTAGTCCATTCTCATGCTGCTAATAAAGACATACCCAAGACTGGTAATTTATATAAAGGAAAGAGGTTTAATTGACTCACAGTTCTGCAGGGCTGAGGAGGCCTCAGGAAACTTACAATCATGGCAAAGGGGAAACAAACATGTCCTTTTTCACATAGTGGCAGCAAAGAGAAGTTCAGGGGAACTGCCCTTTATAAAACCATCAGATCTCATGAGAATTATTCACTATCCCAAGAACAGCACGGGAAAACCTGCCCCCATAATTCAGTTACCCCCCACCGGGTCCCTCCCACGATACGTGGGGATTATGGGAGCTACAATTCAAGATGAGATTCGGGTAGGGGCATGGCCAAACCACATCAGTCCCCATGCAAATGAAAGAGAACCCATGCTCATGGTGCAGACACCATGGATCAGTAGCTGTGCTGGGTCCATTGTAAATATTTGCTTAGTTAATTCTTTGTAGTAAGAATAAAAATTTTCACTTAGCAAATGAAGCTCGAGAAATTTGCTCAAAGTCATACAACAAAGCAAGGCCACGATACAGACACAGGTACTTCTCCTCAATCCTTGCATTTCCCTGCACCCCAGGATATTTCTGGGTTCTTCCCCTGCTAAACACCTTGGTCTTCCCCATAGAATGGGCTTCTTTGACTTTTTTTTTCTTTTTTTGAGACAGAGTTTCACTCTTGTTGCCCAGGCTAGAGTGCAGTGGCGCAATCTCAGCTCACTGCAACCTCTGCCTCCTGGGTTCAAGCAATTCTCCTGCCTCAGCCTCTCAGTAGCTGGAATTACAGGCATGCGCCACCACACCCAATCAATTTTTTGTATTTAGTAGAGATGGGATTTTACCGTGTTGATCAGCCTGGTCTCAAACTCCTGACCTCAGGTGATACGCCCGCCTCAGCCTCCCAAAGTACTGGGATTACAGGTGTGAGCCACTGCACCTGGCCCCACTTCGTTATATTCTTATCAAAGAATAGATGAGATCTTCCTTCTAGAGTCCCAGATGAGCAAAGGAAAGCTGTGATCGAAGGTCGCCACTGCCATCATCTCAGATCTCAGGGCCCTCCCCTGGGAAAGCCAGGCCAAGCTCACAGAATTTGCCCAGAAACAAAACTCTCTCTCTTTGTCACCCTCCCCTATTCATTTAGGGGAAACATTCATCCAGCAAAGGACCAATAGACCATGGAGACTATTACCTTATTTCATAATATTATCTTGAGTAGAAAAATAAAAGGGCCTTTGTTTAAAATCCCTTCGGTCTCATGTCTAAGCCTTAGTTCAGAATCTTTGGTTCACTGCATTAGAAAAAGAATCAAGACACCAATTAGGGCTAACAAAGCAATCAGGCCTCCCCTGATCTCTGGCTGGAATGACCGAAAGAGTATTGAATGCTTTGGGAGGAGGCAGGTGTTTCAAAAGAGGTGGAGCACAGACAGTCAGCAGGAGTGAGGATGGGTCTGCAATGAGGTCACCAAGCAATAAGGAGAAAGAAAAAGGAAAGGAAAGGCAGGAAAGCTTGCAGCCTCAAACTCCTGGGCTCAAGGGATCTTCCTGCCTCAGCCTCCAGAGTAGCTGGGACTACAGGCATGCACCACCATGCCTGGCTAATTTTTAAAAATTTTTTTTGTAGAAACAGGGTCTCACTATGTTGCCCAGAATGGCCTCAAACTCCTGGCCTCAAGTGGCCCTCCTCCCTCAGCCTCCCAAAGTGCTAGGATTACAGGCATGAGCCACCAGGCATGGCCTGGGAGCTGACTTTTGAACTCAATCTATTCTGGAGCTCATGCTATACTCTCTCCTAATAAAATGAATGAATGAATGATTCCAATTCGGGAAAGAAAATGAGCAAGTAGGAATATTGGTGAAAGGAGAACTAAGATTGGAAAGAAAGAAGAAAGATAAAAGGGGTAGCAGAGCTGGGATTTTTTTTTTCCCAAGCATCCTCAGAAGAAGCTAAGGAAGTTTCCTCCCAGCTAGGGTGTGGTGAGGGCCAAGGCAGCACACCAGTGCATCCTGCTTTCTTCCACTGGGCTCAAAGGGCAACAGTAAACCTGACCAACAGCAATAAAGACATCAGTTCTTATGAATAAAAGAAGCCTGGGCGTTGGCAGTTCCAAGTTGAATGCAGTGGCTCGACCATATCATAAAAGACATAGGCTCCTTCTGTCTTCCTGCAGTACCAACCCCAGGGTGTTGGCTTTCTGTCCTTAGAATTGTCACCTCATGATCACAAAAGGGCTGCTGAAGCACCACAGAACCACATTCAAGATGGGAAGATGGGAAAGTTCAGGAAAGGGGCTTTGTTTCTGTAGCATCCTCTTCTGTTAGAGAAAGACATCTTTCCCAGGAGCCCCCCAAAACTTGTATCCTGTCTTATTGGCTGGAATAGGTCTCATGGCCATCCCTAAAGCAATCACTGGCAAAGAGGAAGTGGATTATCATGACTGATCTGGGAAATTTAAGGTTCATTCTCTGGGTTGAGGGCAGGTTTACCTTCACTGAGCACATTGCTGCCTGAAAATAGAATAAAACTAGGATCTCCTGGCACAGAAGGAGGAACTATGGATGACAGCTGAGTAGGCCAAGCTCTAGCATGGAGTGTTCCTGCCTAGAACTAATGCTTCAAATCCTTGGGCATTGCAGGGATTAGAAGAGCCATCCTCTGGCCGGGCGCAGTGGTTCATGCCTGTAATCCTAACACTTTGGGAGGCCAAGGTGGGTGGATCACCTGAGGCCAGGAGTTCAAGACCAGCATGGCCAACATGGCAAAACCCTGTCTCTACTAAAAATACAAAAATTAGCCAGACATGGTAGCACACACCTGTAATCCCAGCTACTCAGGAGGCGGAAGCACAAGAATCGCTTTACTCCTGGAAGCAGAGGTTGCAGTGAGCCAAGATCGTGCCACTGCACTCCAGCTTGGGCTACAGAGTGACATTCCATCTCAAAAAAAAAAAAAAGAAAGAAAAGAAAAGAAGGCAAGAAAGGGATCTATCTACAGCTTGGCAGAGAATTCCCAGCCAGCTCAACCTCCCAGAACCATGTTTGGTTGCTTTAGTTTTCTTTTGTTCTTGTTATTTTATTTTTATTTTTAAATAATATTTATCATCTCATCATTTTTAAATACGTAGTTCAGTCATGTTAAGTACATTCACTTTGTTGTGCAGCCAATCTCTGGGACTCTTTTCATCTTGCAAAACTGAAACTATTAATATATATCCATTAAGCAACAACTCCCAATTCCTCCCTCCTCTAACCCCTGCACCTGTAGTCCCATCTACTCGGGGGACTGAGCAGAGAGGATCCCTTGAGCACTGGTGTTCAAGGCTGCAGTGAGCTAACATTGCTGCAGCCTGGGCAACAGAGCAAGACCTGTCTCTTCAAAAAAAAAAAAAAAAAAACTCAGCTCCCCACAACTTACCAGATGTGGGAACTTGGGCAAACCAGTTCATCTAACCAGGCCTAAGTTTCCTCCAAAAATTAAAAATAGAATTACCAAAAGGTCCAGCAATTTCCATATCTGGATGTATATGCAAAAGAATTGAAATTAGGGTCTCAAAGAGATATTTGTATATCCATGTTCACAGCAGCATTATTCTGTGTTCAAATTTCCTCTCTTTTTTAAAAAATATTTCTTATAGGCCGGGCACGGCGGCTCGCGCCTGTAATCCCAGCACTTTGGGAGGCTAAGGTGGGCTGACCAAGAGGTCAAGAGATGGAGACCATCCTGGCCAACATGGTGAAACCCCATCTCTACTAAAAATACAAAAATTAGCTGGGTGTAGTGGTGCGCTCCTATAGTCCCAGCTACTCGGAGGGCAAGAGAATCATTTGAACTCGAGAGGCAAAGGTTGCAGTGAGCCAAGATCGCACCACTGCACTCCAGCCTGGTGACAGAGCAAGACTCCAACTCAAAAAAAAAAAAAAAAGAAAAAAATTCTAGAGATAGGATCTCATTGTGTTGGCCAGGCTGGTTTCAGACTCCTAGCTTCAAGTGATCCTTCTCACCTCAGCCTCCCGAAGTGCTGGGATTACAGACATGAGCCATTACACCCAGCCAAATTTCCTCTTCTTATAAAGACAACAGTCAAATGGGATTACGGTTTGCCCTAAAGACCTCTTTTTAACTTAATTATCTCTTTAAAGAACTTATGGCCAAATGCAGTCATATTCTGAGATACTAAGGGTTCGGACTTTGTCTCTTAGCTTATTTTCTGTTGCTTATAACAGAATACCCAAAACTGGGTAATTTACAAAAATAAAATAATCTCTCTCTCTCTCTCTCTCTTTTTTTTTTTTTTTTTTTTTTTTTTTTGTGACAGTCTTGCTCTGTAGCCCAGGCTGGAGTGTAGTGGCACGATCTCAGCTCACTGCAAACCTCCACCTCCCAGGTTCAAGCAACTCTCCTGACTCAGCCTCCTGAGTAGCTGATACTGCAGGCACTCACCACCATGCCCAGCTAATTTTTATATTTTTAGTAGAGATGGAGTTTCACCATGTTGGCCATAAATTCCATTTTTAGGCCACCATTCCCAAACTAAAAAAGGAATTTATTTCTTACAGTTATGGAAGCTGAGAAGTCCAAGGTCGGGGCACTGTGTCTGGTGAGGACCTTCTTGCTGGTGGGGATTTTCTACAGGGTCCTGAGATGGTATAGAGCATCACATGGCAAGGGTCTTCCTTCCTCTTCTTATAAAGCCACCAGTCCCATTCCCATGAAAAGTGATTCATCCATTAATCCAGGAATAGCTCTGCCCTCATGGCTCAGTCGCCTCTTAAAAGTCCCACCTCTCCATACTGCCACATTAGGAATTAAGTTTCAGCATTAAGTTTTGGAGGAGAAAAACATTCAAATCATAGCAGATTTCAACGTGGTGGGCGCTGGGGGGACAGGACATAATTTAGCTTATCACAGGGGTTAAGAAGACAGACTCTGGGGCCCAAATGCTTGAGCACCAGCTGTGGCAAGTTATTTTATCTATGGCAAGTTACTTAACTACCCTGTGCCCTAATTTCCACATGCATAAAATGAGCTTAATAATAGTGACTACTTTGAGAGGCTGTTTTAAGAGTAAATGAGTTAAATATTAAAATCTTTAGAATAGCCTCTGGCACAGAGGAAGTGCTATATAAATGTTAGCTATTATTATTATTATTGCTACAACTACATCATGTCTGGATTTTACTTTTATGGAATCACCTTTTCCAAGCTGAAATTTTACAAAGTAATGAAAATGAAAGCAATAACACTGCTACCAAGTATTGCTCTCAATAAGCATCAGGCAGAAGCCAAGTGCTTTACAAATTTCATCACCTTGGATCTCGAGAGATACTGTGGTTTCAAAGTGGTCTCAGTTTTTAAAAGGCCAAGAGTGACCAAGTATGGTGGCTCACACCCAGCACTTTAGGAAGCCAAGGCGGGCAGATTACTTGAGGTCAGGAGTTCAAGACCAGCCTGGTCAACATGGCAAAACCCTGTCTCTACTAAAAATACAAAAGTTAGCTGGACATGGTGGTGCACATCTGTAATCCCAGTTACTCGGGAGGCTGAGGCATAAGAATCTCTTGAACCCACGAGGCAGAGGTTGCAGTGAGCTGAGATCATGCCACTGCACTCCAGCCTGGGTTACAGAGCAAGACTTTATCTCAAAAAAACACAAAATTAAAAAAAAAAAAAGGCCAAGAGGATTTTGGGATCAGGTCCCAACTAGACTTGTAAATAAAATCTAGATAAAATCAAAATCAAAAGTTGATGCTTGACCATCATTAGGATTGGTGGTAATTATGCTCTGTCTTACTCCATTTGGGCTGCCATGACAAAATACCATAGACAGGATAGCTTATAAACAACAGAAATGTAGCTGAGTACAGTGGCTCACACCTGTAATCCCAGCTCCACGGGAAGCTGAGACAGGAGGATCACTTGAGGCCAAGAGTTCGAGATCAGCATGGGCAACCTAGCAAGACCCTGTCTCTAAAAATAAAAATTAAAAAATTAGCCAGGTGTGGTGGTACACACCTGTAGTCCCAGCTACTCGGGAAGTTGAGGTGGGAGGATCACTTGAGCCCAGGAGTATGAGGCTGCAGTGAGCCATGATCATGCCACTGTACTCCACCCTGGGTGACATTAGCCCACTACCGTGCCTGGCTAATTTTTGTATTTTTAGTAGAGACGGAGTTTCACCATCTTGGCCAGGCTGGTCTCGCACTCCTGATCTCATGATCCACCCACCTCGGCCTCTCAAAGTGCTGGGATTACAGACGTGAGCCACCGCAGCCAGCCTGAAAATTTTTTAAATAATAATAAATAAAATAAATAAATAAACAACAGAAATTTATTTCTAACAATTCAGGAGGCTGGGGAAGTCACAGGAGCAAGTCGCTGACAGATTCAGCATCTGGTGACACTTTGTCACTGACAGCATCTTTTCATTCTAACCTCATGTGGCAGAAAGGTCTCTCTTGGGCCTCTTTTATAAGGACCTTAACCCCATTCATGAAGACTTCACCTCCCCTTGACCTAATCACCTCTCAAAAGCTCCACCACCTCCTAATACCATCATCTTGGAGGTGGGAAAGGAAAATAACTCTTGGGGCGGCCAAATCACTAAGCTAAAGGAAAAAGTCAAGCTGTGACCTGCTTAGCACAAACCTGCCTCCCATTCTATTCAAAGTCATCCCTCTCCTCACTGAGATAAATGCATATCTGATTGCCTCCTTTGGAAAGGCTAGTCAGAAACTCAAAAGAAAGCAACCATGTGTCTCTCACCTACCTGTGACCTGGAAGCCTCCTCCCTGCTTCAAATCGTCCCACCTTTCTGGAGGGAACCAATGTACATCTTACACATATTGATCAACGTCTCATGTCTCCCTAAAATGTATAAAAACAAGCTGTGCCCCGACCACCTTGGGCACATGTCATCAGGACCTCCTGAGGCTGTGTCACGGGCGTACATCCTCAACCTTGGCAAAATAAATTTTCTAAATTAACCAAGATCTGTCTCAGATATTTGGGGTACAAAGAGGTGAGGGTTTCAACGTATGAATTTGGGCAGGACATAAACATTCTGACCATAGCATGGTCTTAGGATCAGTGTTAATTACTTGGAAGGGGGCAGCATGGGCTACAGGCCAGAGCATGGCTTGGAGACAGACTTCTGTGGTCTCTGGCCCACTTCTGACCAGCTCTCAGCTGCCCACAGTAGGGCTGGGGAGGGAGAGACCCCCTGGAGACACTGTTGTCTCTTGCTGTAGAGGTGAAACCAGCCTCTCAACTTTCCACCATTCATGCTCAGGACATCAAGACCAGCCATTCATGCCCCGCTGTGTTCCTAAAACCATTCTATCCAGAAGAGGTATTGTTCCATCAGCACTTAACATGATGTTTTTCTTTCTTAAACCACATTTGCATATAATGAGTTTCCTTTGGAGCTGAGCACACAGTAGGCATCCAAGGGGGATCTAACGCTCAGTAAAGGAGAAGGGGCCAGACTGAGAGGACAACAAAACACAAACAGAAGGCCTTAGCCATCATCCCCCACCAACCCACATAAGCCTAACAAGTCTTACAGCCTCAGAAAGAGAAATCTTTAACCCAATTATGTCAAACCCCACTGGATACATTTGATCCGGGAAAAATATCATCTCTGGCAATCATAAAGAATATTAAGGTATTAGCAGCCGTCGTTTCAGAATTGCATTGGAAAGAGAGCTGGAAATAATCACACATCAGTTGCTCAAAAATCAGCAGTAAAAGAAATTTACATTAGTGTATAAATTACCCTTCTAGCAATATAAATTAGGATTTTATGCCTCCTAATGACAACAGTAAAGGCCCTGGCTGTGCTAAGCAGAGATTTCCTGGAGAAAGGAGCGGCTGTGCTCTGAATCCAGCAGGTACCTGGGCCCAAGTGCTGAGCTGGGGAGCAGAAGTGATTTGAATCTAACTGTCGCCCGCCTGGAAGCCGACCCTGCTGGAAGATTCCCCAAATCTGCAGAGCACCAGGGAGGCAGAAAAACCTCTTCAAAGCCCAGCTCAGGCTCTGCAGAGAACAAAAGTAATTTGCCTCGCTCACCTACCCGCCGCCCCCCAACAACGGCACACACAGCCCTCCTCAGCCCTCCCTTGGAAACAGAAGCTCTGGATTTACTTGCAAAGCTGTTACGTTATCAGCACTTTTGCTATACACGGTTGGGGGCTAGAGCTGCAGTTTTTCAGCTTTGAGTCAGGGCAGCCTAAGCTATCCAGAATCATGGACTATCTTTGCTGGAAGGGCCAACAGAAAATGTCTAGCAACCCCTTAGTGGGGAGACAGAGCAGGGGCCAAGGATCAGGGCAAGGAGAGTGAGGGTAAGACGAGGGCTTCTCCTGGGTCAGGTGACAGAAGCTAGAGGCAACTTCATTCCACAGGGCAGGTGCATGAAAGGTTGCCACTAGCTACAAGGATAGACAGTCCCTCAAATAATGGTCTCTCTCTCTCTCTCTCCTCTCTCTCTCTCTCTCTCTCTCTCTCGCTCGCTCGCTCTCTCTCTCTCTCTCTCCCCCCCCCCCCGTATGCCTTTGTGTGTTGGCTTCTTTCTCTCCCACTATATAGACTGACTTTTTCCATTCATCCAAGTAGATGACTGCCAACACCTTGTACTCACTGCCTCCCAGATTAACAACTCCTGACAAACAATGAAAAAAAAGCAAAGCAAACACACAAAGAATAAACAGAGCAGTTTTCTCGGCTCAGCCTGAGGGAGGCACTCTGATTGGCTCTTCTTGGTTACACACCCACCCCCTAGACCAATCACTGTTGAGAGGGGATGGAGTATTATGATTGGCTAGGTTTGGGTCACATGTTCACCATTAAGCCTCACTCATGGACCCTCTAGTTTGGATGGGCAGCGGTATTGGTGGTAAGGATGGGGGTCCCACCAAAACCATGAAGAAAGGGAGAACAGTTCTCCCAAAGGAAACAGAGTTACTGGGTCCTCTAGTGAGTGGCTGGTTCAAGGGACCCAAGAAATTCAATGATGAAGCCAGAACCACTGCACCTAGCTAATTTGTTTTATTTTATTTTTTCTAGAAATGAGGTCTTGCTATGTTGTGATGCATTGAGATCACTTGGGGAGCTGTTTAAAATCATAGATGCACAAGGCTGTGTTTCATGACCTACGGCACCCAGAGTAATACCTGGACCGTTGTCTCTAAATGCCTGTGAGACAAGCAGGCTGGGGTGGCCTCTTTCTTAGATCAGCCTCTGCTCCAAACCTTAGAGTCTTCCACTGGGCACATGGCCCAGAGAAAGTGCCGAGGACCACCGGGAGGGGATGGAGGTCCTGGTTCTGGCTTCATAATCGATTTTCTTGGGTCCCTTGAACCAGCCACTCACTAGAGGATCCAGTAACCCTGTTTCCTTTGGGAGAACTATTCTTCTCTCTTTCTCCACGTTTTTGGTGGGACCCCCATCCTTACCACCAAGACCACTGCCCATCCAAACTAGAGGGTCCATGAGTGAGGCTTAATGGTGAACATATGACCCAAACCTAGCCAATCACAATACTCCATCCCCTCTCAACAGTGATTGGTCCAGGAGGCGGGCCTGTAACCAAGAGCCTTCAATGCTGGGTATGCACTGAGATCACTTGAGGAGCTGTTTAAAATCATAGATGGTGTCCAAAACAGCCCTGTTCAAATTGCAAACAGACGGAACAGAGTAAGATGTCAGGGCCACACCACACAAGCAAGTGGCCCCAGATATGTCTGGAGACTGGTTGTGTTGTAGGGTCTCCAGTGAGATCGGTGGTACTAATGGGTGAACCTCTAGAATCACAGACTCACAGCCTCTGCCATGAAGAGGATACTTGGTGGCCAATCCCAGTTTAGAGGTCCTGAGATGAGGAGGTGTCCAGCTAAGGTCCATGCCAAGGTCATGGCTGAAGTGGGAATAGAACCTACACGTCTACACTCCCTCTCCAGTGTGTTTCCAGCAAAGGTGGCTGCGCCGCCTCATTTCCTTCCCCTCCTTATACCAGTAGTCTGTTCCCAATTTAACCTGGGGCTTTCCTTCCCCTCCACTCTGGGGTCCAGTGATAATCCGGGGCCATGACTGTTTCTGCTGTGTTGGGGTCTTACATGCCAATTGGACTGGAAGCCCCGTAAGGGACCCAGAGGGCCTGTGGGATTATGGAGAAAGTGTGCTCCCAATAAGGAAGAAGAAGAGGGTTTGGTACCTGCCTTGCTGTTTACAAGCTGTGTAAAAGCATTCTAATTTTCATTTCTTTTTTTTGTTTGTTTTTGAGACAGGATCTCACTCTGTCACCCAGACTGGAGTGCAGTGGTATGATCATACATAGCTCACGGCAGCCTCCACCTCCTGGGCTCAAGTGATCCTCCCGCCTCAGCCTCCTGAGTAGCTGGGACTGCAGGAATGCACCACCACGCTGGCTAATTTGTTTTTTTGTTTTTTTTTAAGAGATGAGGACTTGCTACGTTGCCCAGGCTGGTCTCAGATTCCTGGGCTCAAGCAATCTTCCTGCCTTGACCTCCCAAACTACTGGAATTACAGGTATGAGCCATCACACTCAACCAGCACCCTAATTTCCAAGGATTCCGGAGCCTCAGTCATCCTCATCCAGATAATGAAGGCAATAGTACCTCCCTCCCCAGGCAGAGGTGAGGAGTGAGAGAAGTGAATAAAGAGATTACTTCTATAAAAATCTAGCACAGCACCAGCCTCTCCAAAGGCCTCAAGCAAATGGGAAGCCAACCACTTCCTACCTCTCCTGGAGGTTGAGGCCAACTCCTGCCCTCTCTGAATCCCCTATGGGCCAAGAACCAGTCCCTGATTGATTGGTCGATTAATTAATGTGAAGACCAGGTCTCCACGAGGAAGTTTTCCGATGACAAAAAAATCTCTGGAGAATGAAATGTTATGTGTCACTTGTCAACAAAACCCAGCATTTTTCAGTGAAATAAGCATCTGATTCTAGAAAAACTTAATTAAAACTGCTGTTGGCGTTCAAATGATTTATGCCATCATTCCCAGCCTTCGCCCGGCAATTCCCTGGAGAGACACCAATTATCTCCCGGGGATGTTGTGAAATTCTCAAAATACTCCTCTAAACAACATGAATCTTTAATACATTTTAACTTTAAAAAAAATCGGATCATGCAGCACTTTTTTCCAGAAAAAAAAAAAAAAAAAAAGCTCCAAAGTTTGGAGTGAAGAGAAATCTAACAGAAATGGAAGGTCAGCTGGGGGCAGTGGCTCACACCTGTAATCCTCCACAATTTGGGAGGCTGAGGGGGGAGGACTGCTTGAGATTACAAGTTCAAGACCAGCCTGGGCAACACATGGAGACCCTGTCTCTACAAAAATAAAATAAAATAAAATTAGCTAGATATGCTGGCACTTACCTGTAGTCCCAGCTACTCAGGAGGCTGAGGCTGGAGGATCACTTAAGCCCAGGATTTCAAGGCTGCAGTAAGCTATGATCATGCCACTGCTATCCAGCGTGGGCAACAGAGCAAGACCCTGTCTCAAAAAAAAAAAAAAAAAAAAGGAATTAAAAAAGAAATGGAAGGCTCTTGCAAACAGACACTGGCAGGCATGGATTTTAACTCCAGGATTTGCTGATCACAGCCCACTGTGTGCTAGTCACTGGGCAGTATCCCAAGCCTGCTCACTTCCCCTTTGACTGGAAAAGAAATGGGCTTTGTAAATACAGGTGGAGAAATCAGACTTTCAGTTTCTCTGTCTCCAGCAGCAAAGCCTGAATTAATCAGCCTCTTGCATGAACCCAGAATTGGCAAAAAACAAACAAACAACAAAAACACACCTGAGAGGCCAGGCAAGGTGGCTGGTGAAGTAATTGTTCCTCAATTTCCCTATCCATGAAATGAGTTTAATTCCCACCTCACAAGGCCACTTTAGGGATTAAATGGCAGTGTCTGCAAAGCCCCACACAGAAGCACCTGCACATAGTGGGCCTTCACAAATGGTGGCTGCAGTGACAGTGGTGATGATATGAAGACAGTGACAACGAAGATGAATGTTCTAATGGGGACAATCACGCCTGAACCAAATTACCATGACACAAGAAAGAATGTGATACCTGACTATGGTATAATCAAATATGTGTTTGGTCTTTGTTCCTAGTTGCTGGAACAAGGCTTCAAAAGCCCTCAGAATTGGCCAGGCACACTGGCTCATGCCTGCAATCTCAGCACTTTGGGAGGCCAAGGTGGGCGGATCACAAGGTCAAGAGATCAAGACCATCATGGCCAACTTGGTGAAACCCTGTCTCTACTAAAAATACAAAAATTAGCTGGGCATGATGGCACACCCCTATAGTCCCAGCTACTCAGGAGGCTGATGCAGGAGAATCACTTGAACCCAGGAGGCGGAGGCTGCAGTGAGCTGAGATCTCACCACTGCACTCCAGCCCAGACGAGATTAAAGGGTTGGAACTTTCAGCCTTACTCCTCACCTCTGGGGAGAGGTGAGGGACTGGGGATTGAGTTCAATAATGTGGCCTATTATGTAATCAATCATGCTATATAAGTTTGTTTTCATGCTGCTGAAAAAGACATACCCAAGACTGGGCAGTTTACAAAAGCAAGAAGTTTAATGGACTCAGAGTTCCACGTGGCTGGGAAGGCCTTGCAATCATGGCAGAAGGTGAAAGGCATGTCTTACATGGCAATAGACAAGAGAAGGGTAACAGCCAAGTGAAAGGGGTTTCCCCTTATAAAACCATCATATTGGGCTGGGCATGGTGGCTCATGCCTGTAATCCCAGCACTTTGGGAGGCTGAGGCCGGTGGATTGCCTGAGGTCAGGAGTTCGAGACCAGCCTGGCCAACACAGTGAAACCCCATCTCTACTAAAATTACAAAAATTAGCTGGGTGTGATGGCAGGCACCTGTAATCCCAGCTACTCAGGAGGTTGAGGCAGGAGAATCGCTTCAACCTGGGAGGCAGAGGTTGCAGTGAGCTGAGATCACACCATTGCACTCCAGCCTGGGGACCAAAAGTGAAACTCCATCTCAAAAAAAAAAAAAAAAAAAAAAAAATCAGATCTTGCAAGACTTAATTGCTACCATGACAACAGTATGGGGGAAACTGCCCCCATAATTCAGTTATCTCCCACTGGGTCCCTCCCACAACACAAGGGAATTATAGGAACTACAATTCGAGATGAGATTTGGGTGGGGACAGAGCCAAACCATATCACATGCCTACAGAATGGAGCCCCAAATAAAAACTCAGGAACTACGAGGCTCAGGGAGCTTCCAGCTTAGTGAACATCCCACGCGCTAGGAAGACGGCACTGCAGGAGAAGGCACAGAAGTTCTATGCCCCCTCCCTTGCCTCTGCATCTCTTCCATTTGGCTGTTCCTGAGCTGTATCTTTCATTATAAAACTGTAATCATAAGCATAGCACATTCCTGAGTTCCACAGCCATTTTAGCAAATTATCAACCCTAAGAAGGAGTTGTGGGAACCTTAAATTTGTATCTGACCAGGCAGAAGTAGGAGTCACCTGGGGGTGCCCAAGACTTGCAGCTGATGTCTGACATGGGGGCAGTCACATGGGCTGAGCCCTTTATTTGGGGGTTCTGTGCTGACTCCAGGTAGTGAGTGTCAGAATTGAACTGAATTGTAGGTCACACTGCTGGTATCTGAGAGTCTGTGTCTAAGTCCGGTGACATGGACAGGGAGCACAAAGGGAGCTTGTGGGGATGGAAAGGAGTGACTGGCAGGTCCAGGTGGGAATGGAGGAGAGACAGCTCCTAGCCGAAGCTGTTTAATATCTCCTCCTTCTCTCCCCCTGCTTTTCCTCCCCAGCCTCCCCTGCCCCACCTTCACTAAGTCCTAGGAAACAGAAAGAGGAATGAGAGGAGGAGATGGGGTTATGGCCAGGGTTGATTAGCGAGGGAGAACCTCGGGCCCCTTTTGCCCATCCCAAGTTGAAGACACGTCCCCCTGGCACCCTGCTCCTGTTTCTGCTCTGTCTGCAGCAGTTCTTTGTTCAACCTGCAGACTGGTGACTCCATGGAAAGAGCATGTGGGGCCCCAGACAGAGGAGGAGAGCCGAGCCAGGGAAGACAAATAGCCGAGGAGTAGCGTGTACTCTCCCAGCAACGTGGCAGCGTAGGGGAAGAAGATCTATTCCAGGGAAGATCTGCTTCATAACAAATCTCCCCCCAGAGTAAAACTCCCTTAAAGTGCTAATAGCAGAATTCATAAGAAGGAAAGTTCCCCGTGAACAGAGCATATTCCTGAGGGGCCACTTTGCTTCTTGCTGTGTAGTTATGACCCTCCGAGGAAGACTGTCTTCCTGTCAATTGCTTGTTTCAAGAGAGCAGAGGGCCTGAGTTTGACAGAACAGGACAAACATCTTTCAGCCAGGCAGGCAGTAGGGAAAAGGGGTGGGGGCAGAGGAGCCAGTAGCCAGAACAATGCATTGCAAAGTGGATCTGGGAGGCCTGGGTTGAAAACCTCAATCCATTCTCTGCCAGTTATGTGACCTTAAGCAAGTCAGCCCTTCCCTCTTCCTTGGCCTCTTCTGTTTCCAACTGGGAGCAGCAGCATCCACTCATAGGGTTGTTTGAAGATAAAATAAAAGGATGCCTATTGTGGCTGGGTACGGTGGCTCACACCTATAATCCCAGCACTTTGGGAGGCCAAGGTGGGTGGGATGCCTGAGCTCAGGAGTTCAAGACCAGTCTAGGCAACATAGTGAAATCCTGTCTCTACAAAAAGTACAAAAATTAGCTGGGAGCAGTGGCAGGCACCTGCAGTCCCAGCTACTTAGGAGGCTAAGGCGGGAGGATCACTTGAGCCCGGGAGGTGGAGGTTGCAGTGAGCCAAGATTGCAACACTGCACTCCAGCCTGAGTGACTGAGCGAGACCCATGTCAAAAAAAAAAAAAAAAGAAAAAAAAAAAAAAAAGATGTATTTTGAGATTCCTGGCCCAGAGGAGATAATCAACCACACGTGTTGACTCCCATATTGCATCTAGCTAGCTGCTGTTCCAACCAAGCCCCACATAAGAAACACCAGGAAATACTCTGAATATGCAGATGCCTGGCCAGGCCCCAGGCTCACATATTCTGAGAAGGGGCCCAGGAATCTGTATTTCTTTTTTCTTTCTTTTTTTTTTTTTTACTTAAATTCTGGGATACATGTGCAGAATGTGCAGGTTTGTTACATAGGTATACATGTGCCATCATGGTTTGCTCAGCCTATCAACCCATCATCTAGGTTTTAAGCTCTGCATGCATCATGCATTAGGTATTGGCCTAATGCTCTCCCTCCCCTTGCCCCCCACCCCCTGAAAGGCCCTGGTGCGTGATGTTCCCCTTCCTGTGTCCATGTGTTCTCATTGTTCAACTCCTACTTATGAGTGAGAACTTAATGGTTTTCTCTTCCTGTGTTAGTTTGCTGAGAATGATGGTTTCTAGCTTCATCCATGTCCCTGCAAAGGACATGAACTCATTCTTTTTTATGGCTGCATAGTAAGGAATATGTATTTCTAAAGGGCTCTGCAGCAAAACACTGAGCCAGCCAATGAGCTGGCCCAGAGCATCAGGACACTGCCGAAAGATAACTAGACATGTGAGCTGGGGTCATAGGGCTGCGAGCAGGAAAGGAATTCTCTCCATATTGTTACAGTTCACCCTTGAACAAGGTAGAGTTGGGGTGCCAACCCCCCATGCAGTTGAAAATCAGAGTATAACGTTTGTCTCCTCCAAAACTTAACTACTAACAACCTACTATTTACAGAAAGACTTACTGGTAAACACGAACAGGCAATTAAGACATATTTCGCATGGCATATGTATTATAGGCTGTATTCTTACAATAAAGTAAGCTAGAGAAAAGGAAATTTTTAATTTTTTTTTTTGAGACGGAGTCTTGCTCTGTCGCCCAGGCTGGAGTGCAGTGGCATGATCTCAGCTCACTGCAACCTCCGCCTCCTGGGTTCATGCCATTCTCCTGCTTGAGCCTCCCGAGTAGCTGGGACTACAGGCGCCCACCACCATGCCCGGCTAATTTTTTGTATTTTTAGTAGAGACGGGGTTTCACTGTGTTAGCCAGGATGGTCTCGATCTCCTGACCTCATGATCCACCTACCTCGGCCCCTCAAAGTGCTGGGATTACAGGCGCGAGCCACCGTGCTGGGCCGAGAAAAGGAAATATTATTAAGAAAATCATAATGAAGGCAGGGCACAGTGGCTCACGCCTGTAATCCCAGCATTTTGGGAGACCAAGGCAGGCAGATCACTTGAGGCCAGGAGTTTGAGACCAGCCTGGGCAACATGACAAAACCCATCTCTACTAAAAATACAAAAATTAGCCAGCCAGGTGCGGTGGTGGGTGCCTGTAATCCCAGCTACTCGGGAGGCTGAGGCATGAGAATCACTTGGACCCAGGAGGCAGGGGTTGCAGTGAGCCAAGATGATGCCACTGCACTCCAGCCTGGGCTGCAGAGTGAGACTCTTGTCTCAAAAAAAAAAAAGGAAAAGAAAATCATAAGGAAGAAAAAATATATTTACTGTTCATTCAGTGGGAGCGGATCATCATAAAGGTTGTCATCCTCATCATCTTCACATTGACTAGCCTGAGGAAGAGGAGGAAGAGGAAGGGTTGATCCTGTTGCCTCAGGGGTGGCAGAGGCAGAAGGAAATCCGTTATAGGTGGACCCTCACACTTCAAACCTGTGTTGCTCAAGGATCAGCAGTATTTATTTATATATATATATTTATTTATTTATTTATTTGAGATGGAGCCTCACTCTGTCACCCAGGCTGGAGTGCAGTGGCGTGATCTCAGCTCACTGCAACCTCCACTTCCTGGGTTCAAGCAATTCTCCTGCCTCAGCCTCCCAATTACTTGGGATTACAGTCATCCACCACCATGCCTGGCTAATTTTTTTATGTTTTTTTTTAGTAGAGACGGGGTTTCACCATGTTAGCCAGGCTGGTCTCGTAATCCTGACCTTGTAATCCACCCGCCTCAGCCTCCCAGAGTGCTGGGATTACAGGTGTGAGCCACTGAGCCCGGCCCCAGCAGTATTTATTTTTTCGTATTGTGGAACAACCATATCTTCCTTTCATCCCTCCCTTAACCAACCTGGCTAAGACAACTGCCTCCATTCTCAAAATGCTTCCTGCCATATTTGCTGATGTGCAAATTTCTAGGCCAGAGGTTCCCAAACTCAAGCCCACTTCAACAACACCTGGTGTGGGGTGAGGAGAGCTTGTTAAAACACAGATCAGGTGGCATGGTGACTCACACCTGTAATCCCAACGCTTTGGGAGGCTGAGGTGGGAGGATCCCTTGAAGCCAGGAGTTCAAGCTAAAAAATTAATTAGCTGGGCATGGTAAGGCATGCCTATAGTCCCAGCTACTTGGGAGGCTGAGGTGGGAGGATTGCTTGAGGCCAGGAGTGTGAGGCTGCAGTGAGCTATGATCACACCACTGCACTCCAGCCTGGGCAACAGAGTGAAACCCTGTCTCTAAAACAACAACAACAACAACAAAATGTAGATCACTGGGTCCTCCTCCCAGTCTGATGCACCAGAATTTACATTTCTAACAATGCCCAGGGGGTGCCTTGCTGCTGGTCTAGGGAGCACATTGCCCCACTTTGATGATGGCGGGACACCATGCTTCATGTTAGTTGAGCCCCACTCAGAATGCCACTCTGCCAGAATATCCTCCCACCTGCCCATCTCCATGGCCTCTATTTCTCCCATTCAAAATCTGTTTGGGTTAAAATTCAGATATTTAGGAAAGGTGCATTGCACCCCAGATCCACTTTTTGCTCTTCTCTGGCTCTTCTCCTCTTCTGGGGGGTGCTGCCAACCTGGACAATATCTCTTAGACTCCTATGTCATCCAGCTTTGGGCAAATAGGAGACAGGGGTGGGAAATCAGATGACAGGAACAGGGAAAGGCTGCAGTGCGTCTCTTCTCCTTCCCTGCTTCATAGCCATGTTCTGGCATCGCAATAACAGCTCTCACCAGACTCCAGGAACCCCATTCCATCCTGCCCCTTTAGACCTAGGGGTAGTAAGAGCTTCCAGATATTGCTAGTCCCTGAGTGCCTCCCCATCTTTTGTGGGTTCCCTTGACTCTGCCCACTGCTCTAGAAGTGGTCCCTTCATTGAGTACCTTATTGTAAACTATCAGCTGAGATACTAATGAATACAAATGGACTATCCGTCAATCATTCAAATGGATGTGAATGATTGGCTGATGTCAATTCCATGTGAATTCACATCACACAAAATTTATTTTTTTATTTTTAAGTTCCAGGGTATATGTGCAGGATATGGTTTGTTACATAGGTAAACATGTGCCATGGTGGTTTGCTGCATCTATCAACCCATCACCTAGGTATTAAATCCAGCAGGCATTAGCTATTATTCCTGATGCTCTCCCTCCCCTGACCACAACCCCCGACAGGCCCCAGTGGGAATTTCTTGATTCTCAAAAAGTCTCTTGATTCTCAAGAATTAAAGTCTTCCTGATTCTCAAAATGATTCTCAAAAATGGCTGCACATTAGAAGTACTACATCATTGAGGCAGGTGGATCACCTGAGGTCAGGAGTTCGAGACCAGCCTGGCCAACATGGTGAACTCCAGTCTCTACTAAAAATACAAAGCAATTAGCCGGACGCAGTGGTGCACGCCTATAGTCCCAGCTACTTGGGAGGCTGAGGCTGGAGAATCACTTGAACCTGGGAGGCGGAGGTTGCAGTGAGCCAAGATCATGCCACTGCACTCCAACCTGGGCAACAGAGCGAGACTTCATCTCAAAAAAAAAAAAAAAAAGCCATACTATATAGTCTTAAAAACAATACTAGCATCTAGGGTCTCACCTCCAAAGATTCTGATTTAGTCAATCTGGCATATGGCCTGGATATCAGAATCTTTTAAAAGCTCCCTAAGTACCTCCGGTTCTGGATAAGATGGAGTAGACACACTTCTATCTATTCCTCTGACTAAATACAGCTACAAAGTACAAAGAAAGAAAACTACAGACTGATATTTCTCAAGATTATGGAGGCAAAAATCCTTAACAAAATATTAGCAAATAGAGGTCAGCAATATATAAAAAGAATTATATACTATAACCGGCTGGGTGCAGTGGCTCATGCCTGCAATCCCAGCACTTTAGGAGGCCAAGGTGGGTGGATCGCCTGAGGTCAAGAGTTCAAGACCAGCCTGGCCAACATAGCGAAACCCCATCTCTATTAAAAATACAAAAATTAGCCGGGCATGGTGGCAGGTGTCTGTAATCCCGGTTACTCAGGAGACTAAGGCAGGAGAATCGCTTGAACTCAGGAGACAGAGGTTGCAGTGAGCCAAGATCACACCACTGCACTCCAGCTTGGGTAATGGAGCAAAACTCTATATCAAAAAAAAAAAAAAAAAAAAAAAGAATTATATACCATAACCAAGTCAAGTTTAGTCCAGGAGGGATACAAAGATGTTTCTTTACAAATCAATCAATGTAACCTAACATATTAACAGGCTAAAGAAATAAAACCATAGGATGATATCAATAGATGCAGAAAAACCATTTGACAAAACCCAACACCCATTTATAATAAAGACTCTCAGCAAACCAGAAATAGAGAGGAACTTCCTTGACTTGATAAAGAATGTCTGCAAAAAACCTACAGTGAATATCATACTTAATGGTAAAAGACCATGTATTTTACCAAAGCAATGTTGTTTCCCTAAAATTGAAAACAAAGTTAAGAATGGTTGTTCTAACCACTCTCCTTTGTGCTAGAAGTCCTAGCCATCACAACAAGAAAGGAAAATAAGGAAGGGTGCTGTGGTTCACACCTGTAATCCCAGCACTTTGGGAGGCCGAGGTGGGCGAATCACAAGGTCAGGGGTTCAACATCAGCCTGGCCAACATGATGAAACCCCATCTCTACTAAAAATAACAAAAAAATTAGCTGGGCATGGTGGGCGCATGCCTGTAATCCCAGCTACTCGGGAGGCTGAGGCAGGAGAATTGCTTAAACTGGGACCCGGGAGGCAGAGGTTGCAGTGAGCCAAGATCATGCCACCACACTCCAGCCTGGGCTACAGAGCGAGACTCCATCTCGACGACAAAAAAAAAAAAAGGGAAAGGAAGGGAAGGGAGGGGAGGGGAGGGGGAGGGGGAGGGGGAAGGGGAAGGGGAAGGGGAAGGGAAAAAGAAAGAAATAAAACTGTCCTTGTTTGCAGAAAATTGTCTGTGAAGAAAATCCTAAGCAATATACCAAAATTAAAAAAAAAAAAAAACCACCCAGAACTAATGACTTCATCAAGGACATAGAATATATAATCAACATACAGATAGTAGTTATATTTCTATATACTAACCATGAACACAAGGAAACTGAAATTAAGCATACAATACCATTTACAATTTGCTCCCAAAAGTGACATACTTAAATATAAATCTGAAAGATGTACAGAACTTGTATGCAAAAAATTGCAAAATGTTGATGAAAGAAAAAAAGAAAATATAAATAAATGGAAAGATGTGTTTATGGATTGGAAGACTCAACACAATAAAGATATTAGTTCTCCCCAAATTTATTTAAACATTTAATGCAATTCTTATCAAGACCCAGCAGGGTTTCTTACAGATAAAGACAAGCTTATTATAAAGTATACATGGACCGGGCACGGTGGCTCACACCTGTAATCCCAGCACTTTAGGAGGCCAAGGTGGTGAATCAGTTGAGGTCAGGAGTTTGAGACCAGCCTGTACAACACGGTGAAACCCTGTCTCTACTAAAAATACAAAAATTAGCCAGGTGTGGTGGCATGCACCTGTAATCTCCGCTACTCAGCAGGCTGAGGCATGAGAATTGCTTGAACCCAGGGACCAGAGGTTGCAGTGAGCCAAGATCACGCCACTGCACTCCAACCTGGATGACTGAGTGAGACTCTATCTCAAAACAAAAAATAAAAATAAAAATAAATAAAGTATACATGGAAATACAAAGGAATTAGAATAGCTCAAACAACTCGGAGAAAGAAAGATAAAATGGGAAGAATTAGTCTACCTAATTTCCAGACTTATTCTATGGCTATAATGATCAAGGCTGTGATACTGGGGGAGGACAGATTCATAAATCAATGGAACAGAACAGAGAATTCAGAAACAGTACTACACAAGTACAGCCCACTGATTTTTGACAAAGATGTAAAAGCCATTCAATGAAGGAAGGATATTCTCTTCAACAAATGGTGCTGGAGATATTGGATTTCCATCAGCAAAAAAAATAAACCTTAACCTAAACCTCACATCTGATTTAAAAAAACTCAAAATAGATCAAAGACTTAAATGTAAAACACAAAGTACTAAAACTTGTAGGAGAAAAGAAACGAGAAAATCTTCAGGGGGCTATGAAGAGAGGTTGAGTAATGGGTCCAAATATACGGTTTGATTGAAAAAATAAGATCTAGCATCTGATAGATGATAAGTATGACTATTGTATACAATCATCTATTTTATATTTCAAAATAACTAGAAGACAATAATTGAAGTATATCTAGCATAAAGACAAATATTTAAGGTGACGAACATCCCAATTACACTGATTTGATTTTTACAAATTATATGAATGTATTAAATTATCACATATACCCTGAAAATTTTTAAAAATATATTTTTAAAAAGTAGGAATAAAAACTTTGAAAAAAAGTCTTCAGGACATAGGGCTTGGTGAAGAGTTCTTAGCATGATCTATAAAAGAAAAAACATGGATAAATTGGACTTCGTCAAAATTAAAAACATTTGCTTTGCAAAAGACCATGTCAAGGAAATCCGGCTGGGTGCAGTGGCTCATGCCTATAATCCCAGCACTTTGGGAGGCTGAGGTGGGTGGATCACTTGAGGTCAGGAGTTGAAGACCAGCCTGGCCAACACGGTGAAATCCTGTCTCTAAAAAATATACAAAAACTAACTGGACGTGATGGCGTGTGCTTGTAATCCCAGCTACTTGGGAGGCTGAGGCAGGAGGATCTCTTGAACCTGGGAGGTGGAGGCTGCAGTGAGCCGAGATGGTGCCACTCCACTGAAGCCTGCAACAGAGTGAGACTCCTTCTCAAAAAAAAAAAAAAAAAAAAAAAAAAAAAAAAAAAAATTGTGGCGTCTAGGCTATAGGGCCCCAGGTTCTGAATTTCTAACAAGCTCCCAAGAATGCCCAAGCTCCTGGTCTGTGGACCATACTTTCAGTAGCAGGGTTCCAATAGTATTTCCTGGCCAAGGCTGGTGGGTCATGCCTGTAATCCCAGCACTTTGGAAGGTGGCGGGCAGATCACCTGAGGTCAGGAGTTTGAGACCAGCCTGGCTAACACAGTGAAACCCCATCTCTACTAAAAATACAAAAATCAGCTGGGCATAGGTGCACACAACTGTAATCCCAGCTACTCGGGAGTCTGAGGCAGGAGAATCGCTTGAACCCAGGAGGCGGAGGTTGCAGTGACCTGAGATCATGCCACTGCACTCTAGCCTAGGCGACAGAGTGGCACTGCATCATGAAAGAAAGAAAGAGAGGGAGGGAGGGAGGGAGGGAGGAAGGAAGGAAGGAAGGAAGGAAGGAAGGAAGGAAGGAAGGGGAAAATGGCAACATAAGCCAGACTGGGAAATAGGGGAATTGAGGGGGCTTGGTCAGCCAGAGGGCCAGGGCCTAAGAGATGGGGAGAGGCACCTAGGAGATGGCAAGAGAGCCCTGAAGACAAAGTCCCATTGCTACACCTTTGCCAAACGCGAGTTTTGGGCACTTACAGGGTTTATGGTCAAGAAAGTGGCCTCTGCCAGCCTTTTCCTCACTTCACAAATGCTGAAAAGCTTTGATTTATGTTAAAGCTGTCTCCTGGGGGGACCTAAAACACATAAAAACTTCAGCACCTACAACAGATGCTACCAGTCTGCCGAGAGGCACATGTGGCCCTATAAATATCTGGATTAACAGGGAAAGGGTGAGTCAGGGTCTGCAGTCCATGGTTCCAGCTCAGCTCTCCTGCCAGGGTGGGATCTGGGGTGAACCTAGGTACCTCTAGGAGCCTCAGTTCCACTAAATGAAAGATACAGGTCAATACATCTCCAACAAAGTTCTTTTTTTTTGTTTGTTTGTTTTTTGAGATGGAGTCTCTCTCTGTCACCCAGGCTGGAGTGTGCAGTGGTGCGATCTCAGCTCACTGCAACCTCCACCTCCTGGTTTCAAGCAATTCTTCTGCCTCAGCCTCCCAAGTAGCTGGGACTACAGGCATGTGCCACCACACCTGGCTAATTTTTGTATTTTTAGTACAGACAGTATTTTACCATCTTGGCCAAACTGGCCTCAAACTCCTGACCTCAAGTGATCCTCCCGCCTTGGCCTCTCAAAGTGCTGGGATTACAGGCGTGAGCCACCGCGCCCAGCTGTACTTTTTCTAATTCTCACAGATGACTGACACAGTCCTACTTAAAGCAGTTTACCCTCCTCTGTAAGTATCACTTTCCACATCTGCAATATGACAATGTTTCATTTAGATGACTTTCAGACCCCTGTGAAATTCTCTGACTTCAGTGAATCACTTTGTGGGCTCACCAGGGTACTGCTCCAAGCCCTCTTGACCGTAGGCTGCTTTTAAAAGCACTGGACCCGGCTTTCTTGAACAAAATCGTCAATAATCTGCTCTTCTCTCATTCCTGAGAGCTCCAACTGAAGCTGTGAATTTTGATCACACCGCTTTCTTCTGGTCATTTCTCCCTGGCTTTCATTATTTGGCTCATTGCCACAGATGTGCACCGAAGACAAGCACACAAAGCCTCCCGCTGGCACGGAAAACAGGAGCATCTGCCGGAATCCATGGGCAGCTGGCTGTGGGTGTCCAATGACAGAGACGCCTGCACTGAATCAGATCCCACTAGGATCTGCACACAGCTCTGCAAGCCATCAACCTTCCGTACGGGGCAGCTACAGGCTCTAGGAGAGTGTTGGCTGGGCTTCAAAAAACATTATGCACAGGAAGAAATGGCTTGGAGTAAAAACACCCCAGATACCTTATTGCCTTCCTTGCTCTTCTCCTTGATGGACATCCTCAGTTTCTAGCTAGCACAGGTTGATTTTAGCAATTCCTTCCTTTTTTCTGTTCTACAAGCATTTCCCTAACATGTCCCCCATGCCAGGCACTGGGTCAGCCTGCACTTACTACCAAGGATTCCAGGGCTCATTCTAGAGCAGGGAGGTCCCCAACCCCCAGGCTATGGACCAGTACTGAGTCTGTGGCCTGATAGGAGCCGGGCTGTAAAGCAGGAGCTGAGCAGCCACTGAGCAAGCAAAGCTTCATCTGTATTTACAGCCACTCCCCATCGCTCATGTTACCGCCTGAGCCTCGCCTCCTGTCAGATCACTGGTAGCGTTAGATTCTCATAGGAACACGAACCCTATAGTGAACTGTGCATGCGATGCTCCTTATGAGAATCTAATGCCTGATGATCTGTCACTGTCTCCCATCACCCCCAGATAGGACTGTCTAGTTGCAGGAAAACAAACTAGGGGCTCCCCACTGATTCTACATGATGGTGAGTTGTAGAATTATTTCATTATGTATTACAATCTAATAATAAGAGAAATAAAGTACACAATAAATGGAATGCACTTGAATCATCCCAAAACCATCCCCCTCCCAGTCTGTAGAAAATTGTCTTCCACGAAATTAGTCCCAGGTGCCAGAAAGTTTGGGGACCGCTGTTCTAGAGTAGCCCACACCGTAGCAGGTTAGAGGCATGTAATCAAATAGTTGCCATATAGTTTGGAGGGTCGCTGTAAGTTTCACAACCACCAAGTAGTACCAGTGTTGGACACATGGCCTGTGGAAGGCTGGAGGATGGATCAGAAAGAACATGGGTTGTGGAGTCCAGCACCACTGACTTCAGACACCCACTCCACTGTTGCCATTTTTCATTACTTTTTCTTTTTTAGAAACGGAGTCTTGCTATGTTGCCCAGGCTGATCTCAAACTCCTGGCCTCAAGCAATCCTCCCACTGCAGCCTTCCCAGGCCTGTAGCCTGAGACTACAGGCATGTGCCACCATGCCTGGCTATTTTGTTTTTTATTATTTTTTGTAGAAACAGGGTCACACTATGTTGCCAGAGAGGGTCTTGAACTCCTGACACCAAGTGATACTCCTGCCTCAGCCTCCTAAAGTCCTGTGATTACAGGTGTGAGCCACTTCACCTGGCTATTTTGTGTGTGTTTGTAGAGATTGTCTCTCACTACATTGTCCAAGCTGGTCTTGAACTCTTGGCCTCAAGTGATCCTCCCAACTCATCTCCCAAGAGGATCATTTTTCATTTCTAAAATGGAGATACTAACAGCCCCTCACAGGTTCTGAGCCATCCTGGCTCATGGAAATCTCTTGCTATTTCTTTGTTGTTGTTGTTGTTGTTGTTGTTTGTTTTTTAGAGATGAAGTCTCATTCTGTCATCCAGGCTGGAGTACAGTGGCATGATCTTAACTTACAGCAACCTCCGCCTCCTGGGTTCAAGTGATTCTCCTGCCACAGCCTCCTGAGTAGCTGGGATTACAGGTGTATGCCACTGTGTCTGGCTAATTTTTGTATTATTAGTAGAGACAGGGTTTCACCATGTTAGCCAGGCTGGTCTCAAACTCCTGACCTCAAGAGCTCTGCCCACCTCTGCCTCCCAAAGTGCTGGAATTACAAGTGTGAGCCACTGCACCCGGCCAAAAACTCTTTTTTAATTAATTTTTTTTTTAATTTTTTTGAGAAAGAGTCTCACCTTGTCGCCCAGGCTGGAGTGCAGTGGTGCAATCTGGACTCACTACAACCTCTGCCTCCTGGGTCCAAGCAATTCTCCTGCCTCAGCCTCCCGAGTAGCTGGGATTATAGGTGCCTGCCACCACACCCAGCTAATTTTTGTATTTTTTGTAGAGACAGGGGTCTCACCATGTTGGCCAGGCTAGTCTCAAACTCCTGACCTCCGGTGATCTGCCCACCTCGGCCTCTCAAAGTGCTAGGATTACAGCAGCCCACCACCATGTCCAGCTAATTTTTGTATTTTTAGTAGGGACGGATTTTCACCATGTTGGCCAGGATGGTCTCAAACTCCTGACCTCAGGTGATTCACCCGCTTTGGCCTCCCAAAGTTCTGGGATTACAGGCATGAGCCACCGCACCCAGCCACTCTCCTGCTATTTCTGCCACTGGTTGACAACTATCAAACCTAACCATCCCCCACCCCCCCACCCTCATGTCTCTCATAATCCCAAAAGACACAATCAAATCCCCAATGTTGACCTTCAGAAAGATCAAAATCCCTAACATCTAAAATCCCAAAAATCACAATCCTGAAACAGTAAAATCCCAAATGTTGAAACCCTGAAATTCAAATGCTGAGGAAGGTTTTAGTGTGTTTGGGGTTGTACAGAGAATAGTAGCATCATGTTAGTTGCATCAAGTTAGGCTGAACTAGGACCTTGTGATTGCCTTTCTTCGAAAATTAACTATGGTTTAAGAAGATGTAATCACAGCATGTTGGGAGGCCAAGAGGGGTGGATCACGAGGTCAGGAGTGTTAGACCAGCCTGACTAACATGGTGAAACCCCATCTCTACTAAAAATACAAATATTAGCCAGGCATGGTGGTAGGTGCCTGTAATCCCAGCTACTCGGGAGGATGAGGCAGGAGAATCGCTTGAACCCGGGAGGTGGAGGTTGCAGTGAGCCGATATCACACCACTGTACTCCAGCCTGGGCAACAGAGCAAGACTTGGTCTCAAAAAAAAAAAAAAAAGAAGAAGAAGAAGACGGGTCTGGGTCCCAAGCTGACAAGGAGTGGACCTACTTCTAGACGTCAGGTTGGCTGGATGGAAGAATAGCTAGAAACCTGGTAAGGCATCATTGGGATGTGTCAGTGAGGATGTTTCCAGAGATTAGTGTGTGAGTCTGAGTGGACTAGATGAGGAAGATCTGCCCTTGATATTGGCAGATACATTTATTTATTTCTCAAATAAACACCTTTTTTAAAATGCAAATCTTTTAAACAATTTTTTTTATTTTTTTTCCAAGAATTATATTTTCAGGATTTTTATCTTTGGAGACTGTGATTTTTAGGATTGAAGACTTGAAGGATGTTGAGCTTTTAGGATTTCCACATTTGAGATTATGGAGTAGTTTGGGATTGTGTCTTTTGGGTTTATGGCCGAAGTCCCCCACCCCCTAACCAATCTTTTCTTTTTCTTTTTCTTTTTTTTTGAGACGGCATCTTGCTCTGTCACCCAGATTGGAGTGCAGTGCGCGATCTTGGCTCACTACAACCTCTGCCTCTTGGGTTCAAGTGATTCTCCTGCCTCAGGCTCCTAAGTAGCTGGGATTACAGGCCCCCGCCACCATGCCTGGCTAATTTTTGTATTTTTAGTAGAGACAGGGTTTCACCATGTTGGCCAGGCTGGTCTCAAACTCCTGATCTCAAATGATCTGCCCACCTTAGCCTCCCAAACTGCTGGGATTACAGGCGTGAGCCACCGTGCCCAGCCCCTCTAACCACTTTTTACCAAGTTTATCAGCAGAACTCAGACAGACATTACCAACCACTCAAATTATTGCCTGATTCAGGCTTCCCGCTAGGCTGAGCTCGAGAGCCCTTCTGAAGTTTGTGGCCGGCTGTTTCTGCCATTCTCTACGTCTTTGCCATCCTTGACCACAGCCCACATGCCAGCCTCCCCCACCACCCACCCCTACCCAGGGTCCTTCTCCTAATGACCCACCCTCCCAATCTCTGGAGTTTTTGTGATGAGAAAAATTTGCTTCCCTAGACCCTCTGTTTCTTCACAAAATGCCGTTTCCCTCTTCCCTAAACTTTAACCCCAGGTACTGGAAAGAGTTTCCATAATGGAGTGGCCAGTGGTAACAAATGGTCCCAAGAGACTAAATAAGATAAGGACAGAACATTACTCTTGGGATTTAACAATAACGAGGCCATTGGAGGTCTCGGTGGAGACACTCTTGGTAGGTCATAGTAAGAAGAAACCAGATTGTAGCAGGCTGAGTTGTGGGTGGGAGATGAGAAAAAGAGGAGAAGTGTGGACAATGCTTTCCAGAAGTTTAATGAGAAGGAAGGAGAGAAAGGGTGACAGATGGATGGGATCAAAGAGCCTAGCAGAAGACACAGATGGAAAGCCACCTTAGAGAGACCTCTGTACCTTGAGAAATGTGCTCTCTAACCCTGTAACAATTTAATCTATTGGTGCATAGACTGACATATGCTACACGTTATTACTTAAAGAAACCTTATCTATCGGCCGGGCATGGCGGCTCATGCCTATAATCCCAGCACTTTGGGAGGCCGAGGCGGGTGGATTACCTGAGGTCAGGAGTTTGAGACCAGCCTGACCAACATGGTGAAACCCCATCTCTACTAAAAATACAAAAGTTAGCAGGACATGGTGGTGCATGCCTATAATCCCAGCTACTCAGGAGGCTGAGGCAGGAGAAGCACTGGAACCTTGGAGGCAGAGGTTGCAGTGATGGCGCCACTGCATTCCAGCCTGGACGACAGAGTGAGACTCCATCTCAATTAAAAAAAAAAAAAAAAGAAAAGAAACTTTATCTATCTAGCCTAGCACACTCACTTTACAGATGAGAAAACTCAAGACCAGAGAGGTCAACTATCCTACCCAAGGTCACCTAGCATCTGAGTGGCAAAATCAAGAATGGGTTCCCCGGTCTTTTCCTCCTCTGAACTTGGTTATGCTCCAAGTGCAGTGCAAATCAAATTCCCTGACGTAAGATAATATCATGCGTGTCTAGGGCATCGTAAACATGGGTAGGTCCGCCGAGGCCCTATTTGCACTGGGAGAGGAATGCTCCCAGCACAATGAGCTTGAGTCTGCAGAAGGAAGCCATAACTCAGAGGGTGGCATGGTGGCCGTGTGACACAGAACCCAGCTGGTCCTGCAAAGTCACATCTGAGTCTTCTGCAGGCAAAGCAGATCTCCATAAAACCCAAATGAGTTGTTTCTATGAAATTCTGCTATGACCTTGGAGCACCAGCCTCATCTTATGGTGACCCTCACCCACTACCAGAGGGTCATGAAGAAAATAGGGGGTGTTCTGCAACCCTCACCACACCTCATGACATCCCACTGCTCTGGGCCATGAAGCAAGAGGCAGAGCAGGGTGGAGCTGCATGGCCAGCTATTGATGGAGAAGCCACAGAGCCTGCGGAGCCTCTATGCCCAGTAGGTCTCCGTGGGGATGTATCCCAGGCAACGTGGCAGTGCCCAGCGAGGGACAGTGAGCAGTGGCCAGGCCTGTCAAGACCATATTTATGAGCCCATGTGAGATACCCCTGAGGGCTCCAGAACCACATGGGGAGAAGTGCTTTGCAGGGAACTTGAGCTCCCACATCTGCAGGTCATACACCAGCAAGAGCTGGAGAGACTTTGAAAGCCATGAGAGCTGTGGAAACTCACGTTGCAAGTAAAAGGTTGATGGAAAAATTATCTCCCTATATCTATGGACATGTCCATTTTCACTATGTCCACACAGTTACTTGTGCAATTCCCGGAACACCCCTCTTCTCTCCTTGCAGCTATCCACAGCCTCTCATTGCCAAGGCCAAGCCAAGTCCCCCCCCACAAGAACTCCTGTCCCCATTTCTCTCTCCTTCTTCTGAGGTCTTGAACTCACAGCATCACCCAGAGGACCTGCCTTAGCCAGTTCACACTGCTGTAA
The DNA here is from genome assembly GCF_000001405.40 of Homo sapiens. Taxonomy (NCBI): domain Eukaryota; kingdom Metazoa; phylum Chordata; class Mammalia; order Primates; family Hominidae; genus Homo; species Homo sapiens. The sequence continues at coordinate 67,417,372 of NC_000007.14, read as the reverse complement.
CAAGAACATCATAGACTAGGTGGCTTATAAACAACAGAGATGTGTTTCTCACAGTCTTGAAGTCTGGAAGTCCAGGATCAGAAGGCTAGCATGGCCATGTTCTGATGAGGACTCTCTTCCCAGTTGCAGATAGGGTTGATCTCTGGCTGTTTCTTATAAGGGCATTAATCCCATTTGTGAGGGCTCCATCCTCATGACCTAATCACCTGCCAAAGTCTCTGCCTCCTAATACCATCACATCAAGGTTAGGGTTTCAATATATACATTTTGGGGAAACACAAACATTTAGTCAATAATAGGAGTCTTTTCTTTCTTTTTTGAGACAGTCTGCTCTGCCACCCAGGCTGGAGTGCAGTGGTGCAATCTCAGGTCACTACAACCTCTGCCTCCTGGGTTCAAACAATTATCCTGCCTCAGCCTCCCAAGTAGCTAGGATTACAGGTGAGCACCATGATGCTGGCTAATTTTAATATTTTTAGTAGAGATGGGATTTCACCATGTTGTCCAGGCTGGTCTCGAATTCCTGACCTCAGGTGATCTGTCCACCTCAGCCTCCCAAAGTGCTGGGATTACAGGCATGAGCCACTGTGCCCGGCCAATAGGAGCCTTTTCTTGGTCTCTCGCTTTGGTGGCGAGATTTCCTTCCCCTGCTAGCTGGAAAAGCCAGGACATCCTCCTCTGCCCCTAACACAGTGTCAGGCATCCAAGGACCCTCCATGAGCCCACTCTAGTCCACCTGCTTCACCAGGGCAAGCCACCAAGGAAGGTGCCACTTAAAATAGGGCCAATTAAGAAGAAGCTGTGGGTCTCCATGGAGACAATTTCTGCCAGCCTCCCACTGCACAAAGAGTTTTCCCATAGCCACTTCCGAGTGTGAAATCAAACCCTGGTCTACGCCCTGCTGGGACAAGAAGTACAGCTGTCATTAAATTGTCAGGGTCTCTGTGGCTTCTTCTTATTGTCTCTCTCCCAACAGTGCTGTTATGGGCCAAATTCTGTGCCTCCCACCAACAATGCACAGGTTGAAATCTAAACCCCAAGTACCTCAAAATGTGACTATGTTTGGAGATAGGGTCTTTAAAGAGCTAATTAAGTTAAAATGAGGTAATTGGTGATTGAGTTAAAATAAGGTCCCTATAAGAAGAGGAAATTTGAAACCACAATGAGAAACCATCTCATACCAGTCAGAATGGCTATTATTAAAGTGTCAAAAAAATGACAGACGCTGGTGAGGTTGAGGAGTAAAGGGAACGCTGATACATTGCTGGTGGGAGTGTTAATTAGTTCAACCACTGTGGAATGCAGTGTGGTGATTCCTCAAAGAGCTAAAAACAGAACTGCCATTTGACCCAGCAATCCCATTACTGGGTATATACCCAAAGAAGTATAAATCGTTCTATTATAAAGACACATGCACACATATGTTTGTTGCAGCACTATTGACAATAGCAAAGACATGGAATCAACCTAAATGCCCATCAATGACAGGATAAAGAAAGAAAATGTGGTACATACACACCATGAAATACTATGCAGCCATAAAAAAGAATGAGATCATGTCCTTTAGAGGAACATGGATGGAGCTGCAGGCCATCATCGTTAGCAAACTAATGCAGGAACAGAAAACCAAATACCACATGTTCTCACTTATAAGTGAGAGCTAAACAATGAGAACACATGGGCACAAAGAGGGGAACAACACGCACTGGGGCCTACTCTAGGGTGGAGGGTGAGTGGAGGGAGAGGATCAGAAAAAAATAACTATTGGGTACTAGGCTTATACCTGGGTGATGAAATAATCTGTACAACAAACTCCCATGACATGAGTTTACCTATATAACAAACCCTGAGCCTAAAATAAAAGTTAAAAAAAAAAAATCAATGAGTCAGAAAAAAAGAAAAGAAGAGGAAATTTGGACATAGAACAATACACAGGGAAGACCACATGAGACAAAACAAAACCAACCCTGCTGATGTCTTGGTCTCAGACTTTCAGCCTCCAAAACTAAAAGAAAATAAATTTCTGTTGCTTAAGCCATCCAGTCTGTGGCACTTTGTTGCTATGGCCTGAATGTTTGTGTCACCCCCAGAATTCATGCTGAAATTCGCACCCCAAGGTGACGGTATTAGGAGATGAGGCCTTTGGGAGGTGATTAGGTCACGGGGGTGGAGGCTTCATGAATGGGATTACGGCCTTTATAAAAGAGACCTGAGAGAGAACCCTTGCCTTTTTCATTATGTGAGGACACAGCAAGAATTTGCTGTCTATGAACCGGAAACCCGTCCCTCATCAGATGCTAAATCTGTTGGTGCCGTGCTCTTGGACTTCCCAGCCTCCAGAACCATGAGAAATAAATTTCTGGCATTTGTAAGCTACCTAGTCTATGGCATTTTTGTTACTGTACCCCAAATGGACTGACACTTGTACTGGCAGCCCCAGCAAACTAACACACTGGCTGTGTTGCCTCTGAGTGGCTTTTCCATTCCAGGTCAAAAATGAAAATGGCTATTTGCAAAGGGCCTTTATTCTCCTCTCTTGGGGGCATTGCTTTCCCTGCTGGGATTTTTATTCTTTTTTATTTTTATTTTTTTTCTGAGATGGAGTTTTGCTCCTGTTGTCCCGGCTGGAGTGCAATGGAGCTATCTCAGCTCACTGCAACCTCCACCTCCCGAGTTCAAGTGACTCTCCTGCCTCTGCCTCCTGAGTAGCTGGGATTACAGGTGCCCACTACCATGCTCAGCTAATTTTTGTATTTTTAGTAGAGATGGGGTTTCACCATGTTAGCCAAGCTAATCTCAAACTCTGGACCTCAGGTAAGCCACCTGCCTCGGCCTCCCAAAGTGCTGGGATTACAGGTGTGAGCCACCACACCCAGCCTTGAAGGTATGCATCATTCTCAGCCTCCATGAATACATGGCCCCAGAAAAGGAGTATTGGGATGAGGGACATGAATGTGCAGGTCTCTAAAAGCTACTTACCCCCATTCCACCCGCCCCTTAGAATCACACACGAGCCAGCCCCTCCTGTCTGCTCTGCCTGCCACAGGTCCCACTTAGACCAGGTATACCAAAATTGCAAAACTTCCTTCTTCTCTCCTGCATCCCCTAGCCTCTCTCTGTTGCATTCTGAATTCTCTCCAGGAGCCTAAGTACGAACGAGTAGGAAGGATCAAGGGCAATTCACCAGGAAATCTACAAGGGATTCTCTAAATGTTGATGAAGCTGCGGCTCATCCACTGTGTTGAACTTTGATTTATTATCATTTTAATATCTCAGCAAGTGAAGGGCACCCTCATAAAGCATTATCACAGCCTTTAAATGGAGAGAAATTGTTTCCCTTGTGCCAGGGCAATGAAACTGTGGTATCGTGATCTGCAGTCCAAGAGGAAATCTTCAGCAGAGGTTAAGAGCATAAATACAAATTGAGTCAGGTTCTTTTCTAGCCTGCTGAGCAAACCACTTCACGGCCATTAACATGGCAATATTTAAATAGACTTGCCTTCCATTGAGAGAGGGAGCTGGAGAGAGTATCTGCTTGCAGCAGGTGGGTGGATGGGATTGTGGGATAAGGACGTAATGCCATGCAGGTGTTTCCAAGGAGCCCTGGCTGCAGGCTATGCAGGGTCCACATTGCCATTCAACTTCTGTCTCTGCCCACAGCTGCTTCTTCCCCATTCCTCTTGCACAGGTGTGATCCCTATAAACATTTTGCACTCCAAATTCCATCTTAGCATCTGCTCCTGCAAAATGAGACAGGTTGAGAAGGAGCTGGGAGCCACAGCTGGCCCTGCCCAGCTCAGGCTTGGGGACGGGGTATATTCAGGGAAGTGAGTCTGATCTGCCCTGGAGGGGGTCAACATCTTGCCTATACTTGAATGACACCAAGAAATACCCAAGACATATAAGCCTTACCAATAGAGAGGAGTGTCTGAACTTCACATGAGCTGTTGACCATCCCACATCAGATGTTGGGAGTGAGAAAGAGAGATGACAAATCAGAATTGCCAGAAGAAAAGCTGGCTGGGAGGGGAAGGAGGTGAATTCAGTTCTGACTATATTGATTCCAGTGAGATCTGAATTGGAGGGAAGAGAGAAGAGCAAAAGTCTAGGAGGTGGAGAATAAATGGACCCAGAACTCTGAGCAGCAATCTGTCCCAGAGATATACACCTGGCAGCCATTAGCACATTCATGACGCAGCTGAGAACATCTGCACCCAGGTGTTCAGGGAGTTAGCAGAAGGAGAGAAGAGGAGCCCCAAAGACAGGGCACAAAGAATAAGGATAAATTGCTTCCAACCATGAGGCTATGGAAACATGGAGAAAAAGGAAATCCCTATAGATGGGAGTGGTTATCCAAGAGTTCCCCAAAGAGATGGACCTTGAGATGAGCCTGGAGGAAGAGGTAGGCAGAGACCATGGTTACATGATAACAAAGTAGGTGTAGTCAAGAGGTGAGGATGGAAGACACAGGAAAGAAAAGAATATTCAGTGGTGTTGGCCACTCACTGCTCTGTGACCTTGGATGTCATATCACTGAGTCTGACTCTTCCTCTATAAAAGAAAGTCACAGATGACTTCCCTGCAGATTGTTTTATGGATTCAAGGTAATAAGAGGAAAGTGTTTGACACAGTGTCTGTCAGCTAGTAGGTTCTAAACAAGCCATAATTATTTTTTATGAATGGGATATCCTGCTTGTTACAATGCAGCAGCAGATACAGTGGCTTCTTGTTAAAAGAATTTTCCAGGCCGGGCGCGGTGGCTCACACCTGTAATCCCAGCACTTTGGAAGGCCGAGGCGGGCGGATCACAAGGTCAGGAGTTCGAGACCAGCCTGACCAACATGGTGGAACCCCGTCTCTACTAAAAATACGAAAATTAGCCGGGCGTGGTGGTGAGCACCTGTAATCCCAGCTTCTCAGGAGGCTGAGGCAGGAAAATCGCTTGAACCCAGGAGACGAAGGTTGCAGTGAACCGAGATCGTGCCACTGCACTCCAGCCTGGGAAACAGAGCGAGACTTCGTCTCAAAAAAAAAAAAAAAAGAATTTTCCAAGAACAGAACTATGACTCACCATATCAGCTTAAACCTTTTGAGTTGGCAATCTCTCGAAAGCGCAATCTGAAGTGCATTCGGATGTTTAAGGGACTGTGATTTGATCTGTGAGACATGCAGACAGATTAATAAAGCCATGGCCACATAAAGGGACTGCTCCAGTGCAACTGTGTGACAAACACCACCCACCATCTGCAGCCCACAGAGGCAGCCCACCATCTCAGAAAGCAAGACTCATGTATGCAAGGTTATGGGGTGCCAGATGCCTCTAATTCTGTATTTCATTTTGTTCTCAAGACACCCTTGCTGAGCAACTGATATCCTTCTTGTTTTTACAGATGAGGAAATTGGAGCTCAGAGACATTAAAAACCCTGCCCAGGGGTCACACAGCAGCAGGGGGTGGGACTGGATTTGAACTCGCCTGTCTGAACTTGGGGCTCTGACATTCCACCCCATTGCAAAGTTTTCCAAACTCTCTGCCACTTGTCTTGCAATGACCACGGTATACTAAGCCCTTCCCCTTGCTTGCTTGCTTTCCTTCTGTATTAGCCAGGGTTCTCTAGAGGGATAGAACTAATAGGATATATGTATATATAAAAAGGGAGTTTATTAAGGAGTATTGACTCTCACGATCACAGGGTGAGGTCCCATGATAAGCTATCTGCAAGCTGAGGAGCAAGGAAGCCAGTCCGAGTCCCAAAGCTGAAGAACTTGGAGTCTGATGTTCAAGGGCAGGAAGCATCCAGCATGGGAGAAAGATGTAGGTGAAAAGACTAAGCCAGTCTAGTCTTTCCACTTTCCTTCTTTTTTTTTTTTTTTTTTTTTTTTGAGATGGAGTCTTACTCTATTGCCCAGGCATGAGTGCAGTGCTGCAATCTTGGCTCACTGCAACCTCCACCTCCCGGGTTCAAGCAATTCTCCTGCCTCAGCCTCCTGAGTAGTTGGGATTACAGATGCCTGCCACCACGCTCAGCTAATTTTTGTATTTTTAGTAGAGGTGGGCTTTCACCATGTTGGCCAGGCTGGTCTCGAACTCCTGACCTCAGGTGATCCACCCCCACCCCCTCGGCCTCCCAAAGAGCTAGGATTACCGGCATAAGCCACCACGTCTGGCCTGTCTTTCCACCTTCTGCCTGCTTTTTTGCAGGCCCTGCTGGCTTCTGATTAGATGGTGCCCACCCAGATTGAGGGTGGATCTGCCTTTCCCAGCCCACTGACTCAAATGTTAATCTCCTTTGGCAACACCCTCACAGACACACCCAGGAACAATACTTTGTATCCTTCAATCCAATCAAGTTGACACTCAATATTAACCATCACACCTTCCCAGAAACACTTCATCATCTCCCTTCTGTCTCAGTTGGTTCAGGTGTTATGACAAAAATACCATAGACTTGGTAGATTATAAATAATATGAATGTGTTGCTCATGGTTCTGGAGGCTGCCAAGTCCAAGATCAAGACACCAGCAGATTTGGTGTCGGGTGAGGGCCCACTTCCTAGTTCCTAGATGGTACCTCCTTGCTGTGTCCTCAAAAGGGGCAAAGCAGCTCTCTGGGGACTGTTTTAGAAGGGCAGTCATCCCATTCATGAGGGTTCCACCCTCATGACCTAATCACCTCTCAGGAGCCTTGCCTCCTAAATACCATCACATTGGAGATTAGGTTTCAACATATACAATTTGGGGGAACACATATGTTCAGTCCATAACACCTTCTCGCCCTGAGTCCCTTTCCCACCCTCTCCCACTAAGTCCTCAAAGTCCTCTGAATCCTCCTCTTCTGGTTGCTCTAAAGCCACGTGGCCTTGCTGTGACCCATCATGACCCTCTGGCATGACCAGACAATTCCAGGTATGGGCTCCAAGGGATGCAGCATGCATAACTGTGATGAAGGCAGGACCACAGGTAGTCCATAGGGTACAACCCTGGTGCTTTGGGAGACTATGGCAGGAGGATAGCTTGATGCCAGTAGTTCAAGACTAACCCGGACAACATAATGAGACCCCATCTCTTAAAAAATAAAAAAATTAGTGGGACACGGTGGTGCACACCTATAGTCACAGCTACTTGGGAGGCTGAGGTGGGAGGGCTGCTTGAGACCAGGAGGAACGAGGTCTGCAATGAGCTATGACTGCACCACCATACTCCAGCCTGGCCAACAGAGTGAGACTCTAAGACTCTATCTGGAAAGAGGTGGGGGGAGGAAGGAAGGAGAGAGGGAGGGAGGGAGGGAAGGAAGGAAGGAAGGAAGGAAGGAAGGAAGGAAGGAAGGAAGGAAGGAAAGAAGGAAGGAAGGAAGGAAAGAAGGAAGGCAGAGAGGGAGGGAGGAGGGAGGGGAGGAGAGGAGAAATAAAGAGAAGAAACAAAAGAAAAAATAAAGAGAGAATAAGAAAAGAAGGAAGGAAGGAAAGAAAGAAAGAAAAGAAGAAAGAAGAAAGAAAGAAAGAAAGAAAGAGAGAGAGAGAGAGAAAGGAGGGAGGGAGGGAAGGAAGGAGAGAAAGAGAGAGAGAGGTGGCTCTCAGCTGGGCGCAGTGGCTCACGCCTGTAATCCCAGCACTTTGGGAGGCCAAGGTGGGTGGATCACCTGAGGTCAGGAGCCTGACCAACATGGTGAAACCCCGTCTCTATAAATAGAAAAAATTAGCTGGGCTTGTGGCGGCGGGCACCTGTATGTAATCCCAGCTGCTTGGGAGGTTGAGGTGGGAGAATTGCTTGAACCTGGGAGGCAGAGATTGCAGGGAGCCAAGATTGTGCCATTGTACTCCAGCCTGGGCAATAAGAGTGAAACTCCATCTCAAAAAAAAAAACAAGAAAGAGAGAAAGTAAGTAAAAGAAAAAGGTGGATCTCAGGACAGACATGGCCCCCATGAGGGTTCATGCTTTCCAGTTTCTGTGTCCCCACCCTTGGCAGGGCGCTTGCACTAAGGAATGAGTGACTGGTCTTAAGAGGCATTGTCAGGCCCTCTCTCCACGCCCTTGACCTTCAGAGGTTCCAGTCAGAGACCCCACAACACTGTATCCAGGGGGAAAAAAAAAAGGTAAGGTTTCAGGGAAGAGATTAATCAATCTTAAAATCCAAAAGCAGCAGACAGTCAAAGCAGCAAAACAAAAAAGAAAAAAAAATGAATATTTGGGCTAGAAACCTATTCCTCAGCACCAGAAAAAGAATTGCCTCTTCCAAGCCCCAACTGACAAGGAAATGGAGCGAAAGAGAGCCAGTCCACATTTGAAGTAAGCACCACATAAATCCCCACGTAAGAGCTGTCGGGTGTAAAGGTTAAGAATCATTTACTGCCAGAGAATGAGAAAAACTCTTACACTTTGGGACATTGACTTCTCCCTGGAACATCACGATGACAGGAACGTGGCTAGGTAGGTTCCCAACACGAACACATCTCGAAGCTTTCCCACGAACTTTGGCAGGTCAAAGAACTGTCCTCTATCTCCCTGTCCCCCAGACCACACTTTGTGGTTATTAAAAAGAGCTGGGTACAGTGATATACTTTGGATATTTGTCTCCACCCAAATCTCATGTTGAGTCGTAATCCCCAGTGTTGGAGGTGGGGCCTGGTGGGAGGTGATTGGATCATGTGGGTGGATTTCTCATGAATGGTTTAGCACCATCCCCTTGGTGCTGCCTTCATGATAATGAGTGAGTTCTCGCAAGATCTGGTCATTTTAAAGTGTGTGACTCTCTTGCTTTTGCTCCTACTATGTGAGATGTCTGCTCCTGCTTCAGCTTCTGCCATGACTGGAAGCTTCCTGAGGCCTCCCCAGAAGCTGATGCCAGAGCTATGCTTCCGGTACAGCCTGCAGAACCATGAATCAATTAAACCTCTTTTCTTTGTAAATTACTGAATCTCAAGCATTTATTTAAAAACAATGCAAGAATAATCTAACACAGCACTGTATTGAAAGAGACATCTGGCCACTTAAATGTCTCTTGCAGAAGCACAAGTCATTCCAAGGTTCTGGCATGGAGAGTGTATCAGTCAGTGTCAGGTAGGTTATGCTGCAGGAACAAACAACCCCCAAATCTCAGTGGCACAAAACAACAAACATTTGTTCTCTTTCTTGCTACACATTTAGCCAGGGTCAGCTATGTCACACTGCTTCCAGGCCCCAGGCCAATGGGGTAGCCAGCATTTCAAGCATTGCTGGTCACTGTGGCAGAGAAAAAGAAGTGGGCAACACAGACACTGGCTCTTAAAGCATCTGCACACAAAACATTCACTCCCACTCCACTGGCCAAAACAAAACACATGAGCGAACCTCATTTCAAACTGGAGCAGAAGTGCAGAGGAGAGAGAGCCATTTATGAACAGCCCTGATGCCTAGAGGGAGAGAATATGATGAAAGAAAAAGACAGGGGAGGGGAGGAGAGAGGGGAGGGAACACAGAAGGAGAAGGAAGTGGGAGGGAGGGGAGGAGGGATGAGGAAGGGGAGACAGGAGGGACACTCAGAGGAGGGGAGAGGAGAGGAATGCCCAGTTGCCTGAGGCTAAGGTGTCCTCTAGAAAGCCCCTGGATGCTTGAGAACATGTTTGGCTTCTTTGATTAGAGAAAGAGCTTCAGGAAGGTTCTTCTGTCTTCCCTCTTTCTGAGGAGGGAGGGTCCCCCGCCACAGGCTGCCACCCCGATCATTCTGTCTGATTCACCTTGCCTGTCTCCTCTCTCTCCCCAGAGGCCCCTTTAGCCCACTGAATGGCTTTCTGGGAAATCTCATTTCGCACCCTGGCAGCATTCTCAATTCTTCCTGTCAGATCCTGGAGGCAGCCCTATAAATAAGGCCCGAATTCTTTATTGCTGGAGCCGGCAGAAGGCTTACACATGGGATGTCCTCACTCGCACGACAGTCGTATTTTCATAAAACCTATGCAGAGAGCTTTGTATGAAGAGGGATGGGTTGGGAGAGTGAAAACTCAAGCCTGTCTTTGCAGCCAAGGCCCCTCTCCCTTTGGGAAAGTCTCAGGCTAGCACAGAAGACTGGCAATAAAAAGAATTGTCAGTGACCTTGCCCACTTTCAGACAGATGGTTAAACAGTTGATGAATTCTAGGGCCTTCTCTGACATGTCTGGCCTTGTCTCCTGGTGAGCCAGTCCTTGTAGAAGTGTTCTTGCTTAAGCAGGACCACCTAGGGCTAAACTACTAACCCAGCCAAGCTTCTCAATCTCCCACTTTCTCTGGCCCAGAGCCATCTTCTCACGTACTTCCAAAGAGGCAGGCAAAGTGCCACTGAATTCTTCATCTATTCAAAGCCAAGGCATGGGGAAAAACAAGAGTAAAGTTCCCCAGACTCAACTCTACTGCTGGAGCAAGAACTGGGCTCCACAGAGCAGGAAGAAAAATGGGTGTGTACAAGTGGCTGCAGGTGGCAGGGAGTGTAAGGGAGATCTGTGGAGCTGGAGGAAAGGCATCCTCCAGGTTATAAGTCTTTGAAGACATCACTGTAAAGACATTGCACCAATTTGCCTACTTCTCCTATCCTCAAGGTGGATGGATGATTATGCTTCTCAGTTGCCTTGCAGTTAAATAGGTCCATGTTCTAGGGACTGATTCTAGTCAGTGAGTTTGAAAGAAGTAATATGTATTGCTTTCAGGCCAAAACATAACCCCCCAACTATCTCCTGGCTCCCACTCCCATCACTGGATCACAAAGGGGACCTCATGTTGAGACGGAGCCACAAGATCAAAGGAACCTGTATCCCTGAATCACCACATGGAGAAGAGTTGACCTGCAGAGTCCACAAATTCTCAGTGGACTTACAGTGAGCAAGAAATAAATCTCTGTGGGTTAAGCCACTGAGATGTTGGGGTTGTTACTAACTTAACCTATGTCAACTGATATTGTCTTTCCATGTCTGCCCTAACCTCGTCTGTGAGATAGGCACCATCTTGACCATTGGTCAAGTCACCTCCTCTTTGGTAGAAAAGAGGTATCCCAGCTCTGAATCACATCTTTAGAATCAAAGGCCAAGACTGAACATGAAAAAAGTCTTAAACAAAAACTATGCCAAACTATGCTTTCTTGTAAATCTGAGTGTGTCTTAGTTGACATTCTCTCTGTGTGTTGGGTAGATGTACTGTGGTATCCAAGATTAGATTTTGTTTGTTCAGCAGGTGAATGCAGCAGGGACAAGCCAAAATTGTACAGTCTGGTTATCTTTTCTTCACTCTTTTTCCGCTGACTGGCACCTCTCTACCACTCCCACTCCAGAGAAGTTTTTAACTCCAGGCCATGACCACTTTGTGGGTCAAAAAATCAATTTAGTGGTCTTATCCAGCACTGTGTGGAATTGAACAGATCAAATAGTCTTTCACATGCAGGAAAGCTACACATTTATGGAATGTTTGTGTAGTTTAATATGTGTTTATATGTGCATGTGAGCATATAAATGTAAAATGTATTTCTTGTACTTTGAATCATGGTCAAAACGACTCCAGGAAACAACTCACACATTCACTGACAGGTGAGTACATAAACAAAATGTAGTACATCCAGTCAATGGATGCTATTCAGCATCAAAATGAATGACCTACTGATACAATTCACAGTAGAAATGAATCTCAAGGCTGGGCGCAGTGGCTGATGCCTGTAATCCCAGCACTTTGGGAGGCCGAGGCAGGCAGATCACGAAGTCAGGAGTTCGAGACCAGCCTGGCCAGCATGGTGAAACCCCGTCCCTACTAAAAATACAAAAAATTAGCCGGGCATGGTGGTGCATGCCTGTAATCCCAGCTACTCAGGAGGCTGAGGCAGGATAATTGCTTGAATCCAGGAGGCGGAGGTTGCAGTGAGCTGAGATTGTGCCACTGCACTCTAGCCTGGGCGACAGAGCAAGACCCCATCTCAAAAAAAAAAAAAAAAAACTCAAAAACATCACAGACTAAGCAAAAGAAACAGACACAACAGAACGTATACTGTATGATCCCATTTATATGAAACTCTAGAACTGGCAAACTAATCTAGGTTTACTGAAAGCACTTCTGTGATTGCCTGGGGTGAGGGTGGGGTGTTAACTGTGTTGTAAATTGAACTGTGTTCCCCCTTCAAATTTATATGTTGAAATCCTAATGCCCAATACCTCAGAACATGACCTTATTTGGAGACTGAGCCTTTACAGGAGTAATCAAGTTAAAATGAGGTCATGGTGGTGGATGCTAATCCAATATGACTGGTGTCCTTACAAAAAGGAGAAATTTGGACACAGAGACACAACCAGAAGGAAGATGACATGAAGAGACGTAGATAGAAGACAATCATCTACAAGCCAAGGAAGGAAGCCTGGAATAGATCCCTCCCTCACAGCCTTCAGAAGGAGCCAACCCTGCCTACATCTTGATCTCAGACTTCTAGTTTCCAGACCTGTGAGACAATAAATGTCTGCTGTTTAATGCACTCCATTTGTGGTACTTTTGTTACAGCAGCCCTGGAAAATGAATATAGACTGTAAAGATGCATGAAGGAATTTTCTGGGTTAAGAAATGTTCTACACCTTGATTGCAATAGTAGTTACATGGATGTGCATGTTTGTCAAATCTCATCAAATTGTATACTTAGAATAAGTGCACTTTATTATACATGTGTATACCTCAATAAAGCTGATTGTAAAGAATTTTTAATAAAGAACTTGAGGACCTCTAAATCAAGTCACATAGAGAAGCAAGAAGAATCCCCCATTATCACCCACCCACCCACCCACTCACCAGCACTGAGCTGTGTGCCTCAAATACATCATCACTCTTAACCTTCACAGCAACCCTTTCATGGAGTTGTTATCTTTCCTGTTTTAGAGATAAAGAAACTGAGGCTCAGAACGGTCACTTAATCCAGATCACACAAGCTGTGCAGGGCAAAGTCAGCATTTGAACCCAGTCTGTCTGCCTCTCTGCTGGTCTCGGAACAGCCTGCAAAACACAGATTTCTTGACACTCAAGCAGTAGCAGGTTTGCTGCAATTTTATTCCTCACCCAATATCATGAACGTTCACAGGCTCCTATAAATAAGGATAGCTCCTAGGCTTTTAGCTCTGCAGATAAACAGGCTTTTGATGGCCTCTTCTTCACTGTGGTAGAGAAGTTTATGGTACTGAAAATAAAAGTCCTTGGAAGAAAGCCACCGCCAGCCTCTCAGCTGCAGTTGTAATTCAAAGAAAAATACCTCCATCTTCTAGTGAACTCCCCTTGTGTATCAGAATAAGACGTGCCCCAGCAGGAAAATAAACTAGAGACACTATGTGTGGACCATGGAGAAATAACCAAAAGAAGATGAATGAAAAGTAGGAAGGAAATGAAAGATATTGCAGAAAAGATCCATAGTAAATTGGTCATTCTGTCAGTTTCTCAAGTAAGGATTTTTTTTTTGCTTTGGTTTGAACGTTTGTCCCCTCCAAAACTTGTGTTGAAATTTAGTTGCCATTGTAACAGTATTAAAAGGTGGGACCTTAGCCAGATGTGATGACTCACACCTGTAATCCCAGCACTTTGGGAGGCTAAGGCAGGTGGATCACCTAAGGTCAAGAGTTCGAGACCAGCCTGACCAACATGGTGAAACTGTCTCTACTAAAAATACAAAAATTAGCCAGACATGATGGCAGGCACCTATAATCCCAGCTACTCAGGAAGCTGAGGCAAGAGAATCACTTGAACCTGGGAGGCAGAGGTTGCAGTGAGCTGAGATCACACCACTGCACTCCAGCCTGGGTGACAGAGCGAGTCTGTCTCAAAAAAAAAAAAAAGAGGCAGGACCTTTTAAGAGTCATGAGGGCTCCACCCTAATGGGTGGACTAATGCTGGTATCATGGCAGTGGGTTCTCTGTTGTGGGAGTGGGTTCACCCACTCTTGTTCATTTCCTCTCTCTTTGCCCTTCCACCATGTGATGACACAGCAAGAAGGCCCTTGCCAGATGCAGCCCCTTGATCTTGGACTTCTCAGACTCTAGAACCATGAGCCAATAAATTTCTGTTCATTTATAAATTACCCAGTCTGTGCTATTCTGTTATAGCAGCATAAAATGGACTAAGACAATTACTAGATGGTGTTCATTCCAACTCAGGGATATACCAAAAGCACATGTTTCCATGAGACTTACAAGTTCCCAATATTGTCTCAGAAGTTTCAGCCCTGTCTTATATGAGAAGACATTTTCTTATGCAAGGAGTATCTGGATGCCAGACCCTTGGGTGGAATCGAGAATGTCTAGACACAGTCCCTGGTACTGGCTGCCAAGAGCTGGTGGGACTGCTGACTCAAGGTCACACAGAGGGAGAAGACTGCAGAGCCTTAGTTCAACTGCAAAGGGTGCTTATCTTGGGTGCTCAGAATTGAAAGGAAGCCATAAGCCATAGTTGTCTTAGTTTTAATCCCTCAGAAGAAATGCCTGAGACAAAGATTAGAAAGCAAGTAGCTTATCTGGGAGGTGATCTGCTGTGATCTAAATGTTGGTGTCCCCCAAAAATTCACATGTTGGAGCTTAATCCCAATGTGACAGTATTAAGAGGTAATTAGGAGGTAACATGGTCATGAGGGCTCCACCCTCACGAATGGAACTCGTGCTCTTATGAAAGAGGTTGAAGGGAGCTGTCTTTCCCTCTCTGCCATGGGAGGACACAGCAAAAAGGAGCCATCTATGAGGAACAGTCCCTCACCAGACACAGAATCTGCTGCCGCCTGGATCTTGGACTTCCCAGCCTCGAGAACTGTGAGCAATAAATTCCTGTTTATAAATTACTAAGTCTAAGGTATTCTCATTTTAGTAGAAGGAACTGACTAAGATGTGATTCTAGGAAGCTCTGGTAGGGAGTGGGGAAGCAAGACAGGGAAGAGAAGGAAGCCACCGAAGGGTGAGTCATCATGCAGGTTACCAGCGTGAGCAATTGAGTTCCATCTTCCTGAGGGCCTTTGGGACACAATGTAGAGTATACATATCTCAGAGCTTCCTGGCAGAGGGGTAAGGAAGCAGGGGTACTTTTTCCTCCACCTCCTGCCATCATTGGTGAAGGCTGCTGAAGGGCTTGGGGGGTAATCTTCTAGCACATATGGCCTGTTGGACCTGACCAGAGAAAGTCCTCAGACAAAAAGATAATGCTGGCAGTCAGAAGTCCCGGTGGTACATGGAAAATATCCCAGGATATAGGAGAGATACTATATGTGTTGTAAGGGCTGCCATAATAAAGTTGTACAGATTGAGAAGCTTAAACAACACACTTTTTTTGAAGTAGGGTCTTACTCTGTTGCCCAGGCTGGAGTGCAATGGCGTGATCATAGCTTGCTATAAAACTCCTGAGCTCAAGGAAACCTCCTGCCTCAGACTCTTGAGTAGATAGGACTATGGGCATGCACCACCATGCCTGATTACTTTTTTAATTTTATTTATGTATTTATTTATTTTAGAGACAGGGTCTCACTTTGTTTCCCAGGCTGGTCTTGAACTCCTGGCCTCAAGGAATCCTCCCACCTCAGCCTCCCATGTGCTGGGATTACAGACATGTGCCACCACACCCAGCCAACAGCAGACATTTATTTCCTCACAATTCTAGAGGCTGGAAGTCTGAGATCAAAGAGTCAGCAGGGCTGTTTTCCTCTGAGGCCTCTCTGGATTGCTGATAACCATCTTCTCCCTCTGTCTTCACATGGTCTTCCCTCTGTGTGTGTCTGCATTCAAATTCCCTCTTCGTATAAAGATATTGGTCATATTGTATTAGGGCCCACCCTAATGACCTCATTTCAAAGATGTTATCTGTTACAGCAGCATGAAATGGACTAAGGCAAATAACAGCGAAATTATGTTATAGCAGCATGAAATGGACTAAGGCAAATAACAGCGAAATTATGTTATAGCAGCATAAAATGCACTAAGACAATTTCTAGGTGATGTTTATTCTAGTTCAGAGATTTACCAAAAGCAGTCACATTCTGAGGTGCTAGGGATTAAAGCTTCAATATATGAATTTAAGGGAGACACAATTCAGCCCATAAAAGATGCCAGTAGCTCCTGCTACAATACTCAACAAGAGGTGTCCAGTCACAATTTAGAAAATTGGGTTGAGCTCAGGTTTCAAAGTGAACCACTGTAACAGTGAACATGACATAAGTCACAATCTAGGAGGATCAGAGAGAGGTTGAGAGTCATGTCAGGTAGGAACCAGAGCTGCAAAGAATGAAATCGTGTTGGAAAGTTTCTTTATGTGGTGCTAGCTATGTGCTGTTGAGGTGACCAGCATCTATCTGACTCCTTGGCTTCCAAGGCTGGGAGTGGTGGACCCCAGGCCCCTGTCATTCCCCTGCAGACTTATCAAGTAGTGATGGGATAGGTCATTTTTACTAATGGTACCGATGGAATGGGAGCGGTGCACAGGGCCCAGGTTATTAGCATTAAGGCAACCTGGGCTTGGATTTCCTCTTTTCCATTCACTTGCTATAAGAAATAAGGTGAGTCCCTTCACCCATCTTAGCCTCTGTCTCCTGAAGTGTACATTGAGATGGAAAAGAAAAAAACCTGCAATAATCATAGAACCACTCTTAACATCACAAAATATCAATTCCATTTCATATACCATTGGTAGGAGTCAAAATGAGTTCAACCACTTTGCAAAACAGTTGGACAATATCTCCTACAGCAAAAAATACTCCTTCCCTTGGGCCCAGCAATTCCACTCCTAGGTACAGTCCAGTAGAAATGATTGCATGTTTCCACGCAAAAAAAAAAGCTAATGGCTGGGCACGGTGGCTCACACCTGTAATCCCAACACTTTGAGAGGCTGAGGCGGGAGGATCACCCGAGGTCAGGAGTTTGAGACTAACCTGGCCAACATGGTGAAACCCCATCTCTACTAAAAAGACAAAAATTAGTCGGGCATGGTGGCACACACCTGTAATCCCAGCTACTCAGGAGGCTGAGGCATGAGAAGTGCCTGAACTCAGCAGGTGGAGGTTGCAGTGAGCTGAGATCATGCCACTGCACTCCACCTGGGTGACAGAGCAAGACTCCATCTCAAAAAAAAAAAAAAAAAGTACATACCAACTTGATTCACCATAACCAAAAATGGGAAACATCCAATGTCCATCAACATGAAAATGGATACCTAAAGTGTGGTGCGTTCATACAACAGAATGCTATTGATCACATTGATGACATGCACATGTAGCCACATGAATGAGCACCACAGAATAGTGCATTGTGTGAATGTTGAGATCTCTCAAGAGGGTGAAGTTTTCACTGTAGTATGTATATACAATGGAATACTACTCAGCCATAAAAAGGAATGAATTAATGGCATTCGCAGCAACCTGGATGAGATTGGAATCCATTATTCTAGGTGAAGTAACTCAGGAATGGAAAACCAAACATCATATGTTCTCACTTATAAGTGGGAGCTAAGCTATGAGAATGCAAAGGCATAAGAATGACACATTGGACTTTGGGGACTCGGGGAAAGAGTGGGAAGGGGGTAAGAGATAAAAGATGACACACTGGGTGTAGTGTATACTGCTTGGGTGATGGGTGCGCCAAAATCTCACAAATCACCACTAAAGAACTTACTCATGTAACCAAACACCACCTGCTCCAAAATAACCAACAGAAAGAAAAATTAAAAAAAAAAAAGTGTGAAGTTTTCGAAGTCCAAGGACTGGGCTTTATTCATCCCAGTATTTCAGTACCCTGTACAAAGTAGGTGCCCAGGGCAGGCCTCATGGTGCAACAGTAGTGTGTCTGACTCCAGATCAGAAGGTTGTATGTTCAAATCACGTAGGGGTCAAACCAGACATTGTTTTCCCTGATCAAAATAGGTGACCAGTAAATGTTTTTCTGAAACAAATGCGTGTGTGTGTGTGTGTGTGTGTGTGTGTGTGTGTGTGTGTGTGTGTGTGTGTAGGTGGGGAGGGAAGTTCTGGAGCTGGGAGGCTGCCTACATTCAAAGCCTGATCATCCAGCCAGATTACTGCCAGCTGCCACACAGCCCGGGTTCTGACACAGGGCTGCAAGCTGGATGTGTAGCCAGTAAGCCAACACAAGGAATTTTCACAGTTCACCCCAACCCAGCCTAAGGCAGCCGGCAAACCCTCATAACCCAGCATACCCATGGAGGCTGAAGGGCCTCCATGGAAGAAGTCCTCTTGCTCCTTTACTCCTCCATCAGCTCCATGGCTCTCCAAGCTCTAATTCACCCTACAATCGCTAGAGGTTGAACCGGCTTGTAACACATTTGTTACATCTGGAAGCTGACCCCAGCGCAGCATGCACCACTGCAGGTCTCTGCACTCGGCCTGCATCAGGGCAGATGGATTAGCAGCAAGACAGTGCCCTTGGCAGCACCGTGTGGAGCCGGCTCACCCCAAGAACCCCACAGCATTGTGTTTGGATTTCTCTTAAAGCCCTTTTCATGCTGTGCCCCCCATGACAATGTGACAGAAGCAAGATTTATTAACAGGTGAGATTTCTCCTACCTCCCTCATCTCACTCCCTCTCCCTCGTCCTGCTTTTAAAAAAATATATCTCAGACTGGGCACAGCGGCTTATGCCTGTAATCCCAGCACTTTGGGAGGCTGAGGCAGGAGGGTTACTTGAGCCCAGGAGTTCAAGACCAGCCTGGGCAACATAGGGAGACCCCGTCTCTACAAAAAAATACAAAAATTAGCCTGGCATGGTGAGACATTCCTGTAGTTCCTGTTTCTTGGGAGCTGGAGGCTGGATGATCACTTGAGTCCAGGAGTTTGAGGCTGCAGTGAGCTATGATGGGGTCACTGCACTCCTGCCTAGATGACAGAGCTTATTTTTATGTCTCAAAAATAAAATTAAAATCAAATGATAATAAATAAAAATCAGTCTAGTCCCTGGGTTCTAGAATGCTTCATGAGGCCAAATGAGATCTGAGAGGCTTGGGATTGGAGGCCTTCATAAAAGAAGCTAAATTGATTGACATCGTAAAAAGCTGTGGAAAAAGGAGAGGATGCGGTGGAGTCACTAACGCCAGGACTGTCGTGATCTGAATGTTTCTGCCCCCCCAAAATAAATACGTCCAAATCTAATACCCAATGTGATGCTGTTAGGAGGTGGGGCCTTTGGGAGGTGATTAGGTCTATGAGGGTGGGGCCCTTATGAATGGGATTAGTGCCCTTATAAAAGGGACCCCAAAGAGCTAGCTCACCCCTTCCAACATGTGAAGACACAGCTAGGAGACACCATCTATGAACCAGAAAGCATCGCTTACCAGACCTTAACCCTGCTGGCACCTTGACTGTGGACTTTCCAGCCTCCAAAACTGTGAGAAATAAATTTCCGTCATTTAAAAGCTACCCAGTTGGCTGGGCGTGGTGGCTCACGCTTGTAATCCTAGTACTTTGGGAGGCCAAGGCAGGCAGATTACCTGAAGTCAGGGGTTCAAGGCCAGCCTGGCCAACATGGTGAAACCCTGTCTCTACTAAAAATACAAAAGTTAGCTGGGCATGGTGGTGGGTGCCTGTAATCCCAGCTACTTGGGAGACCGAGGCAGGAGAATCGCTTGAACCAAGGAGGCAGAGGTTTCAGTGAGCCAAGATTAAGCCACTGCACTCCAGCCTGGGCAACAGAGTGAGACTCCTTCTCAAAAAAAAAAAAAAAAAAAAAAAAGTTACCCAGTTTATTATATTTGGTTATAGCAGCCCACACAGACTGAAACAAAGGCTAAGGAGGAGAAAGTCTGGGTTTGGCAGGGACTGGTTTGTGGATCTGCCGTGGAAAATGCAAACAAGGGTGGGAAAAGGGTTTCGAAAAGTGTGACTGAGGATTATAAATTGAGACCTTGTTGGTATTCTTTCGGACACATAAAGTGGCATTTTTTAAAATAATTACCACCTAAGGGTCTAGATTCCGCATAAATCCTTAGTGTCATCACTGCCCGCTTCTATTTGGTAGATGGTTCTTGGTGTCACTGACTGCTTCTCATGCCAAACATTGAGTTCTCATTCAAATGCAAGCCCTGTTGCACGTGCTTAGTCCCTGAGAGCAGGCCAGATCGGGATGGTGGGTGCCTGTGACTGCATTCGGTGCCACCCCAAAAGCTGATGCACGTCTACCTACATGCCTCATGGCAATCAGCAGAAGGACAAAATGACCAATCCTGGCCCTGGTAGGAGACTATAGCTTTCTTAGGACTGTCTTTTTTTTTTTTTTTTTTTTTTTTTTTTGAGACAGAGTCCCATTCTGTAGCCCAGGCTGGAGTGCAATGGCGCTGTCTGGGCTCACTGCAACCTCCGCTTCCCAGGTTCAAGCGACCTCCTGCGTCAGCCTCCTGAGCAGCTAAGACTACAGGCACCCGCCACCACACCCAACTAATTTTTGTATTTTTAGTGGAGATGGGGTTTCGCCATGTTGGCCAGGCTAGTCTTGAACCCCTGACCTCAGATGATCCACCCACCTCGACTCCCAAAGTGCTGGGATTACAGGCGTGAGCCACTGCTCCCAGCCTGGACTGTCAAATTTTTTAAACTATGGATTACTAAAGAGAGACTTCTTATTTGAAAAGATTATTGCAGGTGGAGGGAAAGGGGCTATCATAATAGGAGAGGAAACTATTGGAAAAAGAAAAGCACTGTGACAACAAACTCTGCAGATGTCTCAACAGCTAGGCAAAAAGAAAACCAGCATGGTGGCTTACCCCTGGAATCCCAGTGCTTTGGAAGACTGAGACAGGGAGATCACTTGAGGTCAGGAGTTCAAGACCAGCCTGGGCAACATAGCGAGACCCCATCACTACAAGAGATTTTTTAAAAGTAGCCGGGCATGGTGGCACGTGTCTATAGTCCCAGCTACTCAGGAGGCTGAGGCAGGAGGATCACTTAAGCCCAGGAGTTGGAAGCTGCAGTCAGCTATGATCAGCCCGACTGTACTGCAGCCTGGGCAATAGAATGAGACACTATCTAAAAAATAAATAAATAAATGAGAATTAGGCCAAAAGAGATTTTCTTTTATAGAAAGGGATAAGTGAGACTGGAAAGAACAAGGTGTGGGAAGTGAGATGAAAGGGGGTGTGATCAGATAGCAGGTCAGGGCATGTTTTACCCCGAAGCCAGCCTGTTCCCAAGAGGGGCTGTCTGCCATCAGGCTGCTGGCTGGCCACAGTTCAGGGGCCTGGGGGAAGGAGGGAAGCTGGACCAATATTCAGTTAACAAGCATTTTATTCCCACTGATCAGTGGAGACAAGTATCTCAGCTAATTACTTCTAATTACTCATTTTCTTTCTTTTTTATTTATTTATTTTTTTTTTGAGACAGACTCTTACTCTATAGCCCAGGCTGGAGTACAATGGCACGATCTCAGCTCACTGCAACCTCTGCCTCCTAGGCTCAAGCAATTCTCCCACCTCAGCCTCCCGAGTAGCTGGGACCACAGATGTGCACCACCACACCCAGCTAATTTTTATATTTTTAGTAGAGATGGGGTTTCACCATATTGGCCAGGCTGGTCTCAAACTCATGAACTCAAGTGATCCGCCCACCTCGGCCTCCCAAAGTGCTGGGATTACAGGCATGAGCCACCATGCCCAGCCTCGGCTAATCACTTATGAAGCAAAGAATGGGAATTTAGAGGGTCCTCATCTAGCCTTGTCATCGGTAACAATGGGAGCATCTGAGAGTCTTAGGTATTTGGGAAAGGGGGAATAATATGGTTTGGATGTGTGCCTCCTCCTAATCTCATGTTGAAATGTGACCTCTAATGTTGGAGGTGGGGCTTGGTGGGGCTTGGTGGGGGCTTTTCTGGTAGATCCTTCGTGAATGGCTTGGTGACCTCCCCATGGTAATGAGTTCATTCAAGAGCTGCTTGTTTAAAGGGCCTGGCATGTCAGCTGGGCATGGTGGCTCACACCTATAATCCCAGCACTTTAGGAGGCCAAGGAGTGCAGATCACCTGAGCCCAGGAGTTCAAGGCCAGCCTGGGCAACACGACAAAACCCCATCTCTACAAAATATACAAAAATTAGCTGGGTGTGGTGGCGGGTGCCTGTGGTCCCAGCTACTCAGGAGGCTGAGGCAGGAGAATGGCTTGAGCCTGAGAGTCAAAGGTTGCAGTGAGTTGATATTGCACCACTGCACTCCAGCGTGGGCGACAGAGTGAGACCCTGTCTCCAAAAAAAAAAAAAAAAAGACACACATTTCTCGTCATGTGACACACCTGCTCCCCACTCACCTTCTGCCATGATTAGAAGCTTCCTGAGGCCTCACCAGAACCAGATGCTGGCATCAAGCTTCTTGCACAGCCTGCAGGACCATGAGCCAAATAAACCTCCTTTTTTAATACATGTCCCAGTCTCAAGTATTCTGTTATAGCAATGTGAAACAGACTAATACAGGGGGTTTTTGCAGTAAGCCATTATCCAGAACACAAAAGGATGAGGGAGTTTCTTAATGAGGGTTAAACTTCAAGATTGCCAGAATGCACTTGAGCTTTGAGTCTCTCCATGCTCTTTTCCTGAAGGAGGACAGTTGTGGAACCAGCTGGGTGATGCTGGTTAGGGGCTCAGAAGGGTACCCTTTGCCATTAAGAGTCCAAGAAGCACATCAGAGCCTGGTGGCCTAGCAGAGGATGGCGTGCTCAGCACACACCCCCAGTCCAGCAAGGGATGTTCCACACATACTTAACAAGGACAGATGAACCCCATGCTGGGGGAGCATCCTTGCACTTTGTTCAGTGCACAAACCACACAACCATCCATGGCAGGCCTAACCATTTCTTCTTCCAACCAGCATTTTCCAGAGTCTGACCTGCCTCCACAGGGCATATCCAGCCCACAAATAACCCTCCTGTTTGACCTTTCTCAAGTTTCTGCCGCCCCTAAACTGGGCTATGCTCTACTTAACTAGGCTATCCTCTATATGCTGCAGGGAGCTCTCGGCTCACCCTTCAGCTTCCACATCCCCATCTCAGGCTGCTCTGCAACCCCCTGCATAGGCCCAGAGGAAGCAGGTCGGACTCCTGAGGTGCTGGTTGGAGGAAGAAATGGGCAGGCCTGCCACGGATGGTTGCGTGGTTTGTGCACTGAACAAAGGCAACAAGTGGAAGTGGGAGGTGGGGTGGAATTCCAGTGTGTAGTTTGCTGGCCAAGCCACTTGGCATGACACAGATTTCCTTCCCCCTTTTAGGACCCCTTACAGAACTCTTCACAGCTCCCTCCAAGGCATGGAAGAGCCACTGGGCCACTTGATTTGAACATCTTTCACAGAGAGAGACATACTCTTACCATCAAAGCTTTGCCAACACATAGTCACAAGGTGATAAATTCTTGTAACTTGCACAGGGCCAAGCCTGGCAAGACTTGCAGACTGCACTTGGTGAATCTGTTTGCACGAATTAAGTAGCTCAGTCACTAATCATCTCAAAATATAAATGATTTAGATGTCCATCTATTTGAAGACCATGAAATATTTGTATTTTGCTAACAAAATGACCAGTGTTTCAGCCCTGAAGAAGGGCGTGGTATACCAGAAAGCCAGAGCCCTGAAAATCAGTTTGACAATCATGCTTCAAGGTGGTCTTGATGCTGACTCAGAGGAGGAGAGTCATTCCACTCCAGGAGAACAATGCATTGTGCAGACCCCGGGATGTGGACCATCTCCACCCTCAGCTCCCAGAGCTCAAGTACTTTGGCCCACAAGCCCTGGATCCTGCAAACCTATACAGTAACCTCATGCAAACGAGCAGATACAGCACTATGCATGCATAGTCTGGTGAGAGAAGGCATCTTTGTGCAAAGAAACAAGCATCCTTTCCTCTGGGTAGAAGCAAGCCTATGTCATGCCACATGGCTTGGCCAGCAAAACACATACTGGAATTCAGCCCCACCTACACCTTCCATCTGTTGCCTTTGTTCAGTGCACAAACCACACAACCATCCATGGCAGGCCTGCCCATTTCTTCCTCCAACCAGCAGCTCCAGAGTCTGACCTGCCTCCTCAGGGTGTATCCAGCCAACAAATAACCCTCCTATTGGATTTTTCTCAAGTTTCTGCTGCCCCTAAGCTGGTATTTTCTCCTGTTAAATCCATTGGTTCAAATTGTCTGGCCCCCCACTAGGAGGTCTATATACCCATTTCCACCATTGCCACCACCACCATCCAAAATTATTCCATAGTTTGTAGTGTATGAAACAAACAACCAACAGATCGACATTCAAACCTAATTACAGAGGTTCAAGTACCTTCCACTTTCCTATGCAGACTTCCTTTGTCCTCAGGGCTTTTCCTCCCTGGGGAACCCCTGGGAAGGACATGGTGATTTTGAAGCGGCCTCGTTGTCTGGGGTGATACCTGATATTCATTGTCTCATGCCAAGGAAATCAAGGACGCAGGCACACAAGGAGTGATGTTAAGCGTGGAGGTTTAATAGGCAAAAGAAAAAGAAGCGCTCTCTCCTGCAGAGAGACGGTCCTGAACGGGTTTCCCACTTCTGTGGTGCAATGCATGCAGAAGGTTTTATAGATGAGTTTGAGGATGCGGTGTCCGATTTACATAGGGCACAAAAGATTGGTCGGACCACGTATGCCATTTGCATAGGGCAGGAAAAACCGGTTAGGGCTAGGTGTGCCATTTGCATAGGGAGTGAAAAGCTGGTCACCCCACCAAAATCTTTCATTATGCAGATGGGTTCTCTATTTGGCTAGAACCAAGTTGCCTGATTCTCTTTTTTTTTTTTTTCTTTTGAGATGGAATCTCGCTCTGTCTCCCAGGCTGGAGTGCTGTGGCGCGATCTCAGCTCACTGCAAGCTCCACCTCCCGGGTTCACGCTGTTCTCCTGCCTCAGCCTCCCAAGTAGCTGGGACTATAGGTACCCACCAGCATGCCCTGCTAATTTTTGTATTTTTAGTAGAGACAGGGTTTCACCATGTTAGCCAGGATGGTCTCCATCTCCTGACCTCGTGTTCTGCCCGCCTCGGCCTCCCAAAGTGCTGGGATTACAGGCGTGAGCCACCGCGCCCGGCCGCCTGGTTCTTTACTGTACACATGGTGACAAGGAAAAGGGAAGATGGAGGGGGCAGTGGCTAAATAATTTCTGCCTAAATAATATCTATGTCCTGTATCAATTTCTCTCTTCCTAGCATCCCTCCACCCACAGGATCACCCAGCATCATCAGAAAATGCCTCATTCCCAAGACCCCACATATTGCTTCTGATACTGTGTAAAGTATTTGGAGCAAGAAAAACTAAGACCCATTTCCCAGCACTAAATGGAACAGAACAATTTTGGCTGGAATTATTGAGCTAAAATGAAGTGTCTACACTGCCTGATCCCACCAGTGTCAGTCTCCCCTTTAAATTTCTTATCTCAGTGGAAACATCATTTTCATGGAGGAAAAGAAATCCAAGCTGGGCATGGTGGCTCATGCCCGTAATTCCAGCACTTCAGGAGGCCAAGGTGGGAGGATCATTTGAGGCCAGGAGTTTGAGACCAGCCTGGGCAACATAGCAAAACTCTGTCTCTACACAAAAAAATTAAAATTAGCCAGGCGTGGTGATGCATACCTGTAGTCCCAGCTACTCGGGAGGCTGAGGCAGGAGGATCACTTGAGGCGAGGAGTTGGAGGCTGCAGCGAGCTATGATGATGCCAATGCACTCCAGCCTGGGCAACAGAGCAAGACCCTATCTCAAAAAAAATATTTTTTTAAGAAATCCTTTCCCATCTGTTTTGAAGAAAGAAAATAAATAATTTTGCTAACCTGTTAATGATTTCATGGCTTCCAAAAAAATAAAAGATTCTTACAGAATTTTGTTTTTCCTTCCTAGCTTTTTAAGACTGAGCTGAAATTCGCCTGCTAAGAAATGCTGCAGCCCTGTCATTGCCCCTGAAAGAGAAGACATCACCATGATCCCAGGCTCCTGTCCCCCTTCTCGCCAGAAGAGGGATCAATGTCACCGCTAAAGTTTACATGTCATCGAGTTGGCAGTTACCACCGAGCGCACGGCGGAGAGGCGGCCGTCCCACTGACAGCATCAGCTGTTGTTTCGCGTGTTCCCAGTCGGGATGTCACGTACAACAGAAGGAGGCGGCAGGGAAGAGCTTCAAACAAGCAAGAAGTGTCACGCAGAGAGTTAACTCAAGCCCATCCCTCTGCCTCTCACCTCCTGTTGACAGCAGAGATGCCCAGACCCCCTTCGCCCGCTCCTTCAACGCACACAAATGGAAATCCAACTCCGCCTTTGAGCCACCTCATTTACCATTCATTCACTACTTATGGAGTTCTGTTGTTACGGGCTGATGGGGTCCCCTCAAAATCTATATGCTGACGCCCTAACCCCCAGTACCTCCGAATGGGACTGTCTTTGGAGACAGGGTATTTTAAGAGGTGGTTAGGGGCTGGGCATGGTTGCAGGTAACAGAAAACTCAGCTAATGTTCCTTTAAGCAAAAAGACACATGGCCGCATAGGTAGCAAGAAGTCTGGACTTCCAGCTGGGCACAGTGGCTCACGCCTGTAATCCCAGCACTTTGGAAGGCTGAGGCAGGCGGATCACCTGATGTCAGGAGTTCTAGGCCAGCCTGGCCAACATGGCGAAACCCCGTTTCTACAAAAAAAATAATGCCTCCACCTCCCGGCTTCAAGCGATTCTCCTGCCTCAGCCTCCCAAGTAGCTGGGATTACAGTCATGCACCATCACACCCAGCTAATTTTTTGTGTTTTTAGTAGAGACGGGGTTTCTCCATGTTGGTCAGGCTGATCTCAAAGTCCTGACCTCAGGTGATCCGCCCACCTCGGCCTCCCAAAATGCTGGGATTACAGGCCTCCAGCATCTTTTAAACACACTAGACTCCCAGAAATCCCTCCAGGGGCTGAACGGGCCCCAAGCCACAGATGGTGGTTGCAGAATCCACCTGCCACATGGACAGGATAATTCCAAAGGCTTCCATGTGGGTCTGGTCATTGGAAGCCCTAGAAGCCAGCAGGCCCCTCTCCCCACAACTCTCCCAGGTTACAGCCTGGTGTCACACCCTCCAATGCCACCAGCACTAGGACTAGAGTGGGAAAGAGAGAAGGTGGTGTCTGCAGAGCCAGGAGCTGTGCTGTGGGAAGGGGAGGGGGATTACTCAGCTTGCCAGATTACCAGAAAGGGACCACCAGATCTGTGCTGGGGTCATGGAAAGAAAAGGAGCACCAGCAGAAACTAGGGATAGAAAGGAAACGAGGGGAGGGGCAGAGAGTGATGGACAGTTTAGAAGTTGCAATAGATGGGGTGCTCCCAGCATAAAGAGGAGGTCACTGAGGACCAAGCTGGCATCAGGGATGGAACATGACCACTTCTTTTTGTTTTGTTTTGTTTTGTTTTGAAATAGAGTCTCCCTCTGTTGCCCAGGCTGGGGTGCAGTGGCGTGATCTCGGCTCACTGCAACCTCTGCCTCCCGGGCTCAATTGATTCTCCTGCCTCAGCTTCTCGAGTAGCTGGGATTACAGGCACGTGCCACCACGCCCACCTACTTTTTTGTATTTTTAGTAGAGACGGGGTTTCACCATGTTAGCCAGGATGGTCTCGATCTCCTGACCTTGTAATCCACCCGCCTCGGCCTCCCAAAGTGCTAGGATTACAGGCTTGAGCCACCCTGCCTGGCCTAGAACATGACCACTTCTACAGATGCTTCCAGAAGCAGTCAGAGAAGAACAACAGCTTCTTCCTTGCAATCCTGCATTCTGATTTCTTGTTGCCTCCTCTGGGCAGAGACACCAGGAAACCAGAGGGTGGGAAATGAGCTGTGCAGATGCACAACCCAGTGTGAGAGAGCAGGGCATGGAAGGGCAGAGTGGGGCAACTAGAAGGTGGGGCTGATAGCAGCCCCTCAACAGGGCCAGCCCAATCCATACAAAGCCAGCTACAGTGTACACGAAGCTGCAAGCAAGCCTGGGCTCTTCTCCCAGTGCCCACTTGTTCTACCCCAGCACCAGGATGCCAGGCACCACACTTGTGTCAGCTATAGCTTATGCACATGCGGTATTGAGCCACGAGGGACCCTGTGGGCCATCAGGTCTAACACACCTCTGATATAGACATGACAACTGAGGGCCGGACGTGGTGACTCCCACCTGTAATCCCAGCACCTTGGGAGGCTGAGTTAGGCGGATCACCTGAGGTCAGGAGTTCGAGACCAGCCTGGCCAACATGGTGAAACCCCATCTCTATTTTAAAAATACAAAAATTAGCCAGGCATGGTGGTGGGTGCCTGTAATCCCAGCTACTCAGGAGGCCAAGGCAGGAGAATTTCTTGAAACCGGCAGGCGGAGGTTGCAGTGAGCCGAGATCACACCACTACACCCCAGCCTGGGCAACAGAGGGAGACTCTATCTCAAAAAAAAAAAAAATGCAAGCACTGAAACCCAGAGAGATGAAGTGACCTGCCCAATGTACACAGATGGGTAAGGGACCATCAAAACCTCTCTCCAGTGAGGATGAGCCTCAGACATCTCTTTGACCAGATTGGAGTATTATATTGATTCCTGCTCTGGAAAATTCCACCTCTCTGTGCAGCTAGACCTTGCAAAGCCATGACCTCAAAAGTCAGCCAGCATAATGTGCATGGGGCATGGGGCAAAGACCAGGAAGAGACAGCTGTCGGTCAGGGTCTCTGCCCTTACACTGCCTGGGGCCATCCATGGCCTCTAACGGGCAGACAAGCTTGTGTTCAGGGCAGAGTATCTGGTAGCTGCCTGTCTACATCCATGGTGAGACAGCACTGAGCACACTCCCAGGAAAGGGGCGGACAGAAGGCACTTCCCACATGGTAACATGGCATCTTAGCAATTACAGAGTCGTTTAAAGGCACTTTGTCAGCACTCCGCCCATAACAAGAATAGAGGCTCCCAACCCATTATTATATGGGGAAGAAAAAAATAGGTGACCAGGCAAATGTTCATGGCAATTTCTGCTTTGCACACAGTTTTGCCCTCAGTGAGCTTGTACGGATAAGGCTCCCTGCAAAAGGGAACTGTGGGCCCGGGTGCAGTGGTTCACACCTGTAATCCCAGCACTTTAGGAGGCCAAGGTGGGAGGATCACTTGAGGCCAGGAGTTCAAGAACAGCCTGGCCAACATGGTGAAAACCCGTCTCTACTAAAATTACAAAAATTGACTGGGTGTGGTGGCACACGCCTGTAATCCTAGCTACTCGGGAGACTGAGGTGGGAAAATTGCTTGAACCTGGGAGGCAGAGGTTGCAGCACTCCAGCATGGGAGACAGAAAAAGAAAAAAAAAAAAAAGGCAACTGTGTGATCAATGGGCACTTGTTTGCCTGAGGGTTGCCAAGGAAGGATTCGCTTTCTGCTTCCTGTGGGTTTCCCAGTGCGAGCCAGCTAGAGCCCTGGCCATGAGGCTGACCTCTAATACACATTTTCCATTCCCTCCCCAGCCTCTCCTTTTCTGTATCTCCCTCTCCAGTTCCTCTTTCTCTACCACATCCTTGCTCTGTCTCCCTCCCCTCTCTTGATATCTCTCTCTCTCTGTCCTCCTGCCATTTATTTCATCTTTCTCCTTTTGCCATGTCTAAGCCATCACTCCTCCTTTTATTTATTTATTTATTATGTGAGACAGGACCTTGCTGTGTTGCCCAGGCTGAAGCGCAGTGGTGTGATCATAGCTCACTGCAGCCTCCAACTCCTGGGTTCAAGCGATAATCCTGCCTCAGCCTCCCAAGTAGCTGAGACTACAGGTGCACACCATGACATCCAGCTAATTTTTATTATTTGTAGAAACAGGATCTTGCTGTGTTGCCTAGGCTGGTCTTGAACTCCTGGGCTCAAGCAATCCTCCCTCCTCAGCCTCCCAAGTAGCTGAGACTACAGGTGCACACCATGACATCTGGCTAATTTTTATTATTTGTAGAAACAGGATCTTGCTGTGTTGCCCAGGCTGGTCTTGAACTCCTGGGCTCAAGCAAGCCTCCCTCCTCAGCCTCTCAAGTAGCTGAGACTACAGGTGCACACCATGACATCCAGCTAATTTTTATTATTTGTAGAAACAGGATCTTGCTGTACTCCTGGGCTCAAGCAATCCTCCCTCCTCAGCCTCTCAAGTAGCTGAGACTACAGGTGCACACCATGACATCCAGCTAATTTTTATTATTTGTAGAAACAGGATCTTGCTGTGTTGCCCAGGCTGGTCTTAAACTCCTGGGCTCAAGCAATCCTCCCTCCTCAGCCTCCCAAGTAGCTGGGACTACAGGTGCACACCACCATGCCCAGCTAATTTTTATTATTTGTAGAGACAAGGTTTGCTGTGTTGCCCAGGCTGGCCTTGAACTCCTGGGCTCAAGCAATCCTCCCTCCTCAGCCTCCCAAGTAGCTGGGACTACAGGTGCACACCACCAGGCCCAGCTAATTTTATTATTTGTAGAGACAAGGTCTTGCTGTGTTGCCCAGGCTGGTCTTGAGCTCCTGGGCTCAAGCAGTGCTCCCATCTCAGCCTCCCAGGTAGCTGGAACTACAGACATGCACCACCACATCCAGTTGATTTTTAAATTTTCGTAGAGATGGGATCTCACAATGTTGCCCAGACTGGTCTCAAACTCCTGCGTCAAGCCTCCCACCTCAGCCTCCCAAAGCACTGATTACAGACATGAGCCTCCACATCTGACCTCACCTCCTTTTTCTTTTTCTGTGATTGAATTCTAGCTCTAGCACTTTCTCTGGGACTGAGGATCTCAGCTATTTAATCTCTCCACTCCTTCATCCGTAAATGAGGTATGTCACTGTGCCCCAGATGCTGCGGCCTATTCACTTACTGTTCCTCAAGTAGACCAAACATGTTCCCACCGAAGGGACTTTGCACCTGCTCCTCTCTCATTTCATGCTGCAAGCACCCTGTCTATTGCAGCTCTTCAACTGTCCATCACTCTCCAGCCCTCCCCTTGTTTCCTTTCTATCCTGAGTACTAACCCCTGCCTGAGGGTATATTTCATATTTATTGTTCAACCTTCTGTTGCCTGTCTCCCAACTAGAAGGTAGATTCCAAAGGGCAGGGACTTTGTTTTGTCCATTGCTGTATCCTAAACACCTCAAACAGCCCCAGATGCATAGTAGGCATTCAACAGGTATTGGCTGGGCGCAGTGGCTCACACTTGTAATCCCAGCACTCTGGGAGGCCGAGGCAGGTGGATCACTTGAGGTCAGGAGTTTGAGACCAGCCTGGCCAACATGATGAAACCATGTCTTTACCAAAAATATAAAAAATTAGCTGGGTGTGGGCCGGGTGCGGTGGCTCACATCTGTAATCCCAGCACTTTGGGAGGCTGAAGCGGGTGGATCACGAGATCAGGAGATCAAGACCATCCTGGCTAACACGGTGAAACCCCATCTCTACTAAAAATACAAAAAAAATTAGCCAGGCGTGGTGGCGGGTGCCTGTAGTCCCAGCTACTCGGGAGGCTGAGACAGGAGAATGGCGTGAACCTGGGAGGCAGAGCTTGCAGTGAGCAGAGATCACGCCACTGCACTCCAGCCTGGGTGACAGAGCGAGACTCCGTTTTAAAAAAAAAAAAAAAATTAGCTGGGTGCGGTGGCATGCACCTGTAATCCCAGCTACTCAGGAGGCTGAGGCAGGAGAATGGCTTGAACCCCAGAGGTGCAGGTTGCAGTGAGCTGAGATTGTGCCACTGGACTCCAGCCTGGGTGACAGAGCAAGACTCTGTCTCAAAAAAAAAAAATGACCATTGAATGATTGAATTATGTCTGCAAGCTGCCTAGCACAGTGCTGAGAACAAAGTGTTTAGTAAAGTCAGAGGTGATGATGATAATGATCCACATTCAACAAAAACTAGGCCAAGCACAGTGGCTTATGCCTATAATTCCAGTGCTGTGGGAGGGGCTGAGGCACGAGGATAGCTTGAGGCCAGG
The DNA here is from genome assembly GCF_000001405.40 of Homo sapiens. Classification (NCBI taxonomy): domain Eukaryota; kingdom Metazoa; phylum Chordata; class Mammalia; order Primates; family Hominidae; genus Homo; species Homo sapiens. Next base: position 67,385,474 of record NC_000007.14, on the reverse strand, counting down.
AATTCGAGATCAGCCTGGGAAACATAGTGAGACTTCATCTCTACTAAAAACTTAAAAAATTAGCCAGGCATGGTGGTGCATGATTGTAGTCCCAGCTACTCAGGAAGCTGAAGTGAGAGGATCCTTTGAGCCCAATAGTTCAAGGCTGTAGTGAGCTATGATCACACCACTGTACTCCAGCCTGGGCAACAGAGTGAGACCCAGTCTCTTAGAAACAAGTTAGGCTGGGTGCTATGGCTTATGCCTGTAATCCCAGCATTTTGGGAGGCCAAGGCAGGCAGATCACCTGAGGTGAGGAGTTCAAGACCAGCCTGGCCACCATGGTGAAACCCTGTCTCTACTAAAAAATACAAAATTAGCCAAGTGTGGTGGTGCATGCCTGTAATTCCAGCTACTCGGGAGGCTGAGGCAGGAGAATCCCTTGAATCCGGGAGGCGGAGGTTGCAGTGAGCCGAGATCGCGCCACTGCACTCCAGCCTGGGCAATAGAGTGAGACTCTGTCTCAAAAAAAAAAAAAATTAAATTAAATTAAATTTTAAAATAAAAAAATTCAACAAAAACTAAAGGGCCAGGGGGCATTCCAAAATGACAGTGTCCTCCCTGCACATGAGTAAGGAGGACATCTTAAAATTCCTAGCCTAGAACTTGCCAAACCGAGACCTCGAAAGAATCACTCCAGGGCCGGGCACGGTGGCTCACGCCTGTAATCCCAGCACTTTGGGAGGCCGAGGCAGGCAGATCACGAGATCAGGAGATCGAGACCATCCTGGCTAACACAGTGAAACCCCGTCTCTACTAAAAATACAAAAATTAGCCGGGCGTGGTGGCGGGCGCCTGTAGTCCCAGCTACTCGGGAGGCTGAGGCAGGAGAACGGCGTGAACCCGGGAGGTGGAGCTTGCAGTGAGCGGAGATTGCGCCATTGTACTCCAGCCTGGGCAACAGAGCGAGACTCCATCTCAAAAAAAAAAAAAAAAAAAAATTCACTCCAAAGTGCGCGTGTTCAATACTAAAGAGTGACATTTAGGTATAAACTGCATCTTGAGACGCAGAACCAGCAAAGAACACAAGCTGAGTTTGGCTGAAATCTCAGGATGAAAAATCATCATGCTGGAAACATTTGGGGACACTGCCCCCGCCCCCGCCCCAGCCAGCCTCCTTTCTGCCCTTGGGCTGGTCCTCCACTGGCCACCACCTCTGGTCCAATAGCTTGCCCTGAGAAAATTTCGGCTTGGCCTCTGCAGTTGAAGTGGCTGATCAGCTGGGAGTCACTTGGGATCTGTTGGTCACAGGGAATAGTAGGAAGTTCCTAAAACCAAGAGTCTGGCCAGGTGCGGTGGCTCACACCTATAATCCCAGCACTTTGGGAGGCCGAGGTGGGCAGATCACTTGAGGTCAGGAGTTTGAGACCAGCCTGGCCAACATGGTGAAACCCCATCTCTACTAAAAATACAAAAATTAGCTGGGTGTGGTGTCACACACCTGTGGTCCCAGCTACTCTGGAGGCTGAGGCAGGAGAATTGCTTGAACCTGGGAGGCGGAGGTTGCGGTGAGCTGAGATCACACCACTACACTCCAGCCTGCGCGACAGAGCCAAACTCCATCTCAATAAACAAAACAAACAAACAAACAAACAAAAAACAAGAGTCTTTCTTTCTTGGGCAGTCTTAAAAACCAAGAGACTTGCTTCTGCTGAGTGTCCTTATGGGCCACCTAAATCCTCTCAGCCACCAGCCACACACACCTAAAGGTATTTCCTTCTTGCTTTGTGATCAAAGAACTGGCTGGTACACATACACCTCCCATCTTGCTTTGGGATATTAACAGCCAAATTGGCAGCATCTCCACCTGTAGTAATACTGCAATACTATCAGAATTTCTAGCTTATATCCCTATATATTGCCATTTACATTCTACCTTCATCTTTTTTGGTTGGGGGGACGGAGTCCGGCTCTGTAACCCAGGTGGGAGTGCAGTGGCACAATCTCGGCTCACTGCAACTTCTGCCTCCGGGCTTCAAGTGAGTCTCCTGGCTCAGCCTCCTGAGTAGCTGGAATTACAGGCACATGTCACTATATCTGCCTAATTTTTTGATTTTTAGTAGATGTGGGGTTTCACCATGTTGGCTAGGCTGGTCTCAAACTCCTGACCTCAAGTCATCCACCTACCTTGGCCTCCCAAAGTGCTGTGATTACAGGAGTGAGCCACCACGCCGGGCCTCTGCCTTCATCTTTCTCTTCCACTTTTAACTTTCCTTTATCCTGATCAATTTTTCTCTTTATTCTTTTTTTTTTTTAATGTGTTGTTTGTTTGTTTGTTTGTTGAGATAGGGTCTCACTCTATTACCCAGGCTGGAGTGCAGTGGTGTAATCATAGCTCACTGCAGCCTCCAACCCTTGGGCTCAAGCAATCCTCCCACCTCAGTCTCCCAAATAGCTGGAATTAGAGGTGTGAGCTACCACACCCAGCCTGTGTTGTTTTAGTTTTATAAGCTGCCTCAGATATTTTTGGAATAGATAGGGAATTTTAAAAACCAGTAAATAGGCCGGGCGTGGTGGCTCATGCCTGTAATCCCAGCACTTTGGGAGGCCGAGGCGGGTGGATCATTTGAGGTCAGGAGTTCAAGACCAGCCCGGCCAACATGGTGAAATCCTGTCTCTACTAAAAATAAAAATAAAAATATATATTAGCCAGGCGTTGTAATCCCAGCTACTGGAGAGGCTGAGGCACAAGAATCGCTTGAACCCAGGAGGCAGAGGTTGCAGTGAGTTGAGGTCGCACCTCTGCACTCCGGCCTGGGCGACAGAGCAAGACTCCACCTAAAAAAAATAATAATAAATAAATAAATCATAGCTAATAATAATAGCACTCACTGAGTCTTTTACCACGAGGAGACACTGAACTGAGCCCATCTCATGCAGCACCTTATTTAATCTTCCAAAGACTCATACAACAGACATGATATGGAAAGTAGGATTGAAACAATTTTTTTTTTTTTTTGAGATGGAGTCTCGCTCTGTCACCCAGGCTGGAGTGCAGTGGCGCGCAATCTCGGCTCACTGCAACCTCTGCCTCCCGGGTTCAAGCGATTCTCCTGCCTCAGCCTCCCAAGTAGCTGGGACTACAGGCGCGTGCCACCACGCCCGGCTAATTCTTTGCATTTTTAGTAGAGATGGGGTTTCACCATGTTAGCCAGGATGGTCTCGATCTCCTGACCTTGTGATCTGCCTGCCTCGGCCTCCCAAAGTGCTGGGATTACAGATGTGAGCCACCGCGCCCAGCCGAAATAATTTTACAGATCAAGAAACTATAGCATAGCGAGGCTATGGAATTTAAGTAACATACATGACAGGTCCTGGCTTCCTTATAGACAGGCAACTCCAAGTAGGGCCCCCCAGCACCAAGCTGACTGCCAGTCCCCAACCCTCCAGAAACACAGAAATGTAAACAGCAGTTCTTCAGCTCCTGTCTTTTTCCTCCATTGTTTATTGAGCTAACTTCGAAGAAACTGTTTCCCAAGTATTCAGAGCAGGTAGTTGGGAAGAAAAGTAGTAACCAATGAAAGTTTGCACTAGCCAATGTCACATTAGCCATAGATGAAAGTACATTTGTGAGATTCAGATGCTGCAAAATAAACCACCGTGAGTGAGAGTATTAACATTTACTATCACAAGCATATTGCAAATCGTGTCTGCAGAAAACTAATTTAGCTGTGTCCTGATTTCCATACAATCATGTTTGCATTATCCGAGAGGCACACTACGGTCCTGCCTCTGACAAGCAAAGGTCTCCTGTCTGGCTTGATGTGAAATGACTCTAGCTGCCTCAAGGAGTCCTTGTCTCAGTAACCTTTGCACTTCTGGCCCCCTACCTTCCATGTGCCATGCCAGCCAGGACCTCAAACATAACAGAGCAGGCACCAGAAAGGGGCAGGAACTACTGGGCTGGCACCCAGGACTTCTGCACTTCTTAATTCGCAATGCTGGGAACAAGATGATCACGTGCCACTCATCCCAGACAAACTAATGCTTCTATACCCCTAAGAAAATGCAAAATGCCTTTCAAGGGTCTGATTTCAAGGGCCAAGCTCCATTTCTTGGACAGAAAAAATGGAAAATGGCCTCCCATCCAAATTGAAGCCACCTAGGGACTGGATGCAAGGAACAGAATCTGCCTGAGATGGTCCTGGAGAGCTTAGACTGAGTCTGCAGGTGCCCTGAGTTCTCCACGCTCTCTCAGGAGGCCCGGCCCACCTCCATCTCAAATCATATGTGCACATGCATGTACACACATATGCACAGCATACACACACACACACCATGTGCCACATGTACACATGCACATACATACACCATGCACACATGCATGCACACACAGCATGCACACACCATGCACATGTACTTATGTACACATGCACATGTGCGGACTATGGACCACATGTACACATGTACAAACATAAATCATGCATATATGCATGCACACACATGCACACACCATGCATCACATGTACATATGTACAAACATACATCGTGCATACATGTGTGTGCACACATGGGCACACCATGTGCCACATGTACTCATGTACAAATATCATGCATACATGCATATATGCATGCATACACCATGTACCACATGTACACAGGTATAAACATAAATCACACATGCATGCATACAAATGCAAACAATATACACATGTACATATGTACAAACACGCATCATACATACATGCATGCACACACATGCACATACCATGTACATGTACGCATGTACAAACATCACACATACATGCATTCACATGCATGCATACACCGTGAACATGTACATATGTACAAACATACATCGTGCATACATGCATACACACATGCACATACCATATACCACATGTACATATGTACAAAGATAAACACATGCATGCAGGCACACACATGCACACACCATGTGCCACATGTACACATGCACACACATGCACATTCACACAGCATGCACTACATGTACACATGCACATACATATATCATGCACACAGAGAATGCACAGACCATGTACCATACATACACATGTGCACATACATATACATACATCATGCACACATGCATGCACACACCATGTGCACACATCCACACATACGTACATATACACACACATACACACATGCAGTCCACACACACTTGCCCCTGACTCTCCAAGCAGCTGAACCATCTATCCACAAAGGCTCTGTAAAGTACACATTACTAACTGGCCTGCCCACATTCATGGTGAAGAGCTCAGGCTGTATGGAAATCAGGCTGAACCCTGGAAGATATGTAGGGAAAATACACAAAGGTCATGTCTACACGGTATTAGAAACCAATCTCTCTAGTACATGGATTTTTTTAGCCAGAAATAGGTCAGAAATAAACAATGCTGGTAGCAAGAGAGTTCCAGATACACTCAAATCCCTTCCAGCTGGCGTGCAGATGTGAGCAGCACCCAGATCTGCAGAAAAGTGGGGTTCCTTTACCCCAAGTGTGGACTGTGACACTGAATTAGAGGGGTAGAGAGAGAAGGAGTCAGACCTAGGAAAGTCCTCAGCTATTTTTCAGCTATTTTCTCAGACCAACTGGCTCTTTTTACAGATGTGAAACTGAGTCTCAGAGGACCATTGTCCACTGTCTACCAGTTTGGCAGGCTGCTGTCTCCCCGCACCCAGGATCCCCACACCTCTGGGGTCTTCCAGAAGCTTCTTTCAGTCTGAGAGACCCTAGGTTCCCTCCTCATCTTTCCCCTTCTTCTCTGTATATTCAAGCCACAGAACTGACGGCCCCATAGGAGCAAAGAATAAACATCCTCTCCAAGAGCAAAGAGCCCTGGCCCAGGCACTGCACCTCCATCTCTGGGCCTCAGTTTCCATCTGTGAAATGGGACGATGGGACTCAGCTCCCTTCTATCTCTGTTGCTCCATGACCCTGTGTTACTGCTAATCCAGCAAAACGGTGATGCTCATGAAGTTTGCCCTTTGTGGTCCTTTATATCCCTGAACTTTTCAGGACTTGCTTCCCTGTCCTGCCCTGGCCCCGGTACAAAGGCCTGAAGCTGGCCAGGCACGGTGGCTCACCCGTGTAATCCCAGCACTTTGGGAGGCCAAGACGGGCAGATCACCTGAGGTCAGGAGTTTGAGACCAGCCTGACCAACATGGAGAAACCCCGTCTCTCCTAAAAATACAAAATTAGCCGGGCGTGGTCGTGGGCGCCTGTAATCTCAGATACTCAGGAGGCTGAGGCAGGAGAATCGCTTGAACCCAGGAGGCGGAGGTTGCAGTGAGCCAAGATCACGCCATTGCACTCCATTCTGCGCAACAAGAGTGAAACTCTGTCTCAAAAAAAAAAAGCCTGAAGTTCTCATATTATCCCAGTTTCTCGGGACAGGGAGAAAAGCTCATTAGGAAAAATTATTCACAATGAAGTATTTTAGCCCGAAATAGATCAGAAATAAACGCTGGTAGCAAGAAAGTTCCAGATACACTCAAATCCCTTTCAGCTGGTGTGCAGATGTGAACAGCAGCCACACCTACAGAAAAGTGGGGTTCCTGAAGAGGACAACACTGAACCCAACGGTGATAGGAACGGCTGAGTGCAACCCTAAATTTGTCATCTGACACCCAGGGCACCTCCTTGACTCTGGATGTACCAGAAAGTCCTGTGTCTTGCAAAGGTCATGTTCCCAGCTGAGGCCGGGATGTGCCTCTCCAGGCCTCTGCAGCTTTGAGGTCCTGGGACGATCATTGTTCTACCCACGACTCCATGAATGCAGCCTTGACACTGTGCCAGGACCATGGTCGCCTTTCATCCTCCCTCAAATCCTGGCAGTGGGAACCAAGGCTGAGGGCACGAGGCCAGCTGCCCAGGCTGAAACAGAGAGAGGCTGGAGCAAAAGAGACTAATGTTCCTCCCCGGCTCGGGGTCTCCGAGTTGAGCCACCTAAGGCACGTGGCGGCTCCCAGCTAGACCATGCACTGGGTCTCCCAGGCCTTTAGACCCCCTGGGGACTGCCAAGCTACAGGCCCAAGACACCCAGCACGTGGGGCCTGCAAGCATCTTTCATGAATCAAGAGTGACCCCTGGTGGCTGCCAGGAGTACTCCTCCCACTGCTCCACCTACTCACAAGCAAGCCTGTGGCCATCCCAGCCCAGCTGCTCCTGTGTGCCCAGCCTCATGACTGATGGGGCTCCCTTCTCCTCCCTGAGGCCAGCTGTCTTCCAGAAGGAACTGTTCAAGAGTTCTGCAGGCTAGGATCTCAGCCCTGGAACCCTACCGTGTGCAGCCCGGGTGTCCTCAGGCTGAAAGGTGGCCCTGCACCAGGAGGGCTCTGGGGCTCTCGGAAGCCCTGCCTTGGCTCAGAAGGCCCTCCAAGCTCTCTACCCAGGCCCGCACTACCTTGGGTTCAACCTACAACTCAAGGACCACCTCCCTGGAACCCTTCCCCAGAACCGTTCCCTAGAAATGTGTCTCTCTTTGGGATCACACTGTCCCAACCAAATTGTGGGATCCAAGGTCTGATAAGGTACGTGGGGGGTTTCTTTGTTTCATTTTGTTTTGTTTTTTGAGACGGAGTCCCGCTGTGTCGCCCAGGCTGGAGTGCAGTGGTGCAACCTCTGCTCACTGCAGCCTCTGCCTCCTGGGTTCAAGTGATTCTCCTGCCTCAGCCTCCCAAGTAGCTGGGATTAGAGGCGTGCACCACCACACCCGGCTAATTTTTGTATTTTTAGTAGAGACAGGGTTTCACTATGTTGGCCAGGCTGGTCTCAAACTCCTGACCTCAGGTGATCCACCTGCCTCGGCCATCCAAACTGCTGGGATTACAGACGTGAGCCACTGTGCCTGGCCTCTTTTTTCCTTTTTTTTGTTTTTTGTTTTTTTGCCACAGGGTCTTGCTCTGTTGCCCAAGCTAGACAGAGTACAGTGGCACACTCATAGCTCACTGCAGCCTCCAATTATTGGGTTCAACCAATCCTCCCACTTCAGCCTCCTGAGCTGGGACTGCAGGTGCAAACCACCATGCCCAGCTGATTTTTTTTTTTTTTTTTTTTTTTTTTTTACTTTTTATAGAGACAGGAGTCTCACAATGCTGCCCAGGCTGGTCTCAAACTCCTGGCCTCAATTGCTCCTCCCAAGTTGGCCTCCCAAAGTGCTGGGATTATAGGCATGAAACTCTATGCCTTGTTACATACTTGGTTGTTTGTTTGTCATTTTTGTTTTTTGAGATGGAGTCTCACTCTGTTGCCCAGACTGGAGTGCAGTGGTGTGATCTCGGCTCACTGCAACCTCTGCCTCCCAGGATCAAGCAATTCTCCTGCCTCAGCCTCCCAAGTAGCTGAAATTACAGGCATGTGCCACCACGTCTGGCTAATTTTTATATTTTTAGTAGAACAACAGTTCCACCATGTTGCCCAGGCTGGTCTTGAACTCCTAACCTCAGGTGATCTGCCCACCTCAGCCTCTCAAAATGCTGGGATTATAGGCATAAGCCACCACGCCCAGCCACATACTTGGTTCTTAATCTTTGACTGGACTGAAACATTTTTAACTTCTCCCAGCATTGTCTGAAACTGAATTAAATTTTTTTTTTCAGTGAATGAAGGTTTTTAATGCATTCATGTGAATGGTGGGTTCTTAGAGGCATATTTTTAGATGCAAGAAATTTTCTCAATTGTGGCTGAATATATATATAACAAAAAAATGTGTCATTTTCAGCATTTCTAAGGACAGAGTTTGGTAGTCTTAAATAAATTCCCATTATCATGCAACCTTCACTGTCATCCATCTCCAGAACTTTCTCATCTTCTCAAACTGAAACCCTGTCCCCATGAAACACTCACTCCCCATTTCTCCCTCCCACCAGCCCTTGCCAACCATCATCCTTCTCTCTGCCTCTGTGAATATGATGATTGCAACAGTGAATTAATGATGTTAACACCATTTAAATCTTCACCTGTCTGTGTTCATCTTCTCCTCCCCAATGTGTGGGAATGAGGACGTGTTTGGGTCTTTCCAGGCCCCTCATAACACACACACCATTCCCAGGACACGGCTATGCCTGGCCCATGATGAGAGTGAACTCAATGAGAAGCTCACTCATTCATGCATTTTATAAACATTCCCGTTTTACAGACATTCGTGCATTTTACAAACATTCCACATGCTCATTGTACACACATTCCTTGATCCTCTGTGGGGTCCAGGCTCATGTTGTGTGCCTGAGACACACCTGTGAAGAAGACAGCCATGTATTGGGAGGCTGGTACTGGGGCCAGGCGTGGTAGTATTGGGGCAGGATGTGGTGACTCACGCCTGTCATCCCAGCACTTTGGGAGGCCAAGGAGGGAAGATCACTTGAGGCCAGGAGTTCGAGACTAGCCTGACCAACATGGCAAAACCCTGTCTCTACCAAAAATACAAAAATTAGCCAAGTGTGGTGGTGTACACCTGTAATCCCAGCTACTAAGGTGGCTGAAGTAGGGACAATCTCCTGAACCCAGGAGGCAGAGGGTGCAGTGAGTCGAGATCACACAACTGCACTCCAGCCTGGGCGGCAGAGCAAGACTCTGCCTTGGAAAAAAGAAAAAAAAAGAACTGGTATTGGAACCAGGGAAATAAGCACCAACCAGGCATGACACAGATGTTGACATGATTCTACAATTGCGCTGTTGCTCTTTGAAACCATTCTGGGAGCTAAAAGGGCATCTCTAGTCAGGCAACAGAGGGGAGGCTTCCTTGAGAAAGCTGCATTTCACCTGAGATCACCAGAAAGGGAGATCATGAGATGAGGGAATGGGGAAAAACGAGGAAATGAGAAGTATTAGGAGGTATCAGCTTCCTATGGCTGCTGTAACAAATAGCCACCAACTCAGTGGCTTAAAACAACACAAATCCATTCTCTAACTGTTCTGGGGGTCAGAAGTCTTGAAATCAAGATGTTGAGAGCTTGCAACATAGAACTCCTGGGCTCAAGCGATCCTCCCACCTCACCCTCCCAAGTAACTGGGACTACAGGTACGCACCACCACGCCCAGCTAATTTTTTTACATTTTTTTTGTAGAGACAGGGGTCTCGCTATGTTGTCCAGGCAGGTCTTGAATTCCTGGTCTTGAACAGCTGTGTTCCTTCTGGAGGCTTTGCAGGGAAATCTGTTTCTTTGTCTCCAACAACTTTTAGAGGCTTCCTGCATTCCTTGGCTGGTGGACCCTTCCTCTAACTTCAAAGCCTACAGCATAACATCTTCACAATCTCTCTGCGTGTGTATGTGTGTGTATGTGTTTCTCTCCATCTCTCTCTGTCTCTCTGTCTCTCTCCCTCTACTCTCTCCCTCTGTCTCTCTCTTTCTCTCCCTCTCCTCTATTTCTCTGTCTCTCTGTCTCTTTTTCTTTCCCTCTCCTCTATTTCTCTCTCTCTCTGTCTCTCTCTCTCTCCCTCTACTTTTTCTTTCCCTCTTCTCTATTTCTGTCTCTCTCTCTCTCTCTGTCTCTCTTCCTCTACTCTCTCTGTCTCTCTGTCTCTTTTTCTCTCCCTCTCCTCTCCCTATTTCTGTCTCTCCCTGTCTCTCTCCTTCTCCTTTCTCTCTTTCTCTTTGTGTCCCCCTACGCTTTCATCCATCCTCACATCCCTCTCTCTCTAATTCTCCTGCCTCCTTCTTTCCTGTATAAGAACTTTCATGACTACACTGGACCCATGTGGATAATCCAAGACAATATCTCCATCCCCAGATCCTGAACATAATCACAACTGCAAAATGCCTTCTGCCATATAGGCTACCCTGTCCACAAGTTCTAGGGATGAGAATGAAGACATCTTTGGGAGCACGTTATTCCACCTACTACACAACAAATATAGTGATTTCCTTTTTCAAGAACAAGAACACTTTTCTGGGAATGCAGATACACTGTTGGTGGGAGTGTAAATTAGTTCAGCCATTGTGGAAAGCAGTGTGGCGATTCCTCAAAGGGCTAAAAGCAGAACTACCATTCAACCCAGCAATCCCATTACTGGGTATCTACCCAAAGGAATATAAATCATTCTATCATAAAGACACACGCACGGCCAGGCGCAGTGGCTCACGCCTATAATCCCAGCACTTTGGGAGGCCGAGGCAGGCGGATCAGCTGAGGTTGGGAGTTCGAGACCAGCCTGACCAACATGGAGAAATCCTGTCACTACTAAAAATACGAAATTAGCTGGCCGTGGTGGTGTCATGCCTGTAATCCCAGCTACTCGGGAGGCTGAGGCAGGAGAATCGCTTGAACCCAGGAGGCAGAGGTTGCGGTGAGCCCAGATCACGCCATTGCACTCCAGCCTGGGCAACAAGAGCAAAACTCCATCTCAAAAGAAAAAAAAAAAAAAAGACACATGCATGTGAATGTTAATTGCAGCACTATTCAAAATAGTAAAGACAAATGTGGCACATATACACCGTGGAATACTATGCAGCCATAAAAAAAGATGAGTTCATGTCCTTTGCAGGGACACGGATGAAGCTGGAAACCATCATTCTCAGCAAACTATCACAAGGACAGAAAACCAAACACCGCATGTTCTCACTCATAGGTGGGAATTGAACAATGAGAACACCTGGACACAGGGTGAGGAACATCACACACCAAGGCCTGTTGTGGGGTGGGGGGCAGGGGGAGGGATAGCATTAGAAGAAATACCTAATGTAAATGTTGAGTTGATGGGTTCAGCAAACCAACATGGCACATGTATACATATGTAACAAACCTGCATGTTGTGCACATGTACCCTAGAACTTAAAGCATAATAAAAAAAAATAGTAAACACGTGGAATAAACCCAAATACTCATCAATGACAGATTGAATAAAGAAAATGTGGTACAGATACACCATGGAATACTATGCAGCCATCAAAAAGAGCAAGATCATGTCTTTTGCAGGGACATGGATGGAACTGGAGGCCATCATCCTTAGCAAACTAGAGCAAGAACAGGAATACTGAAATATAAAATACTAAAAATACCAAAATTAGCCAGACATGATGGCACACACCTGTAATCTTAGCTACTCCAGAGGCTGAGGCAGGAGAATCGCTTGAATCACGTGTTCTCACTTATAAGTGGGAGATAAATGTTGACAACTTATGAACACAAAGAAGGAACAACAAACATTGGGATCTATGTGAGGGTGGAGGGTCGGGGAGGGATAGGAGCAGAAAAGATGACTAGTGGGTACTCGGCTTTAATACCTGGGTGATGAAATAGCCTGTACAACAAACCCCCATGATATGAGTTTACCTATGTCACAAACTTTCACATGTACCCCAAACCTAAAATAAAAGTTAAGACCCAGTGCGGTGGCTCATGCCTGTAATCCCAGCACTTTGGGAGACTGAGGCGGGCGGATCAAGAGATCAGGAGTTCAAGACCAGCCTGGCCAATGTGGTGAAACCCCGTCTCTACTAAAAATACAAAAATTAGCCAGGTGTGGTGGCGCCCGCCTGTAGTCCTAGCTACTCGGGAGGCTGAGGCAGGAGAATCACTTGAACCTAGGAGGCAGAGGTTGCAGTGAGCCAAGATTGCACCATTGCACTCCAGCCTGGGCAACAGAGCCAGACTCCGTCAAAACAAAACAAAAAAAAAGAGATTCGCCTGCCTCAGCCTCCCGAGTAGCGGGGATTACAGGTGTATGCCACCACATCTGGCTAATTTTTGTATTTTTAGTAGAGACAGTGTTTTACCATGTTGGTCAGGCTGGTCTCAAAGTCCTGACCTCAAGTGATCCACCCACCTCAACCTCCCAAAGTGCTGGGATTACAGGTGTGAGCCACTGAGCCCGGCCTGCAACCTAATAGCTTTTTTCCCCCAGGCAAAGCCAAGAAAAATCCCCCTCGCTCCTGACTTCCATGTAAGATTTCATCAGAATGAAAACATCTTGTAATTAGATAGTGGTGATGGACCGGGTGCGGTGGCTCACGTCTGTAATCCCAGCATTTGGGGAGGCCGAGACGGGCAGAACACCTGAGGTCAGGAGTTTGAGACCAGCCTGGCCAACATGGCGAAACCCTGTCTCTACTAAAAATACAAAAATTAGCTGGTCACGGTGGTGCACCCCTGTAGTCCCAGCTACTCAGGAGGCTGAGGCAGAAGAATCGCTTGAACTGGGGAGGCGGAGGTTGCAGTGAGCCGAGGTGGCTGCCACTGCACTCCAGCCTGGGCGACAGAGTGGGACTCCAACTCCAAAAAAAAAACCATAGTGGTGATGGCTGCAGTCTTGTGAATAGCCTAAAAATCACTGTACGCGTTTAAAGGGTGGATTTTATAGTATGTGATGTCTACTTCCATTTTTTTAAGTCAGGGGCAAAGGATCTTATCAGAAGAAAGGATTCCAAGGCTAAAAAGAGCATAACTGTGCTGAGCTGGCTGATGTCAAGGCCCCTCTGCACCTGGACTGGTGGCCTCTGAGGCCGACGGGCTGCTCTAGGTTATTCATAGGGAACCAGTGACACCTAGTGTCCAAAGTATGAACAGCAAGAACATAACGACGTCAGGGAGAAGGCAGCCGGGGACTGCTCAGGACAGGGGCAGACACAGCTCCGGAAAACGTTCCCATGTTCCCATCTCCCTGAATTACACACCAGCAGGGTGCAGTTGCTCAAACACAGCCAATGCCCCATTTCTTGTCAAGTGTTAATAAAACATGGTGAGATGTGAACCTAACCACTTGTAATTGCTCTGACAAAAGGAGGACAAGTCTGGCCTCTGAGGGTGACCGCAGCTCACTCCTGGCCCTCTCTGGGTCTTCTAGATCGTTGCCTCAACTGAAAAACGAAGGAAGGCCAGGCGCAGTGGCTCACGTTTGTAATCCCAACATTTGGGAGGCTGAAACGGGAGGATGGCTTGAGGTCCGGAGTTCAAAACCAGCCTGGACAGCATAGTGAGACCCCATCTCTATAAAAAAAATTTTTTTTAATTAGCCAGGCATGGTGGTGCATGCCTGTAGTCCCAGTTACTTAGGAAGCTGAGGCAAAGGATCGTTTGCACCCAGAAGTTTAGAGCTGCAGTGAGCTGTGTTTGCACCACTGCACTCCAGCCTGGGCAACAGAGGGAGACCCTACCTCTGAAAAATTTTTAAAAATAATAATAAATAAATAAATAAATGGGATATTCAGCAAGAGTTGTACACTCAGTACCTGCCTGGCCAGGTGGGCTCCCCTAGATGACCAAGGGGAAAGCAAAGAGAGAGTATGACACTCCAGTACTCCCACCCCCATCTCAAGCACCCACTGTCCAGCTCCAACTGGCCATTCCCCGCAGGAGCCTAGCCCAGGGGGCCAGAGTGTAGCTATCTGTTCATAAGAGTATCCAGAAACCAAGACAATATGTAAAATCTCTCAGGTTTTAATATTGGCAACTGGTTCCACTTTTTTTCAAAGACTCGGAGCAGAAGACACAACATCGCTTAGGAATTACTCCTGCCAAAAATGCATAGCCCATTTGGAAAACATCAGACAAATCCAAATTGAAGGGCATTCTGCAAAACAACTGGCTTGCGCTTTTTAAAAATATCAAGATAAAGAAAGACAAAGGAAGACTGAGTGACTATTTCAGAAGAAAGGGAAGGAGACAGTCAAGATAGCTAAATGCAGTTCATGATCTTAGAGGATATTCTAAATCAAGTGGGGAAAAGAACTATTCGGAAAGGGCAGTATTGGGGACAATTGTCAAAATGTGCATATGTTCTATATATTACATACTAGTATTACATAAGCTGAATTTCCTGAATTGGGTAAGTGCACTTTGGTCTTATAAAATAATGTCCTTATTCTTTTTTTTGGAGGGGGGTGCTGGGGGATGGAGTCTCGCTCTGTGCCCCAGGCTGGAGTGCAGTGGCGTGATCTCAGCTCACTGCAACTTCTGCCTCCTGGGTTCATGCCATTCTCCTGCCTCAGCATCCTGAGTAGCTGGGACTACAGGTGGGCGCCACCATGTCCAGCTAATTTTTGTATTTTTAGAAGAGAGGGGTTTTCACCATGTTGGCCAGGATGGTCTCGATCTCTTGACCTTATGATCCACCTGCCTCAGCCTCCCAAAGTGCTGGGATTACAGGTGTGAGCCACCATGCCCGGCCAGTCCTTGTTCTTATAATATACACACTCAAGCATGTAGGAGTGATAAGCATGACATCTATAACTCTCAAATGGTTAAGGGGGAAATATGTACATATAGAAAGCAAAATGGGCTGGGCGTGGTGGCTCATGCCTGTAATCCCAGCACTTTGGGAGTCCAAGGCAAGTGGATCACTTGAGGTAAAAGAGTTTGAGACCAGCCTGGCCAACATGATGAAACCCCATCTCTACTAAAAACACAAAAATTAGCTCAGCATGGTGGCAGTCACCTGTAATCCCAGCTACTTGTAAGGCTGAGGCAGGAGAATTGCTTGAACCCAGGAGGTGGAGGTTGCAGTGAGCTGAGATTGCACCACTGCACTCCAGCCTGGGTGACAGAGGGAGACTCTGTCTTGAAAGAAAGAAAAGAAAGAAAAAGAAGGAAAGAAGGAAGGAGGGAAGGAAGGAAGGAAGGAAAAGGAAAGAAAGAGAAAGAAAGGAAGGAAGGAAGGAAGGAAGGAGAGAGAGAGAAAGAAAGAAAGAAAGAAAGAAAGAAAGAAAGAAAGAAAGAAAGAAGAGGAAGAAAGAAAGAGAAAGAAAGATAGGAGGGAGGGAGGGAGGGAAAGAAGAAAGAGAGAAAGAAAGAAGAAAAGAAGAAGAGGAAGGAAGGAGAGAGAGAAAGAAAGAAAGAAAGAAAGAAAGAAAGAAAGAAAGAGAAAGGAGGGAGGGAGGGAAAGAAAAAGAGAGAAAGAAAGAGAAAGAGAGAGAAGGAAGGAAGAAAGGAAGGAAAAGAAAGGAAGGGAGGAAAAGAAAGATGTGCCAAAATGTCAATAATGGGTTTTTATGGTATTCTTGCAATTCTTGGTCTTTATACTCTTGATGTTGTATTGTTGTATACTTTATACTATTGTTGCACACAGTGGTTTATACTATTGTAGCAATATGTTTGAAATTACTTCTAATTTTTTTAATAAAGAGACTGAACAGGGTCTGGCCTGGGACCACAGTTTCCACCCTCAGGATTGGTTGCCCTCCAAGGGGCTTGCAGATCTGACACTGAGTGGCACTGCCCAGGCTGGCAGAGCCAAATGGTGGAGAAGCCCCAGCTGTTCTCACCCTTCCCTGCTCCTTGCCAGCCCTTCCCCTCTCTCAGTGGGAGTGTGGCCTCCTCTTGCCCATGATCGGCTTCAATTCTGGGTGCATTCCCAGCCCAGTTGTGCCTCCAGCTTCTTAGGTGACCCTATGTGAGTTGCTCAACCTCTCTGATTCCCAGTTTCCTTACTGGTAAGATAAGACAGCACTTCTAACAAGGTGTCATCCAGGAATGATGGGCAAGGACAAGGAGTGGAAAGGGGAGGGCACCTGGACAGAGAGGCCCTTGGAGTAACACAAAGACCCCGACAGCAAATCTGGGAGGGCAGGGTAGAAAAAGTGAGGGAGGAAGAGAAGAACAGGACACAGGCCAGGAAGATAACGGGACCCTTCCCAAGGCTCCCACCCACCCAGGAAAAGGGAAGAAACCTCAGGGCCCCAGGTTCTGCAGCCAGAGCTCACCCAGGAATTACCAGGGGTTGGTGTTTTCCATGTAGGTTAATTATCATCCTCAGTCCACAGAACGCCCAGACGGCTTGCCTTGCCACATAGCAAGAAGAGTTCTTGATGCTAATGCCCTGGGGGTTGGAGGGGCTTCACAAAAACTTACCTGGTAAGGGCTATGCAATAGCAGCCACCTCTGCTGGGAGTCTTAAAAGACACCAGGTTTAATGCCCCGGTGTCATTTCTATGTCTCCCATGGTTGGTGCCATGGGGCCTGGCGCATAGAAAAAGCTGTTTTAGTGGTTGATGACTGAGTGATTAATAAACATGTTAATTGCCTCTAAAAATGGGATAGCCAGCAAAGCCTAGAAATGACGAGCCCTGACCCCAGAGCCCACATGCCCAGATTTAAATCCAGGCTCTGCTGCTCTAGCTGGGTGGCCTCATTGGTGAGCCTGATTGCCCCCATGTCTTAATCAGCTCTGGCTGCTATAACACATACCACAGACTGGGTGATTTACCAAGAAACATTTATTCCTCATGATTCTGGAGGCTGGGAAGTCCAAGATCAAAGTGCCAGCAAATCTTATGTCTGGTGAGGGCTCACTTCCCAGTTTACAGCTGCAACCTTCCCATTGTGCCTTCACATGGGAGAGCGTGGAGAGGAATCATCTCCTTCCATCTGCCTTGTGTCTTTTTTTTTTAAGAGACAGGGTCTGTCTCTGCCCAGGCTCGAGTGCAGTGGTGCAATCATAGCCCACTGCAGCCTTGAACTCCTGGGCTCAAGCGATCCTCCTGCCTCAGCCTCCTCAGGAGCTGGGGCTATAGGCGCATGCCACAACACCTAACTAATTTTTTAAATTTTTTATAGAGATGGGGGTCTCACTATTTTGCCCAGTCTGGTCCAGAAATCTTGGTCTCAAGTAATCCTCCCACTTTGCCCAACCAAAGCACTGAGACTACAGACATGAGCCACCATGTCCACCTAAAATCTCTATTTCTCACAGTTCTGGAGGCTGGGAAGTCCAAGAGCAAGGTGCTAGCAAGCCCTGTGTCTGGTGAGAGCCCATTCCCTGAGTTGTAGATGGCAGCCTTCTCATTGAGAAAGTAGAGAGCAATCCTCTCCTTCCATCTCTCTTGTGTCTTTCCTTATAAGGGCACTAACGGCACTAATCCTATTTGTAGGGCTTCATCCTCATGACCTAATGACCTCCCCAATGCCCCACCTCCACATATCACTTCAGGGATTTAGGCTTCAACATATGAATTCTGCGGGGGACACATTCAGTCCATAGCAACCCTTCTCTCAAAGTTACAGGGAAGAGTGAATGATTCTTTGTGATGTGTTTGGAATAAATGAAATGCTGAGGGCAGCCCCTGCCTGTCTCCTGTGTCAATGAGAAGAATCGCCAACCTTGAACAAGTGGATAAGTCTCCCATGGCTGTATTAGACTCCAGATCCCTCAGAAGGTTGACCCCCACATCCCATCACACCTTACCAAGCGTGGCTCATCCCAGCCACATCTAAACAGTCTCAAAGTTGGAGAACACACACCAGTCACTTTCCCAGGATGTGACAGCAAACAAAAACATAAAGATAGAGATCCCAATCCGCCCAGAAGGCGTTCCTCCTACGTTCTCCCTGTTTGAATGCTGCTCTCTCAAACAGTCTCTTTTTTAAAAAATTTATTTCAATATTTTGAGGGGTACAAGTGT
The DNA here is from genome assembly GCF_000001405.40 of Homo sapiens. NCBI lineage: Eukaryota > Metazoa > Chordata > Mammalia > Primates > Hominidae > Homo > Homo sapiens. Next base: position 67,367,134 of record NC_000007.14, on the reverse strand, counting down.
TTTTTTGTTACATGGATGAATTCTGAGCTTTTAGTGCACCTGTCACTCAAGTAGTATACCTTATACTTCAGAGGCAGTTTTTTATCCCTAACTCCCCTCCCATCCTTCTACCTTCTGCATCTCTAAAGTTCATTATACTATTCTGTTTGCCTTTGCATGCCTGTAGCTTTTTTTTTTTTTTTTTTTGAGATGGAGTCTCACTCTGTTTCCCAGGCTGCAGTGCAGTGGCACAATCTTGGCTCACTGCAACCTCTGCCTCCCAGGTTCAAGTGATCCTCCTGCCTCACCCTCCCGAGTAGCTGGGATTACAGGCGTGTGCCACCACACCCGGCTAATTTTTGTATTTTTTTAGTGGAGACAGGGTTTCACCATGTTGGCCAGGCTAGTCTCGAACTCCTGACCTCAAGTGAGCCATCCGTCTCGGCCTCCCAAAGTGCTGGGATTACAGGCGTGAGTCACCGTGCCAGGCCTTAGCTCCCACTTGTAAGTGAGAACGTAAGGTTTTTGGTTTTTCCCCCCTGAGTTACTTCACTTCAGTTGATCCATCAATCACTCTGCCTCATCCCTTCTGACCCCCGCTTAACTCCCAGAGGTGATATCTGTGGCCAAAGATCTGTGACCAGATGTTCCCTTCCCTTGCGCCTTCTCATCCTCTGTTACTGCAATAACTATTTGTAAAACTCAAATCAGGACAGCTACTCTAAAATATTTATTTATTTATTTTTAGAGACAGGATCTCGCTCATTCGCCCAGGCTGGGGTGCTGTGGTGCAATCATAGCTCACTGCAGCCTTGAACTACTGGTCTCAAGTGATCCTCCCACCTCAGCCTCCCAAGGAGCTGGGACCACAGGCACGGGTCACCATACCAGGCTAATTTTAATTTTATTTTTTGTAGAGCAAGGTTCTCACTATGTTGTCTGGGCTAGTCTCGAACTCCTGACTTCAAGAGATCCTCCCACTTCGGCTCCCAAAGTGCTGGGATTACGGGCATGAGCCATCGTTCCTGGCCAGTCTCATTTTTAAATGTGTATATTTATTTCTATGGAGAAAAACCTCTTAAGTTATAATAATAAAACCTACAGAGCTATGTATTATCATCTATTATTCTTTGTTGAAAGAATAAAGTTATACAAAAAGACAAACACTGCATAATTCCACTCAGATGAGGTAGTTAGAGGAGTCAAATTCATACAGACAGAAAGCAGAAGGGTGGTTGCCAGAGATTGAGGGAAGGGAGGAACGAGGAGTTAAGTGTTTAATAGGGACAGGGTTTCAATTTTTTTACAAGATGGAAAGCATTCTGGAGACAGATGGTGGGGATGTTTGCACAAAATTATGCATGCATTTAATACTACTGAGGTGTACATTTAAAATGGTTAAGATAGTAAATTTTATGTTATGTGTATTTTATCACAATAAAAAAATTGGGGGAAAACAGAATAAAGTTATGTAAAATTAGGTCCCCCTGGCAACTGCTAGATTTGTCCACCAGTGACAGTTTTTAGAATAACACAACTTTCATGAACCCATCAGCTCCATCTGCCCCTAAAAACATCAGAAATTAAAACCACCTGCCAGGGCTTTGGCCTGGTTAGGCACAGTTGTGAATGCATTGGGGGCTACATTTTTTTTTTTTTTTTTTTTTTGAGGCAGAGTCTTGCTCTGTCGCCCAGGCTGGAGTGCAGTGGTGCGATCTCGGCTCACTGCTGCCTCCACCTCCCAGGTTCAAGCAATTCTTCTGCCTCAGTCTCCCGAGTAGCTGGGATTACAGGCGCCTGCCACCACGCCCGGCTAATTTTTCTATTTTTAGTAGAGACACGGTTTTGCCATGTTGGCCAGGCTGGTCTCAAACTCCTTACCTTAAGTGATCCACTCACCTTGACCTCCCAAAGTGCTGGGATTACAGGCATGAGCCACTGCACCCAGCCAGAAATATTACAATTCTTCGACTGCATTTTCCCAACCAAAAACATGGCATTTCTCTCCATTTATTCAGTTTCTAAGGGGGGTGTGTGTGTGTTTAGAGACACGGACCCACTCTGTTATCTGGGCTGGAGTACAGTGGCGCTGAGAGGTGACAACGTGCTGGCGGCCCTCGCTCGCTCTCAGTGCCTCCTCGACGGCGGCGTCCGCTCTGGCCACGCTTGAGGAGCCCTTCGGCCCGCCGCTGCACCGTGAGAGCCCCTCTCTGGGCTGGCCGAGGCTGGAGCCGGCTCCCTCTGCTTGCAGGGAGAAGCGCGGGCGGGAACCGGGCTGCGCGCGGAGCTCGCGGGCCAGCGCGAGTTCCGGGTGAGCGTGGGCTCGGCGGGCTCCGCACTCAAAGCGGCCAGCAGGCGCCGCTGGCCCCAGGCAGTGAGGGGCTTAGCACCTGGGCCAGCAGCTGCGGAGGGGGCGCAGGGTCCCCTAGTACTGCCGGCCCGCCCGCGCCACGCTGGAATTCTCGCGGGGCCTCAGCCGCCTCCCGGCCGGGCAGGGCTCGGGACCTGCAGCCCGCCATGCCAGAGTCCCCCGCGGTGGGCTCCTCGGCAGCCCGAGACTCCTCGACGGGCGCCGCCCACTGCGCCCGGTCCCATCGACCGCCCAAGGGCTGAGGAGTGCAGGTGAGCACCACAGGACTAGCGGGCAGCTCCTCCCACGGCCCTGGCGTGTGATCCACTAGGGGAAGCCAGCTGGGCTCCTGAGTCAGGTGGGGACTTGGAGAACCTTTATGTCTAGCTAAAGGATTGTAAATGCACCAATCAGTGCTCTGTGTCTAGCTCGGAGTTTGTGGATGCACCAATCAGCACTCTGTATCTGGCTAATCTGGTAGGGACTTGGAGAACCTTTATATCTAGCTAAAGGATTGTAAATAACACCAATCAGCACTCTGTGTCTAGCTCAAGGTTTGTAAATGCACCAGTGTTCTGTGTCTAGCTAATCTAGTGGGGACTTGGAGGGCCAGATAAGAGAATAAAAGCAGGCGGCTGGAGCCAGCAGCAGCAACCTGCTTGGGTCCCCTTCCACACTGTGGAAGTTTTGTTTTTTCACTCGTTGCAATAAATCTTGCTGCTGCTCGCTCTTTGGGTGTGCACTGCCTTTATGAGCTGTAACACTCACCTAGAAGGTCTGCAGCTTCACTCCTGAGGTCAGCGAGACCACGAACCCACCTAGAGGAATGAACAACTCCAGACGCGCCGCCTTAAGAGCTGTAACACTCACGGCGAAGGTCTGCAGTTTCACTCCTGAAGCCAGTGAGACCACGAACCCACCAGAAGGAAAAAACTCTGACCACGTCTGAACATCAGAAGGAACAAACTCCGGACACACCATCTTTAAGAACTGTAACACTCACCTCGAGGGTGTGCAGCTTCATTCTTGAAGTCAGTAAGACCAAGAACCCACCAATTCTGGACACAGTGCAATCATAGCTCACTGCAGCCTTGAACTCCTCAGGTCAAGCAATCCTCCTGCCACAGCCTCCTAAGTAGCTGGGACTACAAGTACACACCACCATGTCCAGCTAATTTTTGTATTTTTTATAGAGATGAGGTCTCACTATGTTGCCCAAGCTGGTCTCAAACTCCTGGCTTTCAGAAATCGTCCTTCCTCGTCCTCCCAAAGTACTAGGATTATAGGTATGAGCCATTTTGCCCAATCTAATTTGTGGTCTTTTCACAAATACCCTCCCCCTCTCACATTCCGTGTGTGTGTGTGTGACTATCATAAATACTGTCATTTTTTTCCATGTTGATGAAAGAGCTTAATACAAATATATAATAGAAGGAAAAAATAAAATTGGGTAATTTTCACTTCGTTGATGTTATTATTATTTTCCAAGCTTTGAAGCAATCACAGATGAGAAGATCTTCATTTGAAAACACATAAAAGTCCTGAAAATAGTACAATTAAAATGAAAAGGAAATTACCAGAGTAAATAATTGCTGTAAATATGACCCACGAAGTGTTAATTTCCAAGTCTTTGGAAAGTCTAATGTATGTCTGGGGCGGGGAGGGGAGCCAAAGAATGCAGGAGGAATGTTCCTCAAAAGAAGAAACACAATTCACACAAAAGGCAATGCTTATTTTTAAATGGTTCAACCTCACAGTAATCAAAGAAATGCAAATTAAAAGTACAATAAGAAATCATTTATCCATTGTAGCCGGGTGCGGTGGCTCACGCCTGTAATCCCAGCACTTTGGGAGGCCGAGGCGGGTGGATCACAAGGTCAGGAGATCAAGACCATCCTGGCTAACACAGTGAAACCTCGTCTCTACTAAAAAAAAAAAATACAAAAAATTAGCTGGGCATGGTGGTGGGCGCCTGTAGTCCCAGCTACTTGGGAGGCTGAGGCAGGAGAATGGCGTGAACCCAGGAGGCAGAGCTTGCAGTGAGCAGAGATTGTGCCACTGCACTCCAGCCTGGGCGACAGAGCGAGACTTCATCTAAAAAAAAAAAAAAATTCATTTATCCATTGTAAATGAGCTGGGAAACCTTTTTCTCGTAATGTTCCTTGTTAGAGAGTTGCAGTAGGAAAGAAATAAAGAAGCTCACTGAAACAATGTACATGAGGACTGCTGGAAACAAGCCCTTTGCAAAGCATTTTGCCAAAGGGTATCAAGAGACTCAACAATGCTCATACTCTTTGATCCAACAATCCCACACCTAGGAACTTGACCAAAGCAAACCATTCTCAAGAGGAAAGAAAGTTATTTGAAAATCTTAGCTCAGGCGGGGCGCATGCCTGTAATCCCAGCACCTTGGGAGGCCAAGGCGGATGGATCACGAGGTCAGGAGTTCGAGACCAGCCTGGCCAACATGGTGAAACCCTGTTTCTACTAAAAATACAAAAAATTAGCCAGGCATGGTAGCACACACCTGTAATCCCAGCTACTCGGGAAACTGAGGCAGGAGAATTGCTTGAACCCAGGAGGCAGAGGTTGCAGTAAGCTGAGATCACGCCATTGCACTCCAGCTTGGGCAACAAGAGCAAAACTCCATCTAAAAAAAAAAAATTAGCTGAAGTTTTTTTTTTGTTTTCTTTTTTTTTTTTTTTTTTTTTTTTTTTTTGAGACACAGTCTCACTCTGTCACCCAGGCTGGAGTGCAGTGACACGATCTCAGCTCACTGCAACCTCCACCTCCCAGGTTCAAGAGATTCTCCTGTCTCAGCCTCCTGAGTAGCTGGGACTACAGGCATGAGTCAATTTTTGTATTTTTAGTAGAGAAGGGGTTTCATCATGTTGGCCAGGCTGGTCTGGAACTTCTGACCTCAAGCGATCTGCCTGCCTCAGCCTCCAAAAGTGCTGGGATTACAGGTGTTAGCCACCACACCTGGCCTAATTTTTGTGTTTTTAGTAGAGGCAGTGGTTTCACCATGTTGGCCAGGCTGGTCTCGAACTCCTGACCTCAGGTGATCCACCCACCTCGGCCTCCCAAAGTGCTGGGATTACAGGCGTTAGCCACTGTGCCCAGCCCACCACAGTTTTATTTGTAAAATCTGGAAAGCAATATAGTATAGTGGAAAGAGTGTTACCAGAAAGGGGTCCCCATCCAGACCACAAGAGTGGGTTCTCAGACCTCACACAAGAAAGAATTCAGGGTGAATCCATACAGTAATGTGAAAGCAAGTTTATTAAGAAAGTAAATGAATAAATAATGGCTACTCCATACGCATAGCAGCAGCTTGGGATGCTTGATTGATAATACTTAGTTACTTCTTGATTATGTGCTAAACAAGAGGTGGACTGTTCATGAGTTTTCCAGGAAAGAGGGGGGTAATTATTGGAACTGAGAGTCCCCTCCCCCTTTCTAGACCATATAGGATGACTTCTGTAAAACGTCATGGCACTGGCGGGAGTGTCTCTTAGCATGCTAATGCATTATAATGAAGCAGCGTTATTTGTCTGGGGTAATACCAGAGGTTTGTTGCCCCACACCTGGAGAAATTGAGGATGCAGACACACACAAGGAGTGAGGTTAAGAGTGGAGGTTTAGTAGGCAAAAGAAAGAGTAAAGCTCTTTCTGCTGCAGAGAGGGAGGGGCTCTTAAGTTGGTCTTCTAGTCTCGTGGTGAAATGCAGGGGATTTTTACAGACAAGCTTGAGGAGGTGGTATCTGATTTACCTAGGGCCCAAGAGATTGACTGGACCAGGTGTGCCATTTGCATAGCATGCAAAGAAGCTGGCCATCCCACCCTAATCTCTTCGTTTCTTTTTTTTTTTTTTTTTGAGACAGGGTCTCACTCTGTCGCCCAGACTGGAGTGCAGTGGCGCAATCTCAGCTAACCACAACCTCTGCCTCCCAAGCTCAAGCGATTCTCTTGCCTCAGCCTCCTGAGTAGCTAGGATTACAGGCGTGGGCCACTACCACTCAGCTAATTTTTGTATTTTTAGTAGAGAGAGGGTTTCACCATGTTGGCCAGGCTGGTCTCAAACTCCTGACCTCAGGTGATCCGCCTGCCTTGGCCTCCCAAAGTGCTGGCACTACAGGTGTGAGCCACCGCGCCCAACCCCACCCTAATCTTTTATTATGCAAATGGAGTCTCTACCTGGCCGTCTCCATGTTGCCTGCTTTTTTACTGCACACGTGGCGACAAAGAAAAGGGAAGAGGGAACTTCCATGTTGAATATACCTGGCTTCCAGGTATCCCTTTTCTATTGGCACAGCTGTCAGCATTTACCTATGCAAGCTTTTAGCTTGCTTATCTATGTTTGCAGCTTGATTTTTCAGGCTGCTTTCTGTTAGAAAAGAAATGATTTGGGGGCTGCTTTTTATTAAAAGGTAACCTTACTGAAGACTCTCTTACCCTCACTATCTGCCTAAATAATTTCTTTCTAGCTCCTGTATCAATAATTAGCATATAATGAGCAGTGAGGACAACCAGAGGTCACTCTCATTGCCATGTTGGTTTTGGTGACTTTTGGCTGGCTTTACCGCATCCTGTTTTATCAGCAAGGTCCTTGTGACCTGTATCTTGTGCTGACCTCTTATCTCATCCTGTGACTAAGAATACCTAACCTGGGAATGCAGCCCAGCAGGTCTCAGCCTTATTTCACCCAGCCCCTATTCAAAATGGAGTCACTCTGGTTTGAATGCCTCTGACAAGAGTAAAAAGTTTCATTTCAAAAAAAGAATGGACTCAAATTCCGGTTGTCTCCCGATCCTTCCCTTGTCACCTTATGGCTTCTTCATTTCCACCCTGTAATTGCCTGTAATAGTGAAGTACATTCACCTTGCAAGCTTTAGGAAAGATTGAACAAAAGGTATTTACACAACTGTGTTGTAACTGACTATAAAAGACAATTTTATTATTTTGATCATCAAAAGGAAGACATGGGAAGAGCCCATACTGCCAACAATAAGAAAAATTTAAGTCACTTATAATACAACCACTGCTGTGGAAAACTATAGCCACTAGGGGCTATAATTACGAAGATAATGGATCAATCCAAAAAAAAAAAAAAAAACACTCCTGATTCTTTCGGGCAGACAACAAAATGATATAATTATGTAAAAATTATGCCATGAATGAGAACAGGAAAGAAAGATAGAATAAAATGAAGACAGCTTCTGCATTTGGGAGGTAGAATTGCAGGCAGTCTTTGTTTATCTTATTATCACTATGATTTGTTTGTACAATAAATAAGAGTTAGACTTGGGGAGAATCACTACTGAATTTTATCAAAAGCCTCGTCCTATCTACTGAGATAACAGCATGTTTCATTACTTTTCCCATAGATTGTGGTAATAGCTTTCCTTCCATTACCCCAGCCTCGGTCTCCTAGGTGAACATCTACCAGATCCTAGTGCATTCCATTTAATTCAAGCCTGAGAACTTTTACTGAGCAACTACTTTGTACCAAGTTCTGCCGCTAAGAGAGGAAGAGGTCAATGGGGGATATTACCTTGGTGAGGGTCCAATCCAGGACCCCAGGACCAGAGAGGGGCCCACAGGGGAAAGAGAAGGGCTGGGGCCTTCACAGAAGGCAAGTAGAATGGGCAGAGTGAGGCCATGAGGGGAAGCACTTTGCCATGAGTGTCAGAGCTTAGCATGGGGCTTGGCACATAGTGGGTGCCCAATAAACATTTTATGAATTGAACTGAACTGTATTGCATGGGGGAGTCTCACTCCCATCCCCAACCTCTCTTACTCCAGACCAGCATCAGGGACAAGCCCTTGCCCTCCCAGCAACTGAAACCACCTTTGCAAAATTATGACTGAGACAGTGAAAGAGATCTAACTTCACTGACTCCATCTTGTTTCTAACCTCCAAGCTGTCTTCGTTCATTCCTGGGCATAGGCTGAACTAACTTTGGGAGAAATTTAGTTTATAGTTTAAACAAAAGCGACTAGATTGCCTTTGTAGGACTAACATTAGCCACAAGATTAGAAATTACGGTTTTAGGAGTCATGCAGCTGGAGGCTACAAGATTCTGACCCTCCCTAAACTGCTCCTAAGACCAGTGCTTGAGATATTTTACAGACCCTGCATTTGATAGAGCAGCTGGCCCCACCCAGACTGATAAACTGGCTCATCTAATCTTGTGGCTCCTCCCACCCAGGAACTGACTCAGTGCAAGAAGACAGCATGTACCCACTACGATTTTATCTCTGACAAATCAGCACTCCCGGGTCACTGGCTCAACTCACCCACCAAGTAGTCCTTAAAAACTCTGCTCTCCTTGGCCAGGCGTGGTGGCTCATGCCTGTAATCCCATAATCCTGGCACTCTGGGAGGCCGAGGCAGGCAGATCACGAGGTCAAGAGATTGAGACCATCCTGGCCAACATGGTGAAACCTCGTCTCTACTAAAAATACAAAAATTAGCCGAGCGTGGTGGCACAGGCATGTAATCCCAGCTACTCAGGAGGCTGAGGCAGGAGAATCGCTTGAACCTGAGAGGCGGAGGTTGCAGTGAGCTGAGATCGTGACACTGCACTCCAGCCTGACAGAGTGAGACTCCGTCTCAAAACAAAACAAAACAAAAACAAACAAACAAAAACTCTGCTCCCCGAATGCTCCAGGGGACTGCTTTGAGTAATAATAGAACTCCAGTCTCCCACACAGCCAGCTCTGCATGAAGTACTCCTTCTCTATTGCAATTCCCCTGTCATGAAAAACTGGCCCTGTCTAGACAGCATGCAAGGTGAACCCACTGGGCAGTTACAGAATCCCCTGACCTTTCTCCCCATGGTCTCCTTCTCCAAAGCCTAGTCCAAGCCAGTGAGAAAGGAGGAAGGAAGAAACCAGTCAGGCAGGCAGTTAGGGTGGGTCCTCAGTTGAGTTCTTTCAAATGAAAGAACAGCCTGCAGGCACAGACAAAGGAACTTGCACAAGGGGGCTTGCCTAAGACGTGCCTATAGCTGCATAGACCCAGCACCTTGGGATGCTGAGGCAGGTGGATCACCTGAGGTCAGGAGTTCGAAACTAGCCTGGCCAACATGGTGAAACCCCATCTCTACTAAAAATACAAAATTAGCCAGGGGTAGTGGCATGCGCCAGTAATCCCAGCTATTCGGGAGCCTGAGGCAGGAGAATCACTTGAACCTGGGAGGCAGAGGTTGCAGCAAGCAGAGATCTCACCACTGCACTCCAGTCTAGGAGACAGAGTGAGACCCTGTCTCAAAAAAAAAAAAAAAAGTCCACACAAGAGACTTGCCCAGACATACCTGCAATGGAAAATTCAATTCCCTGACACATGCGCAGTATGGGGAACAAAGCAATATGAGAGTAACTCAAGCTGAGGGCCCGCATGCACACTAGGAGGACGGGGACCAGAAATTCACACCTTATGCAAATGAGACACCTACCTCTCATCAATTTCTTTAGAAAGCCTCTGTATTCACCTGTGCAACATCGACCCTTGGCCGGGCGCGGTGGCTCACACCTGTAATTCCAGCACTTTGGAAGGCCGAGGCAGGCGGACCACAAGGTCAGGAGATCGAGACTATCCTGGCTAACCCAGTGAAACCACATCTCTACTAAAAAAATACAAAATGAATCAGCCGGGCGTGGTGGTGGGTGCCTGTAGTCCCAGCTACTCGGGAGGCTGAGGCAGGAGAATGGCGTGAACCTGGGAGATGGAGCTTTCAGTGAGCCGAGATCACACCACTGCACTCCAGCCTGGGCGACAGAGTGAGACTCTGTCTCAAAAAAAAAAAAGAAGAAGAAGAAACAGCAACCCTTTTTCAGGACCCCTCTCTGCGGCAGATAACTATCTCTCTCTCTTTCATTTATTAAACTCCTGCTCTAACCTCACCTGGGAGAGTTCATGCCCTTGATTTCTTCAGCCGTGAGACAGAGAACTTCAGGTGGCACCCTAGACGATGAGGCCATTTCACGAAAGCTCTAGTCCTAGTGGTTTGTTTTTGTTTTTTGAGACAGGGTCTTGCTCTGTCACCCAGGCTGGAGTGCAGTGGTGTGATCATGGCTTACTGCAGCCTCAAACTCCTAGACTCAAGCAGTCCTCCCACCTCGGCCTCCCAAGCAGCTGGGACTACAGGTGCACCCCACTATGCCTAATTTTTTTTTTTTTTTTTGAGACCAAATCTTGCTGTTTCCCCCAGGCTGGAGTGCAGTGGCGCAATCTCAACTCACTGCAACCTCTGCCTCCAGGGTTTGAGCAATTCTCCTGCCTCAGCCTCCCAAGTAGCTGGGATTACAGGCATGTGCCACTAGGCCCAGCTAATTTTTTGTATTTTTAGTAGAGGTTTCGCCATGTTAGCCAGGCTGGTCTCGAACTCCTGACCTCAGGTGATCCACCTGCTTCTGCCTCCCAAAGTACTGGGATTACAGGCGTGAGCCACTGCACCTGGCCCTGACAAATTATTTTTAATTTCTTTGTAGAGATGAGGTCTTGCTATGTTGTCCAGTCTGGTCTCAAACTCCTGGCTTCAAGTGGTCTTCCCATTGAAGTGTTGGGATTACAAGTGTGAGCCACCGCGCCCAGCCCTGGCCTTGGTTCTTTGCTCCTACAAAGTGCTAGAAAAAAAACCCTGCCTGGTCCCTAAACAGACCTCCAGGGACCATATTTGATCAACGAAAACTCCATACCTGGGGTATACTGACAAGGCACGTTTTCCGATTTGTAGAGTTACTTGTTTAACAAGCAAAACAAAATACATCCTGCAAAGAAACAAGAAACCATCACAGCTAGGTTTAGATTTAATGAATTACTTTTACTGAAAAGAACAAAACTATGTGAGAAGAGTATAAAACTCTAGTGTGGAAAAAAAAAGAAAAAAACAGCGTATCTATCTTTTTTTTTTTTAGGCGGAGTTTCACTCTGTTGCCCAGGGTGGAGTGCAGTGGTGCAATCTCGGCTCACTGCAAGCTCCGCCTCCCAGGTTCACGCCATTCTCCTGCCTCAGCCTCCCCAGTAGCTGGGACTACAGGCGCCCGCCACCACGCCCGGCTAATATTTTGTATTTTTAGTAGAGACAGGGTTTCACCGTGTTAGCCAGGATGGTCTCGATCTCCTGACCTCATGATCTGCCCGCCTCGGCCTCCCAAAGTGCTGGGATTACAGGCGTGAGCCACTATCTTTTCTTTTTTCTTTATTCTTTTTTTTTTTTTTTTTTTTTTTGAGAGAGTCTTGCTCTGTTGCCAGGCTGGAGTGCAGTGGTGTGATCTTGGCTCACAGCAACCTCCACCTCCCAGATTCAAGTGATTCCCCTGCTTCAGCCTCCCAAGTAGCTGGGATTACAGACATCTGCCACCACATTTCTACAAAAATATAATAATTTTTGTATTTTAGTAAAGACAGGGTTTCACCATGTTAGCCAAGATGGTCTCGATCTCCTGACCTCGTGATCTGCCCACCTCAGCCTCCCAAAGTGCTGGGATTACAGGCGTGAGCCACGGCGCCCGGCCTAAGCGCATCTATCTTTTCT